>NC_000005.10:150054293-150354611 GCF_000001405.40 Homo sapiens
CACCCACCCCAAGCCTCACCCCACTCACCCGCTCTCTCCTGTCCTCTTGGGCCTGCTCCTGAAGGAAGGAGCAGATCTGCTGGAAGGTGGGTCTGTGGGTGGGCTCCAAGGCCCAGCAGGCCTGCATGATGCTGTATCTGGGAGATAGGACAGAGGATGCCCATGGGCAGCTCCCTAGGGTCCAGGGGCCATTAACACACACCCCTAGAGAGACCTACCCAGCAGAGGTCCCCAAACCCAGTCAAAGTAAGTTTAGTATAAAACCTATGCCAAGTCCTTGGCATGCTTTACCATTTAATCCTCACAGTAACCCTTGCAGAAGGGTACTCTCATCACCCTCATTCTGACAGATGAGGCCATTTTGGTATCCTCAGGGTAACTGTAATAACGATCTCTTAAAAGTCTGTTTAGGGACAGGTGCAGTGGCTCATTCCTGTAATCCCAACACTTTGGGAGGTTGATGCAGGAGGATTGCATAAGGCCAGGAGTTCCAGACCAGCCTGGACAACATAGTGAGATCCCATCTCTACTAAAAAATTTTTTAAAAATAGCTGGGCTTGGTGGTGCACACCTGTAGTCCCAGCTGTTTGGGAGGCTGAGGCCAAAGGATTGCTTGAGCCCTGAAGATTGAGGCTGCAGTGAGCTATGATTGCACACATCACTGCGCTCCAGCCCGGGCTACAGAGCAAGATGCTGTCTCAAAAAAAAAAAAAAAAAAAAAGGAAAAGTGGTCGGTTAGGACCAGCCCTAGTGAACAGCTGCTTCTCTGAGAACATCCCCCATAGCTTGAACTCAAAAGGGGCTTGTTGTGTCCACTATGGGAGAGATAAAGTCTGACCCTGGAACATTTTGGACAGGGAAAGATCAGGGCCACACGGCCTTCCATCCCTTTCCAGCGAAAGCCTGGGGTGTCCTTTTCCCTCCCTGGGATCCCTTCGCTTACATATTCTTTGGGGCAAATGCAGGCTGGGCCATTTGGTATCCATCCTTCACCAGTTTATAGAACTTGCTGTTCACCAGGATGCCAGGGTAGGGATTCAGCCCTGCAAAGGCCAAGATCAGGTAAGAGGCCATGCCCATTGTCTTCTCCCCATTCCCGCACACCCACACACATCTTAGACTGGGTTTAAAGGGTCCCACTTGACAACACTGCAACAGCAGCTACTCTTACCCGGTGCTTCCTGTGTGCCAGCCAGTGTGTGGCAGGCTTAGGCTTTAGGAAGGTGTGAGCCTCTATCCAGGCCTTATCACACCAAACATTCTTGCACAGGCTTTGGAATCAGACCAAAGCTTCAGCTGTGTATCGTTAAAGTGTGGACAGTCAGGTGGTTATGAGGGTATAGGAGCAGCGTATTTAAGAACTGAGTACAAGTCCTTGTGCCTAGTCCTCGGGAAATAGCAGTTCTTTCTACTAGAGCCTAGTAGTAGAGAGCTGCATCTTCAAGGGTCTGTAGATTTCAGACAAAGGAGGGAAACAGTGACAAAGGAGGGTAACAGGTAACAGCAACTGAGCAGAGACAAACGAGGGAAGAGCCAGAAAGGAGCGCCTGTCAGGGGCAGAGGGTCTGCCGAGTCCCGCAGGAGCCACGATGCTGGGTTTCGAGAGCCCTTGCCCATTCCTGCACTCTCACCAACCCTCGCTGTGTCCTGGGCACCAAACAGCTTTGTCCACCAGTGGGGCAACCAGAGGAGCCAGCCCCAGGCTCTGCCTGGAGTGGGCCCAGTGGCTCACCAAGTGAGAAGATCTCCCAGAGGAGGATGCCATAGGACCAGACGTCGCTCTGAACCGTGTAGACACAGTCAAAGATGCTCTCTGGGGCCATCCACTTCACAGGCAGGCGGGCCTGGGATGACAGTCCCCAGTTATTTTGGGCCCCGACTCTTCACCCCCTCCCCAGCCTGGCCCAAGCCCTCCCAGCACTTACATTGCCCTTGACAATGTAGTTGGAGTCATTCATGATGTCCCTAGCCAGCCCGAAGTCCCCAATCTTGGCCACATGACCATTGGTCAACAGCACGTTACGCGCTGCCACGTCCCGGTGGATGCACTGAGGGAAAGCACTGCAGGGTTAGTCTTGGGCCTTCTCCTACCTGAGCCTGAGGTGAGGAGGATGGCAGGGAGGGCCCCACATGGCTTTGGAGTCCCTGCTGGAGTGAACAACAGTTTTGGTCCTTTACCACAAACCCTTGTCTATACCTTCTACCAGGGCCCAGGATCTGAGAATGTGTATCGTGATCTGATCATTTAATGCTTAGAAACCCCCATTACCCTGAGCAGCCATGGCCCTTCTCACCCTTTGTCCTCTGACTGGTCTGCTCAGGCCCCAGAAGCGAAGGGCTTCCGTGCAGAGAGCAGTCTCCAAACCCTACCGTTACTTCTGATCATAGCAGCTGCTATCTGCCAGGCCCTTCCCTAAACTCTGCACACATTGAACCCTTTTTCTTTTCAACAATCGTTATGCCCATTTTTATAGGTGTAGAAACTGAGGCACAGAATTTAAATAGTTGCTTAAAGTCACGGAGCAGGTGGCAGAGCCAACAATCAAACCACTGACTCCCGAATCTGTTCTAAGGAAGATGGCAAGAGCTCCCATTCCCTGGCACTTCTTCCTAGGCCGAGCGCACTTTATACGTTATCTAATATCCCCAAAATTCTGAGGAAGCTTCCGTTATCATCCCCACCAGACCGCGTGCTTTATGAGCAGAGACAACTGTTGTCTCTCATACACTATTTAGTAAAAACGAATGAAGAAAGCCTGGTACCCTTCCTCATCTTCACGCTGGGGACACAGGTGCCCAGCCCCAGAGCTCCAGCCCTGGGCACAGCTTTCTCCCACTCATCCTTGCAGCTGCTGCCCAAATGACTCTCTCATACTCTGTCTCCTCCCCTACCCCCTCACAGGCTCCCGTTTCCTCCTCCCCATCGTCACTCATCCAGCCTCCCCGGAGCACAGACCTGGGTGGCTATGAGCCAGGGCCAGGTTCCTACTCACATTCTTGGAAGCGAGGAAGGCCATGCCCTGGGCTACTTGGCTGGAGAAGTGAAGCAGGTCCCGGAGCTCCAGGGGCCGTCCATCCTCCTTGTCCAGGTCTAGGGTGGGAAGAGGCGTCAGGGCAGCCCTGCCACACTCCCCACCCCTCACCCCAGCAGCCCCTTCTCCTTTTCCCTTGTTATCAAGCAAATGGGGCCTGGCCCTGGGACCTCCTCACCTTGCTCAGAGAAGGAGTCATTTGAAGAAGTGGAGACAGGCCTCATCTCCACATAGGTGTCCACACCCTGGCTGGAGAAGCCACTGTCCCTACATAGGAGAGAGGGTTGGGGGGCAGAGGTCACTCATCATCACTGCACTGCTCAGCTCAGGCCTTGACCACCCACCACCCCATGGTCAACTGGAACCTCCCTTTCTGATAAGAAACCCTCCTGCCACACTCCATCTGAGTGAGCATTGGTCTCTGCTCGGCTGTCCCCGGTGAGGGAGCTTACAACCCATTCTGGTTTTGGGCAGCTCTGCCTGTGAGAAAGTTCTTCACTGTTCCTAATGCCAATCTACCCCTGAGATTTTCCTCCTAGCCCCTGCTCTACCCTCAAGGGCCACAGAGAAGTTGGAGTCCTCTTCCCCATAACAGCCCTACTAGAATTGGGGCATATTCTAGGGCCCCTTGTGCCCTCTCTTCTCTGGACAGTGCCTCACACCCCTGGCTTCACATTAAAATCACTTCGGGAGCTTTTAGGATCAGGCTAATTACTAATACTTCAGAAACTCTAGGGACAAAACAGTCATTCACAGATTTAAATCTCCCCAGGTGATCACAAAGTACAGCCTAAGCTGAGGCCCACTGGTCTAGAGCAGTGCTGCTTACGCTGCAACTCATGTGCAGATAAATCACCCCGGGAATCTCTGCAATGCAGATTTTGAATCAGCAGGCCTGGGTGGATGGGCCTGAGGTGGTGCACTTCCAACAGTCCTCAAGAGATGCCTATGAGAGCACACTTGGGGTAGAGAATTTGAGAAGCACTACTGTAGACTGAAGCACTACTGCTCCTAACGTTCCAGCCAGATAGGATTTCTCTCTCCCTCCTGTCCCCTCTGCGCTAGAGATGTGTACCTTGACAATGTCCATATTCTAGTGTTCCCAGAAGGAGAAACCGAAAAAACCTTCCGCTCCCTTGTAGAAACTATGCTTCCGTTAACAGCCTGGAATCCTTTGACAGAGTTGGTTTACAGGCCATTTGCCCTCGAAATTACCCACTCTGGGAATACTTTCCCCATCTGCGTATTTGAAGATGGAAGCTAATACTTTCCTTTGGTGCTCATTTTGATCTGATCTTCAGAGGCCTAGTGTGTGCCACCCTCATAGAAGTGTCAGGGAATCAGAAGAGGAAGTGATGCTGCCAGGCCCCCATTTTTAAGGCCCTGGGTGAAGAGATGGCCTCCTTCTCTTTTGCCTCCCCAGGCGTGGCAGCTGACAGTATCTAGGATGAGGGCGCAGTGTACACCCTTCTTGTTCTGATCCTGTCCTGACCCCACAAGCCCCTGAGACAGAGACCTCCAGGACAGCAGTGTGGCTTGGGTGACTCCTGGACTGGAAGTCAAGAGAGCAGGATTCTAGTCCAGGCTCCACCTCTAACCCTGACTCATGTGTGACATGAATCTCCCCACTTCCTCTCTTTGGTTCCCCATGTGGCTCTGTCTGTTGGATGGCTCTGTTCTGGATGGCTTCCAGGAATCACAGCAACAGGACAACAGAGCCATCTCTCTTTTTTTTTGAGACGGAGTTTCATTCTTGTTGCCCAGGCTGGAGTGCAATGGTGTGATCTCAGCTCACAGCAACCTCTGCCTCCTGGGTTCAAGCAATTCTCCCGCCTCAGCCTCCCGAGTAGCTGGGATTATAGGCATGCGCCACCACGCCCGGCTAATTTTGTATATTTAATAGAGACGGGGTTTCACCTTGTTGGTAAGGCTGGTCTCGAACTCCCATCCTCAGGTGATCTGCCCGCCTCAGCCTCCCAAAGTGCTGGGATTACAGGCATGAGCCACTGCACCCGGCCACATCTGCCCATCTCTTACTAGGGCTCCAGGCACAGATCTTGGTTGATCTTTTACACACACTGGGTGGTGATTTCATTGATGCATATCTCCACCAGATTATGAGCTGCCCATCTTTGCCCTCCACACTCCCAGAACACGGTAGGTGTTCAAATATTTGTTGAATGAAGGGGAAAAGGAGTAGAGAAACAAGAGATGGCCATAAAACCTGTGGTGGCTACTTCCCATGACACAGGTGGCAGGTGAGGGCTGCATAGCCACCCATTCATGAGCCATCCAACCCTGAGCTGGCTTTGAAGACAGACTCGGATCCTGCCTCCCAGACCTGGCCTTTTTCTTGTCCTTTGCCAGGGGCTACCTGCGGACATATTTCTTCTCGAGGTGGATGTTCTTATAGTCGACGCCTCCCTCGGGGTCCTGGCCGGGGCTCAGGCTGGGTCCCAGCATGGCCTCAGCCTTCCTTCGCAGAAAGTTGAGCAGGTCGCCATAGCAACAGTACTCCGTGATGACCAGTACAGGGCCTAGAGCAGCCAAGGGTGTGGGGTGAGGGAGGTGCTGAGTGCTCCCCTCCATGAACAGGAGCATGAGACTGGGGGCAGTGAGGCCACTGGACTTGGACTCAGCATAGCTGAGTTCTAACCTCGGCTCTGTGAGCAAGTTTCCTTGTGCCTCAGTAGTTCCATTTGTTTAAAACAGATGGCTTTGGCGGGGCACGGTGGCTCATGCCTGTAATCTCAGCACTTTGGGAGGCCAAGGTGGGTGGATCACGAGGTCAGGAGATCGAGACCATCCTGGCTAACATGGTGAAACCCCATCTCTACAAAAATACAAAAAAATCAGCCGGGCATGGTGGCATGTGCCTGTAGTTCCAACTACTCAGGAGGTTGAGGCAGGAGAATTGCTTGAACCTGGGAGGCAGAGGTTGCAGTGAGCCGAGATCGCACCACTGCACTCCAGCCTGGGTGACAGAGTGAGGCTCCGTCTCAAGAAAAAAAAAACAAAAAATGAAAAAAAAAAGACAACCTTAAAAAAAATGTAGCCCAAGAATTATTTCTTCAAAGGAAAGCTATGGCGGCTCACTGTAGGTCAGAGCTGCTATCAGTGAAGAGGATGTGGGGCACTTGGAGTCCCAGCAAAGCCCGGGGCACCTTTGGGGGCCCTGGGGAGAGTGTCCAAGCATCCTTGAATGGAAGCTTCATAAGAGGTAGGCGGGGGGCTTCACTCCAGACCCAGAGGATCCGGCTCCCTGGAAGCAGGGCCTAGGAGCTTGCACATTCATCTCCTCCTCCAAGGGCTCCGATGCTCCCTATCAGTCTCTCTTTATACCTCAAGCTGCCCGTGCAGCTCCTGACTATTCCAGGAGATGGGCCCAGGAGTTTAAGGGATGCTGTGACCGGGATCCCCCTGACACTTGGAGCAGTAGGATCCTGAGAAGGAGAAGACGGAACAAGGTAGCCCTGGGGCCCTGAGATTCCCCAGAGGCCCCAAGACCTTGGCCCCAGGAACCCCAAGGCCCTTACCTCCATGGGTACAGGCTCCCAGAAGGTTGACGATGTTCTCGTGCTGGCCCAGGTGGCTCATGATCTTCAGCTCGGACATGAGGGCCTCCTTCTCATCAGCATGGGCCGTGGCTGGGAGGAAGAACCACAGTCCCAAAGACAGGGAGAGGGCAGGACAGAGAGCACCACACAGATACATGGGGACCAAATGCAGAGACCCAGGGGAGAAAGCAGGGCATACCCCAAGACCCGGAGTGACCAGAAGCCAAAAGAAGGAGAAGGAAAAATGCAGACACACAGATGGCAGAGAGAGAGAGAGGAGGGATGAGCCTGTCACTGAGCTGGTCTTCAGGTGACAGGAAGCCAAACTGTGGCCAGGCCATGGCCATAGGTGGCCTTTCTGCACCCCCAGACTTTTTGGAGCTCAGTCAGGAGCCCCTTCACAACTAAAGGGTGACCTAGACCTTCTTGGAGCCGGGAGTCAGAGGGTGCCTGGAGCTCACAAGAAAACCCAAGTCCTCACCCCTGAGCTCTGTCCCCCAGGCTTCAACAGGTTGAAATGTGTGTGATGCCTCTTGTGACACCAGGGCCAGCCCACCCCCAGCATCTACCACCCCCCATCCCTTCCCTCATCCCCTCCCCTCACTCACACTTCAGCATCTTCACAGCCACCTTCAGGACAGCATCCTCCTTGCCCAGACCAAAGGCCGTGGCCTCCACCACCTTCCCAAAGGCTCCAGCTCCGAGGGTCTTACCTGCCACGCACACAGGTCCCTTAAGTCCCTGGGCACCAAAGGGCCTCTGTCCAAGGGCCCATGGGCTCCCTGCAACCCCCACAGGCCCTGTGATAGGAAGCTGTGGAGTGATGAGCTGCCATCTCACCAAACTGCAGGTTGTTCCGGGGGAACTCCCACTTCTCGTTGTAAGGCAGCTGCGTGGGGTCGATGAAAGTATAACTGTTGCCCTCATAGCTCTCGATGATCTTCCAGCGGACCTGGTACTTGGGCTTCTGCAGAAGAGGAAGGGAGCACGTGGCAGTCGGGGCTGGCAGGCAGTTCCTGGACCTTGTTTCTGACCCCCAAGAGCAGGGGTGTGGGCAGTCCCAAGGCGCCCAGTGGGAGAAGGCAGGGCAAGGCCTGCTCTGGGCTGAGAGAGGTCGTCTCATGAACATAGCACTGAGAGCATGTTCCTGCTTGACTCTGCCTTGTTGTGTGACCTTCCCTTCTCCAAGCCTGTTTCACTATTTGTGTATTGAAGACCTTGGACAAGACAACCTCTGAGGGCCCTGATATCTCTGATAATCTGGTAATTCCTGAGCCAGGAGGGAGGGTGGAACTTGAGATCTTATCCATCCGTTCATCTGTCCATCCATCTACCCATCCATCCACCCACCCAACCTCCCATCCAAATATATATATATATTTTAATTGTGATAAAACATACATGAAATTTACCATTTCAACCATTTTTAAGTGTATGGTTCAGTAGTATTAAGTAAATTACATTCTACCTTGTGCAACCAGTTTCCAGAGCTCTTTTCATCTTGCAAAACTGAAATTCTGTTCCTGTTAAAAAGCAACTCCCCTTTCCCTCCTCCAGCCCCTGGCAACCATGATTCTGCTGTCTCTGTGAATTGCACTGCTCTAGGCACTGCACCTCAGTGGACTCACACAGCATGTGTCTATTGAGATTGCCTTATTTCACCCAGCATAATGTCTTCAAGGTTCATTCATGCTGCAGCACAGGTCAGAATTCCCTTCCTTTTTAAGGCTGAATAATAGTAGCCCATCCACATACTTTCTTGAACATCTATTTGTGTCAGGCACCGCTGATTCAGAGTTGAACAGGACAAAGTCCCTGCCCCTCCATGGAGTTTGCATTCTAGTGGCTGAGAGAGGCATTAAACGCAAATAAACATGTATCTAGGAGATTCTCAAGTGGTGCTATGAAGAAAATAAAGTAAGATAAGTCAGGGAAGGCCCCTAAAGAGCCCACCATGTGACCATCAGAGGAAGAATTTTCCAGGAACAGTGCATGGAAATGCTGTATGCTTGACATGGGAATGATCCTGGCAAGTTTGAGCTATAGGAAGGCAGCCATCATGGCTTGAGGGAAGTGGGGGGCAGATTCCAGAAACAGGAAGGCCTTGAGGGCTATGATAAGGTGAGTGGGTTCCCTTTTGGGATTTTTTTTTTTCCAAGACAGGATCTCTGTCCCCCAGACTGGCATGCAGTGGGGGCAGTCTTGGCTCACTACAGCCTCGACCCCCGAGGTTCAAGCAATCCTCCCACCTCAGTCTCCCAAGCAGCCGGGACTACAAGCATGTGGCACCACACCTGGCTAATTTTTGTAGAGACGGGGCTTTGTCGCAGCCTAGGCTGGTCTTGAACTCGTGAGCTCAAGCAGTTTGCCTGCCTCGGTCTCTCAAAGTGCTGGGATTACAGGCATGAGCTACCATGCCTGGCCGGGCAGTGAGAGACCCTGAGAGTTTGACACAGGTGAGTCGCCATCTGACTTTTTTTTTTTGAGACAGAGTCTTGCTCCTTCACTCATGCCGGAGTGCAGTGGCACGATCATAGCTCACTAGGCTCAAACTCCTGGGCTCAAGCAATCCTTCTGCCTTGGCCTCTCAAAGTGCTGGGATTATAGGCGTGAGCCATCGCACCCAGCCTTGACTTTACCTTTTTGAGAGAGAAAGAGAGACGCTGCCCACTAGATAGATTCTGGAGGACCAGCACCTTTGGAAAGACCTGATTTCCTTCCTTAGGCTCTCCATGCTGTTACCACCCAGCCAGGGGAGGCAAGCCCTGGGATGTGGGGAGGAGGAATGGCTGCCCCTGTTTCTTGCCCAGGGGTCAGCTGCTGAGGGGGAGTACCATGCTAAGGGTTGCCCACAAGAAATGCTGATGGAAGACCAAGTTGAGGGGGAAAGTGGAAGCTGGGCTGGGGCGGTGGAGGACACTGAGGCCCTGGGTCAGCAGAGCAACTCTTTCCGGCCAGGCCTTGGGGATGGGACAAGCTTGGCTGTGCCTGCAGCTGGGCTCCTTCCCTGGGCACCCGAGCTAGAAACTTAAAGGAAGTGTGGACCGGTGCTAGGGAGGAGGCTGGCCTTTAGCTGCAAGTCCTGGTTGAGAGAGAAGATTCCAGTCATGTCCTTTGCAGCAACGTGGTGCAGCTGAAGGCCATTATCCTAAGCAAATTAACACCGAAACAGAAAACCTACATACCGCATGTTCTCACTTATAAGTGGGAGCTAAATATTGAGTGTGCATGGGCATAAAGATGGCACCAACAGACACTGGGGGCTACTAGAGCAGGGAGGGTGGAAGCGGGCGAGGGTTGAAAAACTATGGGAGCTATGCTCAGTAGCAGGTGATGGGATCCATATTCCAAAGCTCAGCATCACGAAACATACGCATGCAACAAACCTGTACGTCTATCCCCTGAATCAAAAATAAAATGTGGACATTTTTAAAGAGAGAGACAGGGAGAAAGCTTCCAGCTAACCATCAGGAAGAACTTCTAGCTGGTAGTTAGAGAGAAAAGACTGCAATTAGAAATGAGAAGGAACTAACTTCCAGGCTCTGATTCGGAAGGGCGGACTGCAGGTGAACTTCAGAGCCTCTGCGTTATAGCTTGGGAGAGAGTCTGAAACGGGACCCAGGGAGAAGAACTTCCCAAGCCTCTGAGGATCCAAATCCTGCCCGTGGGTGCCTTCCCAGCCCAAAAGACAGCAACAAGGCAAGGAGGGGATTCTTCAGCCTCTCCTGGCCACTTCCATCTCTAGGAGCCTCTGTGGCTAAGACTGTTTTTTCTTACCACTTCTTGTTCCTCTGTCCCTCTGCAGCTGGGCTGAGTCAGCCCCTCCCTGCCCCCAGCTGGGCAGGGGGCACTGTTGAAAGGGAGGGGATCAAGGAGGATGGAGGTTTGGCTGGATTCTCAGATTTCTGAATCCTAGGCTCCTAATTTCTGGAAGCGGACCAAGCTGCCTTCTGCCTGCCTCAGGAACCCTCCCCTGCCCCTGCTGGGCATGTAAACCTCCCAGGGCACCTGTGCCATCCCTGGAAAGGGCTCATGGGCGTCTACCCAGAGGCAGCCTCTCTTCCAAAGAACTATGAGTGAGAGATCAAGAGGTGGGGATGGGCGAGGCTCCCTGAGAAGGGTGGACGTAATTGTCATGATGGCAGCGGGTTCTTCCTGAGCTCTTCCTGGGAGTGGGGCGCTGGGCTAGATGCTTGAAGCACATCACCCCATTCATTCCTTGCAATGGGCCTAAGCCCCAGGCCCACCCCCTGACTTCTTCCCTTCCTCCCATCCTCCCCACCAAAGGGGGCATGGAGACAAAGTCCCGGTCCCCTCCCCATCTAGGCCTGCTGGTTCTGGGTGAGTGGATGTTCTCCATCCCAGGAAGGTGGAGATCTGAACAATTCCCAGTGGAATCTTTGGGGACCCTCCTGTTGCTCCTCAGAGCTCAGTTCCAGCCCCCAGAATCGTAGTCTTTCCAGCAGCCTCCCTGGACCCTCCCTTCCCTGCTGCCTCAGCCATTTCCCTGTGCGCCTCCTCCTCCAGGGGAGCCTGCTGACTCCTGCCCTTTTCTCTTCCCCCACGGCCCCCCTTGTGGTCACTCTGGGGGACAGAAAGGTGATGATTCAGCCCTGAGGCAGAACAAACACTCCCCACAGACAGGCCACTTCTTTCCCCAGGCCTGGGCAATGAGGAGAGGCTGGGCTGAGTCCCCAGTGAAGGGGCAAGGCTCCGAACCTCATGGGGCAAGGCAGAGGAGGATGGGAGGGCAGGCACTTAGCACGGGCATGACCATCCTGCCCCCTCCGCTCCCATGGGTGGACACCTCGGCCTGGAGCTAAAGGGTCTGTGAATGGGTGTAGGGGAGGAGGGTAGCTGCAAGTCTTCTCGCAGCCTTGCATGGGCTCCAGGGGCAGCTGAATTTCCTGGACAGGAAGTGTGGAGGTGACATGTTCCAAAAATGGTCCCGTGGAGAGGGGATACAGAGTTCCTAAACCACAGCCAAGGGGGCTGGCCAGCCCAAGGCAGAAAGGGCCGCAGGGGGCCCTAGGCTCTTCTCTGGAATCTCTGCATGACTGTCCTGGCAGCTCTGTGGGCACTGCGAGGCAGTTTTCAGTTCCATGTAAGGAAGAACTTTGCAAACATTGGAGCTGCTCAGAGAAGGAACAGGTGGCCCCGAGAGTGAGTAAGGTCCTGTCCCTGGAGGTGGGTGGGCTGGGCCAAACAACCGCTTTGGGTGTGTAGTCAAGGAGATGATGCCCGACCTCAGACCTCCCCCTCCTTCCACCATCCCAAGAGGCATGAGCTAACTCTGGTTCCCCAACGAACTTCCTCCTGGGACAAGAGTGTGCAGCTCCCATCACAGAGACTGTCTCGTCCAGCACCCCGCTCAGTCCTCTATGTGCGTTGTGGTACGGAATCCCTCACAACAGGCTGTTAATGATCCCATTTTACAAATGGAGAAGAGACTCAGACACACCAACTTTCTCATCATCCCATAGCCAGAGCTTGGCAGAGGCAGGATTTGGACCCAGATTCACTGAAGTCCAAGTTTCTGGTGCTTAAACTAGACCACCAGTGGGCTCTTGGCATGTCAGAGGAGGAGGGGCTGTTAGAGAACACCCAGACCCATGGTATAAGAGGGGAAACTAAGGCCCAGAGAGGACAGCGAGTCAGCTGAGGTTACATGGCAAAACAGTGTCAGAGCTGGACCTAGATCCGGAGGTATTGACCGGGGCTGCCCTCAGAGCAGCCTTCTCATGCTGAGTGCTGGCAGGAGTAGAGATCCCGATCCATGTGCCCCTGGGGCTCCCCCAACATCCTTCCCACCCTGCCCACTTCAAGCCCTCTTCTCACAAAAGCCCCAAGGGGGTGTGGGGAAGAAAAGGTAGCCAAGGGGACACAAGATGGGTCATTCAGTCCTTGATCACACCACTCCCTTGTTCAAACCCACTGATGGCCTTGGACCGACAGGGTGGGGTCCAACCCTTCAGACCCCCAACCCCACCCTGGTCCTTCCCTCACCTGCACCTCTGCACACTCTGCCCTCTCCCCCAGAGGTACCCTTTCCCTTAGTGTCATCTCCCCTGCTGCATCCTCATCCTCCAAAGCCCGTCCCACCAATGCCAAGCCACCTCCTCCAGGCAGTCTCCCTTACCCACCAGCCTGAAAAGTCCG
This sequence comes from Homo sapiens, assembly GCF_000001405.40. Taxonomy (NCBI): domain Eukaryota; kingdom Metazoa; phylum Chordata; class Mammalia; order Primates; family Hominidae; genus Homo; species Homo sapiens. The sequence goes on from NC_000005.10 coordinate 150,067,042, forward strand.
TCCACCTCTGAACTCCCACAGCCCTCTGGCCTGGTCCTCTCAGCTTCTGATCACATTGCACATGGTCTTTGTGTGGGCAGGCAGGCAGTGGAGGCCATGGGCTCTAGGGACAGAAGCCCCTGGGGCCCAGTGCCAACCCTATCCCTCAGCCCCTTGGGGTTTTTTTTTTTAACCTTGCTGAGCCTCAGCTTCCTGATGGGTAAGATACTGACTAGTATACTTCCTGCCTCCAGCTTCTTGTGAGGGTAAAATAAGATGAGTCAATGTTTCACATAATGATTGGGACATGCTTTGGAGTGAGTCCTCCTTCAGGGTTAAAAACCAGACTCTGCCTTTGACCAGCTGTAGACAAGGGCAACTGTCCCAACCTCTCAGAACCTCAGTTTACAACTCTGTAAAACAGACTAATGCTAGCTGCATACAGTGGTTGCTGAGGGCATTAAATGAGATGATGTAGGTAACATGCTATAGAAAAATGCCCCTCAAATCACTGTCATATACTGAGCAGACAGTGACAGGAAGCACACTATACGCAACATGCACTAAATTGTGGCTTTGGCTAATAGGACAGTAACATGAAATAATGAAGAGGATGATGGTCACAGGCCCTCGTCTTCACTAGACCATGTGCTTCTTAGGGCAGGGCTCAGGCCTGGCCCAGGGGACACCACGCTTGTATATCCATTTCCTCTGCCCCGTGCTGGGTGCCAGGACACCCCTGGGCTGAGACAGGATCCCAGGGCTGCGCTGCCTCAGAATGCCATTCCTCTCCTCATAGCCTCTCACTCTATAATCCATGCTCTTGCTTTCACGGCTTTTTGTTTGTTTTTTGAGCTGGGATCTGGCTGTATCACCCAGGCTGGTCCCTAACTCCTGGCCTCAAGCAATCCCCCTGCCTCAACCTCCCAAGTAGCTGGGATTACAGGTGTGCCCTTGCTTTAATGGCTATTTGATTAGCACCTGTCTCTCGCACTAGACAGTAAACGCTATTAGGGCAGAGCCTCAGAGGCCACCCAGCAGCTGACTCATGTTGGCATACAGTAGGCACCCACTAAAGAGCTGTTAGCTGATGGACTGACTGAGGAGGAGGAAGGGTGAATCCATGCAGCCTGGGGGTACCATCCAAATCTGGCTCACTCAGGCACCTGGCAGCCCCACTCCGCTCCGGCTCACCTGCTTATACTTGTACAATAGCAGCAGGAGCAGCAGCAGCAGCAAGGCCATGATGGACATGCAGGCGACCACCACTGGTGTGAAGAGGAACTCATCCGGGGGATGCGTGTGGGCTCCTGGAAGGCATGAAGCAAAGCAGTGAGCAGGCAGGGGTGCCTCCGAGCCCCCTGAGGTCAGGCCTGCACACTGCCTGGAACACAGTGGGTGCTCAATAAATGCTTGTTGACTGAATGAAGCATCCTCCACTGGAAGCCTCTGGAGCCTCTCCTGCACACCCTCCCCGAGAAAGGCAGAGAGGACGGCCTCTTCAGCTCTGCTCATGCCCAGCCCCAAACCCTGTCCAGAGTCACAGCCTCCTGTGGCTGGGGGTAGGGAGCCTCTGGGGTCATGCAGTCTCACCCTCTGCCAGTGCAAGAAACCTCTCTGCAGCGGCCTGGCCTGGTGCCCAGCCATGGCTTGCATGCACTACACCTCCAGGAAGCTCGTTCAGAAAGGCCTTCTGGAGGTCACACTGCAACCTTCCTCTCCTGCATTTCCCCTGCAGCTTCTCCACATGCCTTTGGAATCATACAGCCCTTCTGAGGGTCTAGCAAGCCAGGCTTGTGGCCCCTGAGTCTCCTCTTCCCAGAATCTATACTACTAGTTCTAGTGATGTTTTGGAGAACATAATTTCCACTTCCTTGCTCAGATCAGTAACTTAGATCTGCAGTCAAGTTTCACCTGTGCCACTTGGGAGCTGTGTGACATTGAGCCTAGGGAAAATTCTATTTATTTCCTAGGTTTGTAGGAGTTAATCGAGATAATCCCCACAAAGAGCTTAACACAGTGCCTGGCGCAGCAGAAGCCTTCAACAAAATGTTGGCTTTATTATAATATACAACCTCCAGCAGTGAGGCCCAGCGCGGCCGCAGGCTCCTGCTTGCAGCTGGACCCTGGTAGCAGTTGCTCCAAGGCCAGCAGCTGGGGACGTGAGTGACCACCCCTGAGCCAGGCAGATGCCAGGGTCTGGCACACAGTGGGTGCCAGAGCCTGGTTGTCAAAAGCCTGAGGATGCTGTGGGCCTCTGAGAATCACAGAACTAGCTGGTAAGGAGCCTTTGTGTAAAGCAGAGAGGCAGCCTGTGTTGTGCACAGGGCCGGGCATCATCCCCCGGGGCAGCCTCTTGCACAGCAACCTCAAATGGATAGACTGTGTCTGGAGCAAGAGGGGAGAGTTGGAGAAGGCCGTCCTTAGCTGGCCCCGAGCTGGAGATGGACTGTTTCCTTGCTCATTGCCTGCCTCCCTCATCAGCCTCTGAGCTCTGGGGAGGCACTGCTTCCCTGCATAGGGCACGTCCCTGGCACACGGTGCATAATGCCTGCACATACTTGTGAATAGATGCATGAGTTAGAGTGCAGGGACAAGAGTGGGGGCCAGTTTCTTCAGGCTGCTTTCTCTCTGCTTTCTCAGAGACTACCCCGTCCTACTGCTTCGGGGGACCTGCCAGGCAGGAGGGGCTTGGACTGGCCCAGAGAGGTGGACCTTGGTACTGCTAGGATCTGCTCCAAAGGTGGAGCCAACCCCAGCTCCCTCGGTGGGGGGTGGGGGAGGAGCCGCCTAAAGGAGCAGGGGCGGGGGGCGGGCGGGGGGGCGGTGCGGGTGCGAAGGCTCCCTCTCACCTGCAGAGATGGGTATGAAGGCCCAGGAGCCACTCCCCACGCTGTTGTGGGCCCTGCACTCGTAGGTTTGGTTGTGCTCTAAGGTCTCAACAGTCAGCAGGCTCTGCACCGTCACCTTGTGGAAGGGCTCCTGGCTCAGGACCTCAGGGTATGGGTCATCCCAGACCTGCAGCACTTGGGCCTCATCACACCTGGCAAAAGCAGAATGTGGCTCAGAGCTTCAGGGTTCCCAGCGCCAGCATGTCCCTCCCACTCACAGGGTGCCCAGCCCCTGAGCCCAGGTGAGGGAGGTGAGTGGAGCCCACTTACCTATCAGTGTGGCCACTGCACTGCAGCCATGTCACGTTGGGCTGGGGGTACCCAGAGGCAGCACACAAAAGGGTGCCAGAGCCGTTGATGAATGTCCATATGACGCTTACCTCTGGGGGGTCTGAGGAAGAAAGGAGGAGGCCCCAAGTCACACTTTCCCCGCCACCTCCCAATCTCCCAGTACCTACTTCCCTGTGCCCTGCCCCAGTCAACCCCATCCCTCCAGGCAGTCCCAGGGCCTCCGCCCCAGGTGGCGCTCGGCCCCAGCACTCACATCGAAGGGTGAGCTCAAACGTCAGAGCTCTCCAGCCTCCTGGGTTTCTGGCCAGGAAGGAGTAGCGGCCAGCCTCAGAGGGCTTCAGGCGGGGCAGAGAGAGGGTGAAGGTGTGCCTGCAGGAGAGAATCAGGTGGTGTTGGTGAGCCCCAGCCTAGTATGGCCCCTGCCAGGATTGCAGTCAGATAACAGCCTTAAAGGGGTTTATTTTATTTTTGGTAAAATATTCAGGGCCCAACGGCCTTGGGTAAGCCAGATACTCAGACAGGGTGCCATTGAGACATGCAAAAACCACCAATCCCATTTCCTTAGTTGGTTTTCTTATCTGAAAGTGTTTTTTTCCCGAGGTTTAATAGAGGTGATGTCTTCAAGGTGCTGGGAGGCCTATCACAGGTCGCCTACGTTGACCACTGTCACTGGACTAAGCTTTCATGAAAGCTGCAATCCCTGCTACAAATCCCTGAAGTGCCAACCTTGCCAAGAGGGACTGAGAAAGAGACAAGAGGCAGGATGTAGGGCCCTGGGTTCTGAGCCATGTTGCTGCAGAGACTGGGGTTCAAGTCCTGGTGCTGCTGTTTCTTGGCTGTGTGATCTTAGACAAGTACTTAACCTCTCTGATCCCTCACTTCCTTTGCTGTGAGAGTGATATCGATGGTTATTAATTCACAGGCTTGGCTTGAGGATTAAAGGACCTTTTTAGGGTGCTTGACACAGAAGTTGAATCTTTGTGGGCACTCAATTCAATGGTACCCTTTATTACAGAAAAGGCCCTGGAGCAAAAACTAACAATAAAAATCATCTTTGGCTGATTCTGGGAAATTTTTTGTTTTATTCTTTCTTTAATCTCTATTTTACAATTTGTCCATAATGAACATGTGTTGTTTAGGTAATAAATACATTTTTTAAAAAGTCCCCCAGTTCACTGTCAAAATAAATAAAATTTTAAAAATTATAGCAAATGGCCAGTTCTTGCTTGGGAAATGTCTGCAGCTACTACTAGACTAAAATCTATGGTATTCAGAGAGCAGTCTCATCCAGCCAGACCCTGGGCATATACAAGGCCTCTGCCCAGGTCACTTCTTGAGATAACTAACCCCTTTAACTAAAAATAATTTGACTTTTTTGGATAATTGAAAGTCACCATTATGAACAACCCATCACATGAACTAAAATTCTGTGGCTGTTTGGTGTCCAGGCTTGTCTGCCTTGTGCTGAATGGGCCCAGACTACTGTGTTTTAGGGGATCTCGTGTTCCTTTCCTCAATGTCTCTGTGGCTTATGGACCCATTAAACCGATCCATGGACCAGCCCCCTCCAAAGGGCCTACACATTCCAGATTCAGAACTTCTGCTTTAAATGAGAGGAAGACAGAGACCTGGCCAGAAAGGACCAGAAGGGAACTGAGAGGAGGAAGATGAGGACAAGAAAACATCCTTGTTGCTTCTGACAATTGACAAGCAAGATTGTGGGAATCAATGAGGTTTGGGCTTCCAGAGCTAGAACGAGAATCCCAAAGAGTTTTGAAGTTGTCTAAGGGATCCACACAGGGATGACAAACAGATCTCTCATGAGCCAACTATGCTGGAAATACTGCCTGGGACCTGTGTTGAGGAGGACTCTGAGGCCGCATCTACACTCTGCAGAACAGAGTTGCAGAAACAAGAATGAGAGTGAGTGTGGCATGCACACCACGTATTCGCTGCCCTTAAGCTGTACTGTCTCCCTCTGAAAGGGCAGGGTATGAATGATTATTTCAGGCCAGGCACGATGGCTCACACCTGTAATCCTAGCACCTTGGGAGGCCGAGGCAGGCAGATCACCTGAGGTCAGGAGTTCGAGACCAGCCTGGCCAACATGGTGAAACTCTGTCTCTACTAAAAATACAAAAATTAGCTGGGTGTGGTGGTGGGCATCTGTAATCCCAGCTACTCGGGAGGCTGAGGCAGGAGAATCACTTGAACCCGGGAGGCCGAGTTTGCAGTGAGCCGAGATTGTGCCATTGCACTCCAGCAACAAGAGCAAAACTCCATCTAAAAAAAATAATAAAAAGAAAGAAAAGAAGGAACTATTTTAATACCTGAGTTAATACCTGATATACCTGGTATGAGTGTTCCTCTTAGGCACAAAGCTTTCTTATTTAGAACCTACCTGCTTAAGCCACTTTGGATGAGAAAGCAAGACCCCAAGAACACAGTTCACAAGCAGACAGGAAAAAGATTTCTAAAATGTGTGTGGAATACACAGGATTGTGGGAGTGGAGAGACGGAAGAAGAGGGGTGTGGAGTTATTATAGATTGCACTTCATGGGAAGAGTTTTGAGCTTACAGAGAAGAGCAGCCAGTGAGAAATTCTTGGGGCTGGGTGATCACAATCCTTTAAAGAACATTTCATGTATCTGTGATTGTGTGATCTTAATTCCCTCTTCCCCTCCCTCCAAGCTTTTGTATGTAGCAGATAACTTGTGCAGTCATTATCAGGAGTGTGTCTATGAGTGGGGCTGTTTTCTGCATTTGGATTGGCCCCAAGAGAGGAAAATGAATGAGGCTGAGGGTTCTTGAGGGACCAATGAGAATGCACACTCCCAAGAAATGGTAGAATCCTTGGGTGGGGCATTGACTATCCCAAGGATGTGGGATGGAGAGGTAGGTCAATTTCATCTAGATCTCAAACACAGATGACCAATATTGGGATTCCATGAAGTCAGGGAAAGCGAAGCCCAGAAAGGGGCAGGGACTTGCTCAAGGTCATACACCAAGGTTGGGACATGAGCCAAGCGTCCTGATGCTTGCTGAAGCATACCCCATCTGGTTGTCGGGCTGTGTAGACGGGAGCTGATAAGTGGTACCTGTATGTGTCCTTGGTGGTAGCATTAGCAAGCTTGGGCTCAGGCTGGTGGTCAGAAAAGGGTCCCAGGTAGGTCCAGTTAAAACCTTGCAGGCCTGGGTAGGCCTCCACCATGACTTTGAGGTTGAGCCCCTCCCCCACGGTCACCTCCTGGATGAGGTTCTGCTCAGAGCTCAAGTTCAAGTAGGCACTCTCTGGAAAGCAGAACACACAAGCATCTGGCATTAGTGGGAAGATGTCCTTGTTTATTTGTCCATTTTGTCATCCACCCATTGATCCAGTCCCTGAGCAGCTATGTCACAGGTACATAGTCCCCACCACCCAAGACAGGTCCTCTGACACCCCTCTTCTCACCACCCCCTTCAGAATCCCTGGATCAAAACTTTTCTCACTGAAGCCCTAGGAGAACCTGGGCAAATCCCTATCCCCATTTGTGCCTCCATCTCCTTATTTGTGTAATGAAGAGATTGAATATATCTGTGATTTTCCAAGTTTTTGAAAAATTTTTGGCAGCAAGAAAACACACACACACATACACACACAATTTCACGTGTCCTCATCCATTTCCCTTTCTTCTGGTCATAAATTAGTCAATGCGGCTTCCAAATATAGCTCTGGAGTAGGTGTGTAACCCAGGCCAACCAGTGAGGGTACTCTGTCCCCTCTGGCCCGGTGATTGGTTTGGGTTACCATGAATCCATGAGTCCATAACACTCAATTCCATGATTTTTGTTAAGACTCTGGGAAAAGAGAAGCCCTCATTTTACTGGTGTTGCTGGATCAGATACTACAAGGCGGATAGTCGGAGTCCTACAAGGGGAAAGCCTTCCTGGCAGGGCTGAGAGTTGGGGAGTCATAGATTCTTTCCAGCATCAGCTGAACACCTGGATCCAAGTGTTCCTGAAGCTGATATCCATGAGCTTTTTAGCTATAAGGAAAAAAATCCTTTTAATTAGGCCAGTTTGAGTTGGTTTCTATTACTTGTATCTGAAAGAGTCCTGACTAGTTTTTTTTTTTTTTTTTTTTGAAACAGAGTCTTGCTCTGTCATCCAGGCTGGAGTGCAGTGGCACAGTCTCTGCTCACTGCAACCTCCGCCTCCCAGGTTCAAGCGATTCTCCGGCCTCAGCCTCCCGAGTAGCTGGGACAACAGTTGCATGCCACCACGCCCAGCTACTAACTAGTTTCTCCTAATGACATTTTGCACAGATTGTAATACAGCTGCTCTTGTTGAATCTCAGGCAAGGGAATTGTGGCAAGAACCCCAATTCACTCAGCCTCTCCGTGCCTGTCATGGTAGCCCCTGACATGCCTTCTTAAAACCTCAGGGCTCTGCCACAAGCCCTGGACTAGATGATTTCTAAGAGCTCCTCTCCTTACTCTATTCTGTCTAAAAATCTGAAATTCACCCTTCTACACTGATATATGTCTACTCAAAAGCCCTCTATGGAGTCCCATTGCCTCCATTATTCAGCGTGGCGTTCAAGGCTCTCAATCAAATCAGGTCTCACTGTGCTCATCCAGCCACCTCCCCTCTTCCTTCCTACACACACACACTCAACGCTCCACCCATCTGGGTCTCCTAACATCCCTGAACACACCATAGTCATTCCAACCTTGGAGGTTTTGCTCAAGCAATTTCCTCTACCAGAAATCCCATCCTCCTCCTTTTCATTATAGAGGCCCCTTTATCCTTTAAGATTCACCCCCATGAGGGAGTCTCTACTCAGTGCTCCAGGACACAGGAACCTCTCACTCCACTCGACTTTTGCTGCCCTTCCAGACTACACACTCATTAGGCACCACATCTGCACTGCTTCATGCATCTGGTTCTCCCTCCAGGTAGCTTTCTTCTCTCTCCAAGTAGTCTGTGAGCTTTTGGGGGCAAGGCTTTTCTCTTCTCTGTCTCTCTCAACAATCCATCTATCTATTATTCATCCATCCATTAGTCCATTCATCCATCCAAACACCAACAACTTCCTGCTGCCTTCACCATTACCACTCTAGTCCACCCACCATCAGCTCCAGCCTGGACCACTGCGGTAGCCTCCTTTCATCTCACCTTCCCACTTTAGCTCTCTGACCTCATCTGAGACCACTTTTTTTCTCACTCTCTCCCCGCAGCCACACTGGCCCACTTGTCCCCTGAACATGGCAAGCACAGTCCCGCTGCAGGATGGAGCTCCCTTCTCCAAAATGGCCGCATGGCTTGCTCCTTCAGCAATTTAAGCCTTTGCTCAAATATCAGCTTTCTAGTGAGATCTTCCTTGGTGAACACCCTATCTGAAGCTGCAAATGCTATATAATTTGTTTTTTTAATAATTTACTTGGCTCATTGCTTGCCCACTCCCAGCTAGAGCACACACTTCATGAGTCGGGGGTTGTTGTATCTGTTTCACTTGCAGCTGTATCCTCGATGTCTAGAACAGTGTCTGGCCCAAAGTGTGAATGAACATAAACATTTCTTGAGTGATGACTGTATGCCTGTACTAGAAAGCAGACAGGATTAGAAGCCGTAACTGAATTCTTGTGCTTTTGCTCTTCTTCCCCTTTACCCTGCCAAAGCTCCCAGTGCAGATTGGGGTCCACAGCAGAGCTCACAATCTGCTGCAAGTCCAGTGCCTTGCACATACTCTAGGGGCAGTGATGCTCATGATTCTCATGCTCCTCGCCACCTCCATCTCCCATAACATTCAACACATGAGGCACGGCCAGACCTAAATGTCTCAGAGCCTGCTCCCACTCCGATGAGCTGCTGCCTTGCTTCAGGGTCTGAGTCCAGTGACTGCCACTGCCTGCACCCAATCACCATAGCCAGAGACCTGGAGGTCATCCTTATCTCCTTTCTCTTCCTCATCCCTGCATCTCAGACTCTTCCACACACCACTGGCCATCTTCAGCCCATTCTCCAGCCTCCAGGTTCCCACCCAACCCACATGGTGCCAGACTGAGCCTTCTCAGATACTATCTCCTGGTGCACACTTGGACAGCATTTCCTGTGTCAGACCCTGTTCTAAGTACTTCCTATCTATCTATCTATCTATCTATCTATCTATCTATCTATCTATCTATCTATCTAATCTATCTATCTTCTATCTATGAAGGCAGTTACTGTTAATATCTTCATTTTACAGGTAGGAAAACTGAGACACAGGGTGGTTAGCAACCTGCTAGTCCTTGGCAGACTCAGGTTGGAACACTGCCCTGGAGTGTGTGCTCCTGACCACCACGAAGTGCCTCCTCTGTACAATCTGACCCCATCACTCTCCTCTTTACAATGACCTCCCAATAGGTTAAGATGCAGTTATTCTTTCTCACTTTAAGACACCTTTACCTCCGGCTTCTGCCACCTCCTCTGCTCCCCTGTGGCCACTCCTCACACCACTCCACATCCCAGCTGTTGTCAAGTTCTTTCAGTGTTCCAAATGATCTATGTTCTCTTTGCCTTTGAGCCTTGCATATGTTCCTCCCTCTGCCAGAAGCGCTGTTCCCCTTCCTTTCCCACCCTTCTGCCCGGCCAACTCACCTTCATTCTTCCCATCCCAGTTTAGAGGCCACCTTCTCGAAGCCTGGGTTGGGGGGACTCTTCAGTGTTCCCAGGACACCTTGTGCTTCCCCCATAATCACTGGGTGATCATTGTCTTTTCATGTTTCCATAAAGGAATGCATGAAAGAATGAACAAATGAAGTCCAGTAGGGAGCTACTGGACCCCAATCCCCAAATAAACAAAAAATGGCACTAAGGTGCACCCAATGCAGCCATGCACTGTAAGAGCTCCAAGATGGGAGAGAGATCCCAGGAGAGGGTAAGGGAAAGCTCCTGGAGAGTGGCTCCTTAGCCAGGCCTTGGATAAACAAACTCCAGCAGAGATATCCTCAGCAGGTCTCCTTCCCTGACATCAGCTTCCTCCTCAAAACCCTTCTGCTCACACTCCTGCAGGATCCCTACCGACTGTCCACCACCACCCTGATGCTTACCTACCACCCGGAAGAACATGGAGGTGGAGTGCTTGCCCTGCACGTTGCTGGCCACGCAGGAGTAGTTGCCGGCATGTTGGAAATCTACTTGATCGAGGTTGAGGGTCAGGACTTTTTGGTAACGGTTATTATGAAAGTCAGATTGTTGAGGGATTGCGAGCTGCAGCCAGAAGGAATGGAGATGTTATACCAAGGTAGTTTAGGGATTAGAAAGATCTGGGTTCCAATCCTCAGCCTTTAAGGATTACTATCTGCCTTTCCTCTGAGCCTGTTGCTTCACTTGTAAAATGGGGCTAATACTGGCTCCCTGCCCCAAGACTGTAGTGAGGAGTAAATGAGATATGCATGCAAGTGGCTTAGGGCTGTGTCTGGAACACGGCAGGTGCAGTGGGAAGGGAGGGGGCTCTTAGAGGCAGCCCAACGTGAGTCCCTCCTGGAATCCTCCCTCCTCCTCCCTCTCTCCCAATGTCTTTCTGAAATAGCTGTTATATTCCTGGGCTTCAATGGTGGCCTAGGAAACCCTTGCTAAATCAGAAGTGAGCTCACCTCTGGCTTTTGTCTAAAGGCTGGGGCAAAGGCCATGTGTCAAGGTGACAGAGAACCACCTCCCCCCACCCACCCCCACAAAGTTCAGCGGCACAAGCATGAGTCCTGATTCTGTGTCAGCTACTGACTGGGAGTGAGATCTCGGGTGAGTCTGCACCCCTCTCTGGAGTCTGAGCTGTGCCTTCAGCTAAGACAGCCAGTTTGGAGTTGGGGGCCCAGGACTCCACCATGGGAAACCTGGTGTGCTGGGAGGATGGCCAGACTTCACCTTGTGATCTGCAGGGACTGACCTTGGTGTTGTTGTGTTGGAGGAAGACATCAAAGTTAACATCAACGCTGCTGGCTGAGCACACGATCTGGGCAGCCTCCCCTCGAATCCGCACCAGCTCTGCAGGCACCAGTGTCAAGGCTGGGGGCCCTGGGATGACTGAGACCGGGGGAGAGACCCCTGAACACCCAGGCTCCCTGAACATGATAGAGATATTGCTCTCCTCCCTGCCATGGGCCAGGACACACAGGCCAGGGTCCCCATCACTGCCCCATCCCAAATCCTGGGAGGCAGCCTTGATGCTCCCAGTCCCCCCACTGCAAGGCCTGTCCTAAAGAGACCTTGGAAAGTCTACTTTCTCCATCACCTCTACCCCTCCCCAGTCCCGTCACCATTCTCCACTCTGGACTTCTGCACCAGCCTCCTCAGAGACCTCCCTGCCTCCCTCCAAGCCCCCCACACCTAGATTCTTCACTAAAGTGACCTCTTACAAATATAAATGGGACCATGCCTCTCTCCTCTGTAAACATTTGGGGCTTCCCATTACTCTCAGAAAAGAAGTCAAAGTCCTTCCACAGCCCAACCTGTTTCTGACCGCCCTGATAACCCCACCCCTTGTTCACTGCACTGCAGCCCGCTGGACCTCTTTCCTACCACAGGGCCTTTGCACCCACCTTTCCCTCCTGGAATGCCTTTCCTCCCACACTTCAAATGGGAGGCTGTTCTCATCCTTCAGATCTTTAGCTCAAAAATTCCTCAGCAAGGCTTCTGTGACCAGCTGATATGAATTAGCCTCCCCAGCACCTCCATGCCCGCCACTCCCCAGCTTGGTTTCTTGCTCATCACATTTGTATTTACTTTCTATTTAATAGTTAGACTCTAGTCGAATGTCAAATCCGTGACAGGAATATTCCAGCAGCCAGCAAGATGCCTGATGCACAGTAGGCCTTGAATTCATATTTATGCCCATTGCTGCTGTTGAAAGATAATCTAATCCAGATTCCTAAGGCCCAGGGACATGAAAGGACTCACCCAAGGTCCCTGAGGGGGTGTCAAGGCAGAACTAGGGCCCAGGACCTTTGGCTCTTGGCCAGCCCAGGGCTCTGCAGGATGAAATGCCAGGAAAGAGCCCTAATGGCCTCCTCTGCCCACACAGCTGGGGTCCTTTGACCCCCTGGGCAGGTTTAGTGGCTTCAGATCCCAGTGGCATTGGGCTAGCTGCTTCACTCTGACCCTGGCCCTTGTTACAGGGACTGATTGCTGTCTCAAGCCCAGGTCCTCAGGCTGGGGTCCTGCTTGCTCTCACCAGTCCTCCCAGAAACCAGAATCCTGCCTGCCATCCCAGCAGGGTGAGACTCCACCTCCACTGTTACCTGGCCACCGCGAGAGCCATCACACGCACCCACCATCTCCTCCCTGCCTCTTGGCTCAGCATCCCTCCTACACATGCCCAGCACTTGGCCTTAGGCAGGCCCCCAGTGGGAAATCCATGTCTGAGGCTGAGCTTCCGTCCTCTTTCCATACCTAGAACATTCAGAGCCTGTCCCCACCTCACCACTTGGTACTCACTGTCCCCCTGCTGAAGCAGATCTTTGCACAGCCACCTTCTTCATGTCATTCAGATTTCCGCTCTAATAAAGTGTTTCCTTCTCAGTGAGGCTCCCCGCCCTACACACTCCTTATTCAGCTACCATGTTGAATGTTTATTTTTGTAGCATGTCCAATGACTTGAGATGACCTTGCCCACTGAGTTATTTGCTCACATGTGGTTTGTCTCCCTGCCCCGACACCTTGTCAGTCCTGCCCCATAGATGATCGTGGAACCATTGAGGGGAAGAAGTGAAAGAAAGAGGACATCCCACTGCCCCCCATCACACCCAGTCCCCAGTCACCACCCATGTGGCCGCCGGCTCTCTGTCCCCACTCTTCAGGCCTGGCTGCCGGTCCCCATGCCCCACGCACCTTTCTGCACTTTCAGCCGGATGCTGATGGACATCACCTTCCTGCCACCCATCAGGGCACTGCATTGATAGTCCTGGCTCTGAATGAACTTGGCCCTGTGGATGGTGAAGCCATGCCAGGGCGAGAAGGAGTAGTTGGTGTGGCGCATGAGGGGCCGGCCACGCACACGCACCAGCGAGACGCCTGCTTCCAGCACCGGGTCTGTGAGCAGACAGGGCAGTAGTGCGTCCTGGTCCTCGAACACGACCACCTCCTGTGCTAGCACGTTCCAGGGCCGGGCAGGGTCTAGAGTAGAGGAGGGCACAGGGTTACAACTGCCCTCCCTCCACTGGGCCAAGGAGTACCTGGACATAGGTGACAAGGAAGCTCAGAGAGGCTGATCATTCATCTGAGGTCACACCACGCCAGGACAGTTCAGCGGATGCTTCAGCGTGGTGGCTCCAGAGTCAGGCGCACCTGGGCTCCAGTCTAGTCCCACTATGTGAGGCTGTGTGACCTTGGATAACCTCCCTGCACTTCTAGAAAATGCATCATCATAGACCCGACTTGCAGGGTTGTTGTGAGGACTGCATTACATTAGCAGCTCTTCCAGGTCCTTGCTCATAGCCAGCACTCAGTAAATGCAGAGCTGAATTGTTACGATTGTTAATTTTAGGGCCCATTGTAGTGGGGCCTGCCGGGTCAGGCCTCTTGGGAGGAGGCTCAGACTCCTCACCTTTGACATAGAGGTGGATGGCGGCGCTGCCTCCCAGGGGGTCTCCAGGCTCAGTGCAGCGATAGGTCCCCGTGTTTTGGAAGGTAGCGTTGTTGGTGCTGAGGATGCTGCTGGAGCCATCAGAGTACAGGGTCCAGTGAGGTGATGGGGGGCCATCCCATTCCACGCTGCCATTGCCCACACATCGCAAGGTCACCGTTGCTCCTGGCTTCACGACCAGCTCAGGGACACTGGGCTCTATCACTGGGATTCCCTGACCTGGTGGGAGAGAGGGACAGCAGACAGAAGTGAGGTCTAGGATGCGCCCCTTGGGCCGTCCTGACTCTGAGATGGGTGGTAGCTTGGCAGGGATGGTGCTGTGCCATCAAGGGACCACCTTGAACGAGCCCCTGCCCCCTGGTCATTTGCTCAGCTCCTAACCCTCAACCTGCTCAGGGACAGACTGATGTCTCTGATGTCCAGGAGGTCCCTCCTCTGAGAAAGGGGGCTTGCAGCTTGCTCAGCCTCTCACCCAGGCCTCTGTCCCCCTGGGGTCCTCAGCCTCCTGCCTCAGTCTTCCCTGCTGTGATGCCATCTTTCTACTCCCCAGGAATGGACTCTTTTAACCCTGTGTACAAAGTGGACGTATTTCTACCACCGAATGAAGAAACAAATGAATGGAATGTTCACGGCCAAGTCCTCAGCTTAATTCATATGGGAAAGAAAAAAAAAGAGATGTAGGATCTTAGCCCAGCAGAGTTAGAGAGGTCCCAAGAATCTCCTGGTGTGCCCGCTCCCACCAATGGACATCTGGTCTGCAGCACAGTGGGATGGGGAGGTGCCATGCCTCAGTTTCCCCACCTATAAAACAGGGACAATCATCGTACCCACTCATTGGTATGTTAGGCATTTTAAATGCATGGGAAGACTTTAGAACATCACCTGTCACCAAATAAATGGCTCAGTAAGAGTTAGTCACTATGTTTATTACCTAGTCTACACCCAGCAGCTCACCCCGGCACCCCCACACATCTGTGTTTACTGGGAAGCCAATCTCTTTTAAGGAAAATTTTCTTGAAGGAGAAAAGAGAACTTGAAACCCCTATCAGGCTGTCCGGGAAGAAGGCCCGTTGCCTCTGCAGCGTCAGCATTTTTCCAGGGCCTAAAATAGGGGCAAAGGAGGGAAGTGAGAGCTGATTCAAGCCTCCGAGGGGCTGCCAGGCGCCCCCCAGCCTGTGTGGGCGGAAACACATTGTTGGCGTCAGGCTCAGCCCCCGGTTTCCGCTCAGCCTGTGGCCCTTCTACAGGGATGTTCTCACTTCTGCTTCCCCAGCCTCCTAGCCACTCTCCTCTCTCCAGGCAGGGAGAGGGAGTGCCACTTGCGGGGCAGCTGTGAGGCTGGGCTCTGACGCTGACCCACTGGCTGACCCTGGCCATCCAACTCCTCAGCTCTGGCCCTTCCTCTTCCCAGTGATGGGGGCACAATGACAGGCCAGCCCCGAGGGCTTTCGGTGAATTCAGGGTATCTCCATTGTTCTCTGCAAACCCCCTTGAAATGGAAATTCCCCCTGCCCCACCATAGAGCCCAGAATTGGAAAGGTTTCCTCTCTCAAGTCCTTTCAGGATGGCTTAATTCACGTTTTGATTTTGTATTCATCAGAATGTGCATCCCTTCTCCCCAAGACTCTGATCAGCAAACGAGATTGAGTGAATTGTGAATACTGCCAAGCCTGCCACCTGGGGTTGTAGCCCTCCTATGCAGTGCAACTGCCAGGAAGAGGGACAAGTGTCATTTCTAGCAGCCTTTTTAGCAAATCTCAACAGAGCTGGGGCTGCCCTATCACTGCTGCAGCAATCTAGGGCCCCCAGGCCGGGGTTTTATAGCAGGAAACAGCTTGGAGTGTGGGCTCACACCAACTTGGGTTTGGATCTTGGTTCTTCCCTTACCAGCTGGGTTAGTTTCTTAACCTCTTTGAGCCTCAGGCTATTCTTCTGTCTGATGGGAATAATCCCAGCTCCCACCCCAAAAACTTCAGCTGAAGGTTGAGTGAGATGATGTATAGAACTACTCCTGCCCTGGGCACCTGCTTTAATTGCTACATTTCTAATGTCCCTTCTGGGCCAACTCTGATCGCTCAAGATTTTAACCTTGGATTCTGTGATTCCATTTGTTCCTTTTTTACACCTGCCTCACACCTTACAGTGGGCTTCTCCCATCCCTTCCCCCAGCCTGTCTCTCTAGACCCTGCCTTGGCCTCCAGGAAATGTGGTCAGGGAGCGGTGTCTGCCCTATTTTGTCCTATCCTATTGTCCCAGGTATTCACGCAGGATAAGGCTGATACCCGCAACTTCCGCAGCCAACTTCCCCTGCTGGCTTGGCTAGCAGGGAAGGAAGCCGGCTTGGCCCCCATCCTCCTCGGGGTGGGGGCATGGGCTTATGAACATTAACTGAGGTCCCCTTCTGTGCCTGTCCATTCTTCCCCCCTCTCATCTCCACTCCCCAATTCTCCCCATGCCCCACACCTCTCCACTAGCTCCCACTTGCCTGGAAGCCCCTCCCTCATCACTTCCAGAATGTGCCCCAATCTCTACTCTTCTCTCCCAACACACACACACACACACACACACACACACACACACACACACACACACACACTGCACACTAAGGCTGGACACAGCCCCTCTTCAGCCCAGGATCTCATCGCAGTAATGAAGAGAGAGCCCCCCTCTCTCTCTAGGGTCCTCCAATACCATCCCCAGTCTCCTCACAGTGGCCCCTCATCCACTCATCATTGGTCTGTTGGGCTGAAAACTTAGGTTTCCAGCCTCCCCATCTCTTCTTTCTCTTGGGACTGGACCCTGGAAAACCATCTGGCCCCCCTCCCACACACCATGCCCCTGTGAAGGGAAAATAAAAACTTGGGACCCTAATTCACTCTGCCAAAAGGAAAAATCAAGCTGGAAACTGAGTCATGCAAGAAGCTGCCTTGCCTTTTATTCCTAAGCAGATAGCGACAGATAAAAGGTAAAATATCCCACAGGCAGCTCCTCTATGTTCACTTTCCCTATGTAAAGAGCCAATTTACTGAACCGAGATAATTGACTGTTCCCCTACCTGCTGCTTTTCTTTTGCAACATGTGGATTACCACAACCTCCCCTTTTCCCCTCCAGCCCACTTTCCCCTTTAAATATTAAAGCCCTCGAATTCATCCAGAATGGCACAGACCACAGAATGTTTTTGTGACTCCATGTTTTTTTCTCGCCAGCATGTCCTTAACCTTGGCAAAATAAACTTCTAAATTGATTGAAGCCAGGCACAGTGGCTCATGCCTGTAATCCCAGCACTTTGGGACGCCAAGGCAGGGGGATCGCTTGAGTTCAGGAGTTCGAGACCAGCATGGCCAGCATGATAAAACCCTGTCTCTACCAAAAATAAAAAAATTAGCTGGGTGTGGTGGCAGGCACCAGTAATCACAGCTACTCAGGAGTGGCAGAATTGCTTGAACCCCGGAGGCGGAGGTTGCAGTGAGCCGAGATCCATGCCATTGCACTCCAGCCTGGGCAACAGAGCAAGACTCGGTCTCAAAAAGATAGAAAAAAGAAAGAAAGAAAGAAAGAAAGAAAGAAAGAAAGAAAGAAAGAAAGAAGGAAGGAAGGAAGGAAGGAAGGAAGGAAGGAAGGAAGGAAGGAAGGAAGGAAGGAAGGAAGGAAGAAAGAAAGGAAGGAGATGGAGTCTTGCTCTGTCGCCTAGGCTGGAGTGCAGTGGCATGATCTCAGCTCACTGCAACCTCTGCCTCCCGGGTTCAAGTGATTCTCCCACCTCAGCCTCCTGAGTAGCTGGAACTACAGGAACCCACCACCACACCCGGCTAATTTTTGTATTTTTTAGTAGAGAGGGGGCTTCACCATATTGGCGAGGCTGGTCTGAAACTCCTGATCTTGTGATCCACCCGCCTCGGCCTCCCAGAGTGCTGGGATTACAGGTGTGAGCCACCATGCCTGGCCACAAGACTCCATCTCAATAAAAAAAATAAAATTAAATTGAGACCTGGCTCAGATACTTTTCCGTTTTTGCCCCACAGGCAGGTTGTGGGTGTAAGGATAGGACAAGGCAGTGAAATCAAACCTGTGGGACTCTCTGAGATGAAGGGGGTGGCGGGTACACTGTGTGTGCATTTGTCAGACCTCATTGAACTTAAGAACCTGTGCTTTCTACTGCATGTAAGTTACATTGCAAAATAAGAAGTCCAGGCCGGGCGCCGTGACTCACACCAGTAATCCCAACACTTTGGGAGGCCAAGGCAGGTGGATCACCTGAGGTCAGGAGTTCGAGACCAGCTTGGCCAACATGGTGAAATCCCATCTCTACTAAAAATACAAAAATTAGCCAGTCATGATGGTGTATGCCTGTAATCCCAGCTTGGGAGGCTGAGACAGGAGAAACACTTGAACCCGGGAGGTGGAGGTTGCAGTGAGCCGAGATTGTGCCACTGTACTCCAGCCTGGTGACAGAGAGAGACTCTGTCTCAGGAAAAAAAAAAAAAAAACCCAAATACTCAAGCTCAGTGTGATTGCCTGGGCCAGAGAAGGATGGTCAGTGGGCCATCTCCTCCTCATCAGGGACCAGAAGCGCCACGGCCTTAGGGTCCTTCTGTGAAGAGGCCAGTATGAGGCTGTCCTTTCTCCCCTTCAATCCCCATCCTCCCCCAAGGTCCCTTTGAATAAGCAGGCAATAGAAATGTGTTTGTTGGGCCAACAAGCCAAGCACAGCAGCCCCTCACCTCTAGTCATGTTCCCTCCCAGATGGAAATTCTGCAGAACTGCTACAGCCTGGGGACCTCCTGAGACTTGGCAGCCTGTGTCTGGGAGGGCTCTGGTCCAGGAGACCCTCACTGGCCTCTTCCCAATCCCTCCTCTAGCCCTATACCTATTTCACCCCGAATTCCCCTCTCCTGAGCCCTGGGCCAGAGAGGCCAACCTCTTGTCTCTCCCCTCTGACCCCTTACACAAGCCACCCAAGGAAGAACCACCACCCCTATCAGGCCCTTCCAAATCAGATCTTGCATAGAATCATCGAATCACAGGCTGGCAGAGCTGCCAGAGCCATCAGGAGCTCTCCAGGTCCTCCCAACTCAGTGTAGGTCTGGACCAGCAGTGCCGGCATCTCACATCTCCCAGGAGTGTGTTGGATATACAGAATCTCAGGTCGCACCTGAGACCGACTGAGTCTGAATCTGCATTGTAACAAAATCCTCAGGTAACTTGTATGCACAGGAAAGTATGAAAAGCACTGCTCTGGTCTAGTCTATCACTGTCCCCCTGCCCCCAACACCTGCAATTGAATAGAAGTGGACACTGAAGCCTCAAGAGTATCAGAGGCTTGCTCAGGACACACAGTGAGTCGCTGGCAGAGCTGGGACAGATCCACAGCACCAGGTGGACCAGTTCCACCACACCCATCTCTTTTCACCCCACTACCTCTCCAAAGCAGATACCCACAAGCCTGCAGTCCAGTGTTGGGGAGACTAAAACAGCCTGAGGACACCCAGTGAGGGGCAAGGACTGAATCCTTTCACAGGGGTCTTCTCCATCACACCCCAACAAAGTCCCCCACCCCCCGTTCTGCTCTTACCATGCCAAGCTGTGGCCACCAGCAGGAGCAGCAGAACTCCTGGGCCCATGGCCTCGGTGGGGAAGTGGCAGGCAGGTGCAGGGCTGCAAGGTGCCCAGGGCACAGAGCTCTCAGCTACTAGCTCCGCAGGGATCGGGACACTGGACACACGTTCCTCTCCTCTGCACTGGCTGTTTGTCTTGTTTTCCTCTTCCTCCTCCTTGGGCTGATCCTCTTCTTCCCCTTTTAGCTAGGCAAGGCAACCACAGAGTTTGGAAATCTTGGGTCTTTAAGAAGAAAACAAAGCCTTGAACCCAAGAGGGAGGGGTCGCAGTCTGGGGCAGGGCCAGCCTGAGCTTGGGGGGAGCTAGCTAAGTTTGGGGCCCTTCTAAAGCCATCTTCAAGGGGTCTTGGGAGAAGAGACATGTCCAAGAGCAGCCAGACCGTTAGTCAGTAGCACAAATGAGGGTCTTCAGAGTGATCAGGTGGCTCTGGCAGATCCCAAAGAGAAGTTAGGTTGCATGATATTGTGACATATATATTTTTTCTTTACCCTGATGTCCTGGCTTACAACTCCTAAAATCCTTGGAATCTCCAAAGTAATGCATATCTTTTAAAAATTTATTATTATTATTTTAGAGACGCAGTTTCACTCTGTTGCCCAGGCTGGAGCTCTGTGGCTCGATCATAGCTCACTGCAGCCTCAAACTCCTGGCTCAAGCCTTCAAGCTGTGAGATCTGACGTTATCTCTAGGTAAATATAGTGTTCAAATTGAATCGGAGGGCACCAGATTCGTGTCTGCTGCAGAATCTGAACAATTGGTTGATTGCTTGGTGTATGGGGAAATATGCCCCATCCTCTACATCTGGGGTCAGAAGTATTTTGTGTTGTGAGACTATAGGAGAAACGGAGTTTGTTTTCTTCCTGTATACAGGTTGGTCTGGGAGAGCCTGATAATATTGGCAATAAGCTTCCTTTTACAGGACATTTACTAGCCAAACCTTTTACATTCACTGTCTCCTTTAGTACTGCAAAACTTTATGTAGGTAAGTACTATTGTCATTCTCATTTCACAGATGGGAAAACTAAAGCTCAGAGAGATCAAATGCCTTAAGCTTGTCCATAGTCAAACAGCTACCAAATGGTGGAGATAGGATTTGGATCCCAGCAGTCTGGTTATAAAACTATCTTTTGTGCGTTACTTACATTGTTTATTTATTTTTACAAAGAATCTAATTGTTCTGCATAATTCTTAAAATATATAGCATTCCTTTGCTCCCTCTTTTCCTGGAGGCAATTGCTTTTACCTCTTTTAGTTGATTCGCTTAGTATTTTACTTCTTATCTCTAAAGAACATGGTCATTTCTTCTTCTTTTTTTCTTTTTTTTTTTCTGAGACAGGGTTTGGTTCTGTCACCCAGGCTGGAGTGCAGTAGTGTGATCTCGGCTCACTGCAACCTCCACCTCCCGGACTCAAGCCATCCTCCTACCTCATCCTCCTGAGTAGTTGGGACTACAGGGGCATGTGCCACCATTCCTAGCAAATTTCTGTATTTTTGGTAGACATGGGGTTTCACCATGTTGTCCAGGCTGGTCTCAAACCCCTGAGCTCAAGTGATTCGCATACCTTGGCTTCCCAAAGTACTGGGATTATAGGTATGAGCCACTATACCCAGCCTAAAGTTCCTTCTTGAAATTGAAAAATCCTGATATAACATTGATCCAGGAAAATGATCATTCCCGTGTACTCAGGTGTGTGTGTGGTGTGTATGTGTGTGTTTGTATGTATATTTATGAGTGTATATATGTACTTTCTTTTTCAGAAAAGTGTTTTGAACCTTTAGCAATCATGAATGTCAATCAAAGCTGACTCAAGAAGAAAAAGAAAATCCAAATAAACCTATAACAAGAAAAGAAATTTAATCAGTAATCAAAAACCTCCCGACAAAGCAAAGCCCAGGACCAGATGGCTTCACTGGTGAATTCTCCCAAACATTTAAAGAAGAATTAATACCAATCCTTTTCAACTCATTCTATGAAGCCAGCATTTTTCTGGTACCAAAGCTAGACCAAGACATTGCCAGAAAAGATAACTACAGACCAATACAAATGCATGAATATAGAAAGCAAAAATTTTCAAAAATGTACTAGCAAACCAAATCTTTTTTTTTTTTTCTTTCTTTCTTTCTTTTTTGAGACAGGGTCTCACTCTGTCACTCAGGCTGGAGTGCAGTGGAGCAATCTCGGCTCACTGCAACCTCTGCCTCCCGCGTTCAAGCTATTCTCGTGCCTCAAACTCCCGAGTAGCTGGGATTACAGGCATGCGCCACCATGCCCAGCTAATTTTTGTATTTTTAGTAGAGACAGGGTTTCACCATGTTGGCCAGGCTAGTCTTGAACTCCTGACCTCAAGCAGTCTGCCCATCTTGGCCTCCCAAAGTGTTGGGATTACAGGCGTGAGCCACTGCACCCAGCCACCAGCAAACCAAATCTAACAGCATATTAAAATGATTATATACCATGATGAAGTGGGATTTGTCCAAGAAATACAACAGTGGTTTAACACATGAAAATCAGGGTAATACATCACATTAATAGAATGAAAAAAATCCTCATATGATCATGTCACTTGATGTAACTGTAAAACCCAACATGCTTTCATTAAAAACAAAACAAAACAAAACCCACCCAACAAACTAGCAATAAAAGGGAACAGCCTCAACGTGATTAAGGGCACATGTGAAAAAGCACAACTAATTCAATGGTAAAAGACTGAGAGCTGGTCCCTTTACATCAGGAACAAGACAAAGATGCCTGTTCTCGCCACTTCTGTTCAACATAGTACTGGAAGTCCTAGCCAGAGCAATCAGGAAGAAAAAGAAACAGAAGGCATCCAAATTAAAAAAGAAGAAGTAAAACTATCTCTGTTCACAGATGACATGATCCTATATATAGATAAATCCTAAAAGATCTACAAAAAGCAACTATTAGAGTTAATATACAAATTCAGCAAACCTGCAGGATACAAGATCAACATACGTAACTCTATAGTACTGATAATACTCCAATAAGGAAATTAAGAAAACAATTTAATTTGCAATAGTATCAAAAATAAAATATTTTGGAATAAACTAAGGAGATGCATGACTTTACAATGAAAACTACAAAACACTGTTGAAAGAAATTTAGAAGACCTTAATAAATGAAAAACCACCTTGTTTTCATAAGTTGGAGGATTTAATAAGACAGCGGTACTCTCAAAGTGAGACTGATTTATAGGGTCAATATAATCCCTATCAAAATCCCAACAGCCTTTTTCTGCAGAAATGGAAAAGCTGATTCTCAAATTCATATGGAATCTCGAGGGACATTGAATATGCAAAACAATCTTGGAGGAGTCACACTTTTCAATTTCAAAACCTACTATAAAACTACAGAAATCAAAATAGTGTGGTATCAGCATAAGAATAACTATATGGATCAATAGAATAAAATTGAGAGTCAGGAAGTAAACTCTCACATTCATGGACAACTGATATTCAACAAGGGTGGCAGGACCATCCAATGGAGAATGACCAGTTTTTTCAACATAGGTGCTAAAAGAACTAGATAGTCACATGCAGAAGAATGAAGTTGAATCCTTATTTTACATCACATATAAAAATTAACTCAAAATGAATTAAAGACCTAAATATAAAAGCTAAAATTATTAAAACCTTAAAAGAAACCATAAAGGTAATATTCATGACCTTGGAATTGGAAATGATTTCTCAGATATGTTTCTAAAAGCACAAGCAACCAAAGAAAAATTGGACATAATAAAAATTAAACATTTTTGTGCATCAAAGGACACTGTCAAGAGAATAAAAACACACAGAATGAATATTTATATCCACAATAAATAAATATATCCAGAATATATACAGAATGAAAGTTGTAGTGTTTCCTCAGCAAAAATCACTCTTGGTGCATAGTTCTATGAGTTTTGACAAATATATATAACAATGTAACCACCACTGTAGTCAAGATATAGAACAGCTCCATCACTCTAGAAAATGTTTCTCATGCTGCTCCTTTATAGTAAAGCCCTCCCCAAACCCCTTACACCAAACAACCACGGATCTGTTCTCCATCCCTGCAGTTTTGCCTTTTCCACAATGTCTTTGTGCTTTACAGGATAATGTCATATAAATGGAATCATACAGTGTGTAGCTAAAGAATGTATGTAGAATCACGCAATATGTAGCTAAAGCCACTCTATTGTCCCTCACAATTAATAAATATTTATGGGAAAATAAATTTTAAAAAAGAATGAAAGTTGTAGTGTTGCCTACAACAACAAAAAAACAATTAAATTTAAAAATAGGCAAATTCAAATATTGCATGTCCTCACTTATAAGTGGAAGCCAAACAAAGGGTCCACACGGATATAAAGATGGAAAGAATAGACTCCAAAAGTGGAAGGATAGAAGGAAAGGGGAAAGGGCAAAAAGGAAGTGAAAAATTACCTATTGGGTACAGTGTTCAGTATTTGGGTACTGGGTACACTGGAAGCCAAATTCACCATTATGCAATGTACCCATGTAATAAACATGCACATCTACTCCCGAGTCTAAAATAATTTTTTTAAAAAACAGGCAAAACATTGAATAGATATTTCTCCAGAGCACATGAAAAAATACTCAATATCATTAGTCATTAGGGAAGTGCAAATCAGAACCACCTTGAGATACCACTTCATATCTACTAGGATCATCATAATAAAAAAAATCGGATAACAAGTGTTGGTGAGGATGTGGAGAAATTGGAACCTTTGTACAATGTTGGTGAAAATGAAAAATGGTGCAGCTGCTATGGTAATCAGTTTGACAATTCCTCAAAAAGTTAAACATAGAATTGTCATATGATCCAGAAATATCACTTCTAGGTAAAACCAAAAGAATGGAAAACAGGGACCCAAATAAATACATGCACGCAAATATTCAACGCAGCACAATTTACAGTAGCCAAAAGGTGGAAACAGTTGACAGCTAAACAAAATGTGGTGTGTCCATACAATTGAATATTATTCAGCTATAAAGGGAATGAAATACTGGTACCTGCTACACTGTGGATGAACCTTGAAAACACTGTGTTAAGTCAATGAAGCCAGTAGCAAAATGTCATACGACTCCATCTATATGAAACATCCAGAACAGGTAAACCTGTAGAGGCAGACGGTTGACGAGTGGTTACCAGGGGATGTGGCAAGGGAGAATGGGGAGTGATTGCTTATGAGGAGGTGGTTTTGTTTTGGGGTGATGAAATGTCTTGGAACTAGATAAAGGTGATGGCTGCCCAGCATTGTATTTGTCCTAAATGCCGTTGTACACCTTAAAATGGTTAATGTTTAATTTTATGTTATGTGAATTTTATCTCAAAAAAAGAGAAGGGATAAAGATTATCTTTGACAAACAAAAACTAAGAGAATTCATTGCCAGCAGACCCATACTACCAAAAAAAAAAAAAAAAAAAAAAAAAAATCCTAAGGGAAGTTCTTTAGGTAAAAGGAGTATGATACCAGCTAGAAAGTTGG
Source organism: Homo sapiens (assembly GCF_000001405.40). Lineage (NCBI taxonomy): Eukaryota > Metazoa > Chordata > Mammalia > Primates > Hominidae > Homo > Homo sapiens. The sequence continues at coordinate 150,091,933 of NC_000005.10, forward strand.
ATATACATTAAAAAATAAAAAGTGCTGGAAATGGAATAAAGGTAAGCATAAAAAATATGATTGCTTTTTAAATGCTTGAAAAGATAACTATTTAAAACAGACATTGAAAAATTTTTTTCCTGTCAAGGACCAAATAGTAAGTATTTTAGGTTTTGTGGCCATACGGTCTTTGGGGCAACTGCTTAATTCTGCCATTGCAGTGCAAAAGCAGCCATAGCCAATACATAAACTATTGAGCACGCTATGTTCCAATCATACCTTATTTACAAAAACAGGAGGCAGGCTACATTTGGTCCACAGGCTATAGTTTGCCAATCTCTGATTTAAAGCAAAAGTAGTAGCAATGCATTGTATATTTATAGCAGATTAAAAGTGAAACATATTGTTGTCATACATTTCACTTTCACATATGCATTTACAGCAATCTCCACAGGGGATACATTCCAGTAACCCTGGTGTATGCCTGAAACTGCAGATAGTACTAAACCCTGTATATGCCATGTTTTTTTCCTATACCTACTGTATTAGTCTGTTCTCATACTGCTAATAAAGACATACCCAAGACTGGGTGATTTCTAAAGGAAAGGAGGTTTAATTGACTCACAGTTCAGCATGGCTGAGGAGGCCTCAGAATCATAGTGGAAGGCAAAGGAGGAGCAGAATCACATCCAACATGATGGCAGGCAAAAGAGTATATGCAGGGGAACTCCCATTTATAAAACCATCAGATCTCGTGAGACTTAATCACTACCACGAGAACAGTATGGGGAAAACTGCCCCCATGATTCAATTATCTCCACCTGGCCCCACCCTTGACATGTGGGAATTATTACAATTCAAGGTGAGAATTGGGTGGGGACACAGCCAAACCATATCACCTACATACCTATGATAAAGTTTATCAGTTAGGCAAAGTAAGAGATCAACAATAATAACTAATAATACAATAAGACAATTATAACACTACACTGTGATAAAAGCCACGTGAATGTAGTCTCTCTCTCTCTCTCAAAGTACCTTCATATTTTTGGACATGGATTGATCACAAGTAACTGAAATTGCCAATAAGGGGGAACTACTGCACTATGAAAAACGGGAAGAAAGGGTGTGCAGTCTACTCTTGTCAGGTCCTCATGCTATATTTATTTTTCTTGTTTGTTTTTTGAGATGGAGTCTCACTCTGTCACCCAGGCTGGAGGGCAGTGGCGTGATCTTGGCTCACTGCAACTTCCACCTCCCAGGTTCAAGCGATTCTCACGCATCAGCCTCCCAAGTAGCTGGGATTACAGACACCTGCCACCGTGTCTGGCTAATTTTTGCATTTTTAGTAGAGACAGGGTTTCACCATGTTGGCTAAGCTGGTCTCGAATTCCTGACTTCAGGTCATCTGCCTGCTTCGGCCTCCCAAAGTGCTGGGATTACAGGTGTGAGCCACAGCACCGGCCCTCATGCTATATTTAAAGTAACATTTTATCATTTAAAGGTAGACTTTGATTAATTTACGATGTAAGTTGTAAAACCCAGGACACTCCCTAAAAATTTTTCTCTCTTTTTAATAACTTAAAAATTTTTGAAGAGGTATAAATTATAAGCCAATAGTGGAAATGAAATGGAGACATAATACATACTCAATCCAAAGGAAGACAAAGATGGAAAGAAAGAAGACCAGATAGAATGAATAGAAAACATCTAACAAGATGGTAGAAGAGAGGATTTTGAATGTTCTCACCATAAGAAATCATAAATGTTTAAGGCAATAGACATGCTAATTACCCTGATGTGATCATTACACAATATACACATGTATCAAAACATCATATTGTACTCCATAAACATGTACAATTATTGAGGCCGGGCACAGTGGCTCACGCCTGTAATCCCAGCACTTTGGGAGGCCAAGGTGGGCAGGTCACCTGAGGTCAGGAGTTCGAGACTAGCCTGACCAACATGGCAAAACCCTGTCTTTACTAAAAGTATAAAATTAGCTGGGTGTGGTGGCAGGTGCCTGTAATCCCAGCTACTTGGGAGGCTGAGGCAGGAGAAGTGCTTAAACCTGGGAGGCAGAGGTTGCAGTGACCCAAGATCAAGCCATTGCACTTTAGCCTGGGCAACAAGAGTGAAATTCCATCTCAAAAAAAAAAAAAAAAGTACAATTATTATGTGTCAATCAAAAATAAAATAAAACTTGAAGAAACCTGGAGTAGCTGTATTAATATCAGACAAAATAGACTTCAGAACAAGAAATATTTCCAGGCATAATGAGGGACATTACATAGTGAAGACAGAATCAATTTTACAAGAAGACATAACAATCCTGGGTGTATATGCACTTTAGAACAGAGCTTCAGTTTTTTTTTCCGGCTGGAACCATGGAGGGTGTAGAAGAGAAGAAGAAGGAGGTTCCTGCTGTGCCAGAAACCCTTAAGAAAAAGCGAAGGAATTTCGCAGAGCTGAAGATGAAGCGCCTGAGAAAGAAGTTTGCCCAAAAGATGCTTCGAAAGGCAAGGAGGAAGCTTATCTATGAAAAAGCAAAGCACTATCACAAGGAATATAGGCAGATGTACAGGACTGAAATTCGAATGGCGAGGATGGCAAGAAAAGCTGGCAACTTCTATGTACCTGCAGAACCCAAATTGGCGTTTGTCATCAGAATCAGAGGTATCAATGGAGTGAGCCCAAAGGTTCGAAAGGTGTTGCAGCTTCTTCGCCTTCGTCAAATCTTCAATGGAACCTTTGTGAAGCTCAACAAGGCTTCGATTAACATGCTGAGGATTGTAGAGCCATATATTGCATGGGGGTACCCCAATCTGAAGTCAGTAAATGAACTAATCTACAAGCGTGGTTATGGCAAAATCAATAAGAAGCGAATTGCTTTGACAGATAACGCTTTGATTGCTCGATCTCTTGGTAAATACGGCATCATCTGCGTGGAGGATTTGATTCATGAGATCTATACTGTTGGAAAACGCTTCAAAGAGGCAAATAACTTCCTGTGGCCCTTCAAATTGTCTTCTCCACGAGGTGGAATGAAGAAAAAGACCACCCATTTTGTAGAAGGTGGAGATGCTGGCAACAGGGAGGACCAGATCAACAGGCTTATTAGAAGAATGAACTAAGGTGTCTACCATGATTATTTTTCTAAGCTGGTTGGTTAATAAACAGTACCTGCTCTCAAATTGGAAAAAAAAAAAAAAAAAAAAAGAACAGAGCTTCAAACTACATGAAACAAAACTGATAGACCCGAAAGGAGAGATATAAAAATCTCTTGTAACACCCTTCTCCCAGTTGTAGGTGGTACAAGTAGAGAGCAAATCAGCAAGGTTATAGAAAACCTGAATAAAATCGTAAATGATTGACCTAATTGATTTTTATCCACCTAACAATTGCAGAATACACATTCATCTCAAGGGCATATAGAACATTCACCAAGATATACCATATTCTATCACTTAAGATACATCTTTAAAAGTTTAAATAAGTTATGCAAAGTATTTCTTGCATCACAACAGAATCAAACTTGAAATTATTAACAAAAAGGTATCTGGGAAATTGAAAATATTTGGAAATTAAACACACTTATAAACAACCCAAGAGTCAAAGAAGAAGTCACATGAAAAATTAGAAAATATTTTGAATTGGATAAGAAAACAATGGTCTAAGGCTACCACCTTAAGAAACTAGAAAAAGAAGAACAAATTAAATCCAAATTGACCGTAGGAAGGAAATAAAGACACGAGCAGAAATCAATAAAATCCAGAACAAAAGAGTTAGGGAAAATTAATAAAACCAAAAGCTTTTTCACTGGAAAAAAAAGTAATAACATTTACCGAGAAAAAAAAAAAAAAAACAAGAAAAACACAAATTGCAAATATCAAGAATGGAAAGTGGACATCAATACCAACCCTACCAACACTAAAAGAATAATAAGGGAATACTATGAACTACTCTATGCCAACAAATTCACTAAGTTGCATAAAATGGACAAATTATTTGAAAGGTACAAACTGCTAAAATTCTCTTAAGAAGAAATAGATAACATGAACAGTCCTGTATCTATTTTTAAAAACTAAACTTGTAGTTAAAAACCTTCTAACCAAAAACAAACAAAAAAACTCTTCAGGTTCAAGTGGTTTTACTGGCAAATTCTACCAAACAATTAAGAAATAAATAATACTGACCTGGCCCAGTGGCTCATGCCTGTAATCCCAGCACTTTGGGAGACCGAGGCGGGCGGATCATGTGAGGTCAGAAGTTCGAGACCAGCCTGGCCAACATGGTGAAACCCCATCTCTACTAAAAATACAAAAATTAGCCAAGCATGGTGGCAGGCACCTGTAATCCCAGCTACTTGGGAGGCTGAGGTAGGAGAATTGCTTGAACCCGGGAGGCAGAGGTTGCTGTGAGCTGAGATCGTGCCATTGCACTCCAGCCTGGGCAACAAGACTGAAACTCCATCTCAAAAGAAAGAAAGAAAGAAAGAGAGAATACCAATTCTACAAAAACTGTTTAAGAATATAGCATAGGAGAGATGACTTTTTAATTCATTGTATGATACCAGCAGTATCCCAATATCATGACCACACAAAGATATTGCAAGAAAATAAAATTATAGACCAATATCCCTTATGAAAATAGATGCAAAAATTCTGAAGAAAATCTTAGCAAATCAAATTTAAGTATATATAAAAAGGATAATGCATCATGTCCAAGTGGTATTTATTATAAGAGTTAAAGGTTGAAACGTTCAACACTCAAAAATCAAGCACTATAATTTACCATATCAAGATTTTAAAAATCACATAGGCTTCTTAATAGCTGCAGAATAATGCTTTGACAAAATTCAATGTTCATTTCTAAAGGAAATTTCTTCAATATGGTAAAGGGCATCTGTAAAAACCCTACCACTAACATTAAACTTAGTGGTGAAAGATTGTATATTTTCCCTCTAAGATGAGAAACAAGGCAAGGATGTCTGTTCAACATTATACTGAACTATTCAACAGTGTACTGGAGATCCTAGACACTGTAGTAAGGCAAAAAAAGAAATAGACCAGGTGTGGTGACTCACAATGTAAGCTCAGCACTTTGGGGGGCCAACGTAGGAGGATCACCTGAGTCCAGGAGTTTGAGACCAGCCTGGGCAACATAGGCAGACCCTGTCTCTACAAAAAAATTTAAAAAGAACCTAGCATGGTGATGCACACCTATAGTCCTAGCTACTTGGAAGGCTGATCACTTGAGCTCAGGATGTCTAGCCTACAATGAGCAGGGACTATGCCACTGCACTCTAGCCTGGGTGACAAAGTGACACTCAGTCTCAAAAAAAGAAAGGGAAAGAAGGAAGGAAGGAAGGAGAAGGAGAAGGGAAGGGAAAGGGAAAGGGGAAGGGGAAGGAGAAGGGAGGAAGGGAGGTAGGGAAGGAGGAAGAGAGAGAAAGAGAAGGAAAGAAGGAAAAGAAAGGAAAGAAGAAGAAAGAAAGAAAAAAGAAAGAAAGAAAAGAAGAAGAAAGAAAAAAGAAAGAAAGTGAAAGAAAAAGAGTTCAAAAGAAGAAATATAATGGTCTCTGTTTGGAGATGAAATGATTGTCTTCATAGAAAATGCCAAAGAATCTACAAAAAAGTTACTAGAACTGTAAGTAAACTTAGCAAGATCACAGAATACAAGGTCAATATCAAAAATCAGATTAAAAGTGAAATTTATTTTTTACAAATACTATTTACAATAGCACTGAAAAAAACATGAAACACTTAGGTATAAATCTTACTAAATATGTGCAAGATCTGCATACTGTGTACAAAACACTGAGAAAAGAAAATGAATGAGACCTAAATAAATGGTTAGATATACAATGTTTGTGGGTTTGAAGACTCAATATTTTTGAGCATGCTGATTCTTCTCCAGGTTAACCTACAGATTCAACAAAGTGCCAATCAAAATCTCTGCAAGAAGTTTTGTGTAAATTGACAAGCTGATTCTAAAATTTATATGGAAGCATAAAGGAATTAGATTAGCCAAAATAATTTAGGAAAAGAACAAAGTTGAAGCCCTCATACTACCTGGTTGACAGACTCTATAAAGCTATAATATAGTACTGGTGAAAGGATAGACATGTACATCAATGGAACAGAATAGAGTCCAGAAATAGAACTGCACATATGTGGCCAATTGATTTTTGACAAAGTTGCAAAAGTAATTAAATGAATAAAGAATAGGCATTCCAAAAAGTGGTACTGGAACAACTGGCTATCCACATGCAAAAAGAAAAAAATAAAAATCAAACAAACATAGAAAACATTGATCTCTAACTTAAGCCTTATACAAAATTATCTCAAAATGGATCAAAGACCTAAATGCAAAACCATACAACTATTACAAGAAATAGAGAAAATCTTTGTGACCTTGAGGGTTATGGAAAGATTTCTTAAACACAACATTTAAAAAGATCCATATAATCCATAAAAGAAAAAAAAATAGGCTGTCTGAGTGCAGTGGTGTTTACAACAAATTGATCACAACCAGTTACAGGTTTCTTTGTTCCTTCTCCACTCCCACTGTTTCACTTGGCTTACCTTAAAAAGTAAATCTATAAATTGGACTTCATCAACATTTAAAACTTCTACTCTTTTAAATAGATGGTTAAAAGACAAAATACAGACCAAGAGAGAATATTCAACATTGCATATCTTATAAAGGACTTATATCAAGAGTATATAAAGAACTTTCAATACTCAATATGAAAATAAATGATTCAGTAAAAACAAGGAAAACATTGAACAAATAATATATATAAATGATAAGATAATTTGCCATATAAAAGATGCTCAATATCAATATTTGTTAGGAAAATACAAACTAAAACCACAATGAAATACCACTACATACTTAATTAAATGGCTAAAACCAAAAATCAGAAAACCTGACAGTTTCAAGTGCTGATAAGGATGAGAATACAAACAACTTTTTTTTTTTTTTTTTTTTGAGATAGAGTCTTGCTCTTGTCACCCAGGCTATAGTGCAGTGGGATGATCTTGGCTCACTGCAACCTCCACCTCCCAGGTTCAAGCGATTCTCCTGCCTCAACCTCCCAAGTAGCTGGGATTGCAGGTGCCCGCCACCACACCCAGCTAATTTTTTTTTTTTTTTTTTTTGTATTTTTAGGAGAGACATGTTTCACCATGTTGGCCAAGCTGATCTCAAACTCTTGACCTCAGATGATCTGCCCACCTCGGCCTCCCAAAGTGCTGGGATTACAGGCGTGAGCCACCGTGCCTGGCCACGAACAACTATTAATAGAACTCTCATATATGTATTGGTAGTCAGGATGCAAAAGAGCTACCACTTTGGAAATCAGTCTGGCAGTATCTTATAAAGTTAAAAAGGAAACTTTTACCATAATTCATAACTTTAAAAAGAAAACTCCTACCATAATTGAGTAATCCTACTCCTAGGCATTCCAAGTAAAATGGAAATTGATGTTCACAAAAGGCCCTCTAAGCAAATGTTTTAGTGGCTTTATTTGTAATCAGCTCAAACTGGAAACAACTCAAATGTCCCTTAGCTGTTAAATGGATAAATAAACTGTGGTATATCCATACAATAGAACGCTACTCAGCAATTAAGTGGAACAAACTTCTGATGTACACAACGATGTGGATGACTCTCAAATTCTTTATGCTAAGTGAAAGAAGCCAGATTCAAAAGGCTTCATACTCTTTGATCTTACTCATATGACACTCTTGTAAACAGATAGAAAATAGATCATTGGCTGCCAGGGGCTGGAGATGGAGGGAGGGCTTCAAAGAACCGGCAGGGGGGTGGGGGGTTGGGGAATTTTTTGGTGATGGAAATATAGCTTCATTGTGACAATGATAAACATGACTATATACATTTGTCAAAAGTAGCAGAATTGTAGACTAAAAAGGGTCCATTTTATTGTGTGTAAATTAAATTTTCATAAAACAATGGGAAAAAAATGTAAAGGGCCAGGAATAACCAAGACAGTCTTAAAGAAAATGAAAAAAGGGAAGTCTTTCTATAATAGATATCAAGAAATATTATAAAGATAGTTAAGACAGTTTGATGTTGGCTCACAGATAGACAAATAGACTGGTGGTACAAAATAAAGATCGTAGTATCTGGGCACTGTGGGACGCACCCGTGCCAGTTATCCAGGAGGCTGAGGCAGGAGGATCCCTTGAGCCCAGAAGTTCGAGTCCAGCCTGGACAACATAGTGAGAGCCCATCTCTTAAAAAAAAATTCCTAGATATGGATCATATGGACACTTGACAGATGATAGAACCAGTGGGGATGGGGGAGGGAAAGACAGTTTTAAGTGAACCTAAGATCATTGGCTAACCTTTTTTTTTTTTTTTTTTTTTTTCTGAGACGGAGTCTTGCTCTGTCACCCAGGTTGGAGTACAGTGGCCCAATCTCGGCTCACTGCAACCTCCGCCTCCCGGGTTCACGCCATTCTCCTGCCTCAGCCTCCCGAGTAGCTGGGACTAAAGGCACCCGCCACCACGCCCAGCTAATTTCTTGTATTTTTAGTGGAGACGGGCTTTCACCGTGTGGCTAACCATTATTTTTTAAAAGTACTGTTCATTTCCGGCTATACAACATATACAGAAATGAACTCCCTTACCAAGTGTTGGCTAAGATTTGGAGCAACAGGAAATCTCATACACTGCTGGTAAGGGTATAAATTGATACAACCACTTGGGAAAACAGTTTAGCATTATTTACTTAGATTGACGAAAATGCAATATCTTACCATCCAACAAATTCTACTCCCTGGCAGGCATACGTGCAATAGAAATGTGTGCACAAGTGTACTAAGATACATAGCAGCATTTGTCATAATAGCTCAAACTGGAAAAAAAAATGAAATATCCATCAATAATAGAATAGTAAAAAGTAGTATTTATATAATAGTATAATATAAACCAAATAAACAAGTGAAATACAGCTACGCACAATTATACGCATGCTTGGTTACATGGTGGCAAATGCCTTCTCCCATTCTGTGGTTTGTCTCTCCCCTCTTTATGGTATCCAAAGGAGATCGCATGAATGGTCCCAATTCTTCATTCCTTTCAGTACCCGATCTCTTTGCCATGTGACTTAGCAGTTGCTCTCAGAAAAAAAAAAAAAAGGTGATACCTATTTCTCCACCCCTTGAATCTGGGCTTGGTCGTGCAGGTGCTGCTTTGGCCTATAGAATGAGATGGAAGTGAGGGTGTTCCAGTTTCAAGCCTAGGCCACAAGAGGCATTGCATGTTTCTCCTTGCCTGCGGATGCTGCTAACATCACTATGAGAAAGACGCGCCTGAGCTGGCATGGCTAAGGTATCCTAGCCAAGGCTAGATTAAAGCAGAGTCCCCAGTTGCCCCAGATGCATGAGAAAACCCTAGCAATCCAGCCAGATCAGCTGAATACTGTAGATGAGAGAGAAATACGTGTTTATTGGTATATGTCACTGCAGCTTTGTAGGGTTGTTTGCTATGCAACAACAGCTAACTGATAGAGTGAGCTAAGGGAAGAGGTAGGCCTGGGAAGGTTGGATTTTGCCAGGCAGAGGCAGGGAAGAGAAAGAAGGGCATCTGAAAAGAAATGAACAGCAAAGGCAATCAGCAGGTCCACCAGTCTGCCACCAGCCGTCACGGGACCCAGGCAGAGAGTGGCGGTGCTGGCAATCCCCTCCCACTCCTTGCTTGCTTTCCTTGCCTTCTTTTTTTTTTTTTTTTAATACTAGTGGTCACTGTAAGATATTCATCCATAAAGAGATACACTGTCCCCATAAATGGAAGGCCCCCCAAACCCTTATTCACCTAATCACAGCCTCTCTCCCCGCCTCAACTGCTTGTAAGAGTGTGTGTATACTCTTCCTAGCATTTGCCTGGGCACAGACGAGCTCATCCATCTGTCCACCCATCCATCCCATCCCTACTTTATAGTTTTAAAAATAGTATCCTATGCTATTTAATCATTCAACACATCTTAGAAATCTTTCCATATTAGTTCATAGAGATTTACCATATTTTTAAAATTGCTTCACTGTATCTCATCGTATGGATGTACCATAATTTATCTCACCATTCCTCTAACAAATGGACACTCTAGTTCCTTCTAATTTTTCTCCATTGCAAACAATGCTCAGTGGACATCCTTGCACATGAATCGTTGTGTAAATACACTCTCATTGGAGCAGGATCCATTCATAGAAGTGGGATCGCCGGGTCAAAGGGTAGGTACGTTAAAACATGGAGATATTGTTAAATTGTTCCCCTAAGAAGGCCGTGAGGATGTGCATTCTCACCAACAGTGTGTGAGAAATGCAGCATCACCGTACACTTGCTGACATGGGATATCACTGATCTTTAAAATTATTCGCAGTCTGGTAGGAAAAAATGTTAATTCGTTGAGGTTTCATGTGCATTTTCTGTATGAGTGATGAAATAAACATTTTTTCCATGTGTGTATTGGCTATTGGTATTTCTTCTACAGATATCCTTTGTCCGTTTTTTTGTCTTTATTGATTCATTGGACTATTTATTTCTTTATTTTTGAGACCGAGTCTCGCTCTATCACGCAGGCTGGAGTGCAGTGGCGCAGTCTTGGCTCACTGCAACCTCTGACTCCCAGGTTCAAGCGATTCTCCTGCCTCAGCCTCCCGAGTAGCTGGGATTACAGGCGCCCACCACCACGGCCAATTAATTTTTGTATTTTTACTAGAAGTGGGGTTTCACCATGTTGACCAGGCTGGTCTCGAACTCCAGACCTCAAGTGATCTGCATGCCTTGGTCTCCCAAAGTGCTGGGATTATAGGCATGAGCCACTGCACCCAGCTTATTGAACTATTCGTTATCTGTATTATGTCTGCTAACCCAATTATCAGAAATGCTGAAAATATTTTCCATCAGTTTGCCACTTCTCTGCTAATGTTCTTTTGGTTTGTGTATTCACACAGAAGTTTTTACTGTGTGTAGTCAAATCTGTTGTCTTTTCATTTCTGACTTCTGGGTTTCATGTTTTGTTTAGGAAGGCTGAGCCATTTATTGTTTACGAGGCACTTTCATTTCCATTTTCTCATACAGGCCTGGGTCACAGGCAATCAGTGAAGTGCATAGCTCTATTGCATAGATAAGAAAAAGGAAGGTCAAGGAGGGTTTGTGACTTATCTCAGCTCACACAGCTACTTTGGGGAAGACTCAGAGCCAGAATCCGAATTTTCTGAGTCGAAGGCCTAGGTAGCTGGGCGCCACTCCCCACTACTTGGATTGTCTGGCCAATACCATTCCCTGTGCCCCTTGGCGCATTTCTGACAGGTCACCTGCATCCATCTGTTGTGGGAAGCAGTTAGCCCATGCTTCCCTATCTGGCCCAGATCTGCCTCTCTGTGACACCCACCTGTTGCTCTGGACCCTCAGGCAGCTCTGTTCCCTGTCCCTCGACAGGCCTCCAGTGATGCAGACAGCACTTGTGGTCCCCGGAGGTACTACTTCTCCAGGGTGAGCACTCTGGTTTCTTAGTAGTCTTTCCTGGGACATGGTCTCCAAGCACATCTGGCCTCCCTTACTCTCATCAGATCAACAACATGCAAGGTCATCAATGTGACATTAACTTCTTAAAGTCCAACACATTTGGAAGCAAGCCCCTAAGTGTTGTAACATAAGCACAATCAGATGGCGCTGGGGAACAGAAGATGGAGAGTCTGTGAGGCCTTCCAGAGCAGTGGCATTGGAGCTGGGCCTTGAAGGAGGAGCAGCAACCCTTCAGGCAGAAAGGAAATCCCAGGAGAGGGAATAGCATAGGGGCAGAGAGGGTGAAAAATCAGGACTCTCTGGGGCCAACCAGAGTGTGAAGGAATGGAGTGGAGATGGGAGTAGAAAGGGGGTGAGGTCCAAGTACTAAGAGTACCTGACAACCTGGCAGGGTGCCAGGGCTTGATCCTATAGGCCATGGGTCCTTAATGGCCTGGAGGCCTCTAGAGGGGTGCACCTCCAAGTGCAGTTCAGGGACCCCAGCCTCAGAATCACAGGGGTAACTGTTAAAATGAAGACTCCAGGACCATCCCAGGCCTGCTGACTTAGGGGTGGGAGGGGGGTACCTGCACAGGTAACAAGCTCTCTAGCGGATTCTCATGCTCCCTCTGGCTGAGGCCACTGCCTTTGAGAGTCCCTGGATGGCCTTGAGGAAACCTGGGCACCCCTAACACGGATGCAAAGTTTGTGTGTGATCTTGCCCAGCTTTCATGCAATTCTCACCAAGTCCCTGACCCAGGCTGGCAGAGACCCCTCTCTGGTGGAACATGTTTAGGTGGAGGAGGGGTATAACCAGCAAGAGGGGTGGAGGCTACAGTAGTCCTGAGGGATGGCCTAGGCCACCTTGGCAGGACCTGTCTCTGTCCCCACGATCAAAGGATGCTGCTTGTCCTGTCATTTCTATCCATCCAGCTAATTCCTATAGCTCCTTCAGACTCGCTGCCTCCTGGAAGCCTCCCTGTTCCTGCCAGATGGGCAGGTATCCTTATTATGCATCCCAGGCCTTTTGGGCTCAACCGCATCCCAGCATTTTCCTTGCATGGCAGGCTTCAAAGGTTTATCAGGTGCTCACTATGTGAAAGGCAGCACGCCCAGTGCTCTTTGGAATTTTCTCATTGAATCCTCAACTCTAGAGGTAGGTGTGGTTATTATCCTTGTTTTACTGAAGAGCAAACCAAGGCTCAGAGAAGTTAAGTCACTTTCCCAAGATCACACAGCTGGTGAGGGCATTTCTGCCTCCTATGGTACAGGTATACCTGACCATTCTGATCCACTGATTTTAGATGTATGAAGAGTGAATGAATTAATGAATGAATGCTGTATGCCAAAGCCCCGTGAGTAGGAAGGTACTCTGTCCTCCTGGAAAAAATGGCATTTAGAGGCCTAATCCTTACTCTTTTGTTCATTTGTTCTTTTTTTTTTTGAGATGGAGTTTCATTCTGTCACCCAGGCTGGAGTGCAGTGGCGTGATCTCAGCTCACTGCAACCTCCACCTCCTGGGTTCAAGTGATTCTCTTGCCTCAGCCTCCTGAGTAGCTGGGACTATAGGCACCCACCACCACGCCCAGCTAATTTTTTAATATTTTTGACAGAGGCTGGGTGCAGTGGCTCACACCTATAATCCCAGCACTTTGGGAGGCCCAGGCAGGTGGATCACGAGATCAGGAGATGGAGACCAGCCTGGCTAACACAGTGAAACCCTGTCTCTCCTAAAAATACAAAACATCAGCCAGGCGTGGTGGCACGTGGCTGTAGTCCCAGCTGCTCAGGAGGCTGAGGCAGGAGAATCACTTGAACCCAGGAGGCGGAGGTTGCAGTGAGCCAACATTGTGCCACTGCACTCCAGCCTGGGTGACAGAGAGAGACTCTGTCTCAAAAAAAAAAAAAAAAATATATATATATATATATATATTTTTTTTTTTTTAATAGAGGCGGGGTTACCATGTTGGCGAGGCTGATCTCGAACTCCTGACCTCAAGTGATCTGCCCGTTTTGGCTTCCCAAAATGCTGGGGTTACAGGCGTGAGCCACTACACCTGGCCTCTTTTTTTTCTTTTTCCCTTTTTTTATAGGCAAGTCTCATTCTGTTGCCAGGCTAGAGTACAGTGTCAGAGTTACAGCTCACTGAAGCCTCAAACTCCTGGGCTCAAGCAATCCTCCTGCCTCAGCCTCCTGAGTAGTTAGGACTACAGGCACACACCGCCCACTTGACTAATTTTCTATTTCTTTTTGTTGAGACAGGGTCTCACTGTGTTGCTCCAGCTGGTCTCAAACTCCTCCTGGCATCAAGCGATCCTCCTGCCTTGGCTTCCCAAAGGGCTGAGATTACATGTGTGAGCCACCACACTGGACTCCCTAATATTTTCTGAGTGCTGTTTATGTGCCAGGCACCACAGCAGGCTCTTTCCATATTTATCTAATTTAGTGCTTTTAACACATGAGGCTGATTCTATTAATTACGCCATTTTGCCGATGAGGAAACCAAGGCTCAGAGAGGTTAGTTCACTTGCCCAAAGTCCCAGAGCCAGGGAATGACAGAGCTGAGACTGGAAGCAGGCAGCCTGGCTGCAGAGCCTACGCTAATGACCAGCACACTGCACAGGGCGATCCTGACCTCCCCCAGCAGTGGGTGTGCTGACCGCTAGTGGACACAGAGTGGGGAAGTGCCATGGGACTCAGTGGGGTAAGCCCTGACTGAGGAAGCCTTGGTGATGCTGCCGGGAAGGTGACAAACAAGAATCCCAGATTGACATTACCCCTTCCTGTGGCAGAGGAACTTTGAGAGGAGTTTGCATGACAGCCCAAGGATTAGGAAACTCTGAAGAAATGTGTGGGCCATGTCACACTTCACATACTGAGAGCCTAGTTTTCATCTCCCTGCCTGACTCCTGGACCCTGGAACCTCCAGACCCCAGGTCAAGGACAGCTTAGCCCCCACCCTCCTGCCCAGTTAACCCCAACTGCAGCCCATGCCCTGGGACCCAGGAGGTTCCCCACCAGAGAGTGGAGTGGGCCCAAGCTAGGAGCCAGGGACCCAGACAGAATAATGGCAATTTGGCAACTGGTTCCTCTTTGACCCTGGACCACAAAGGTTCGACCACACCTATCTCTAGGCCTGAGGATTGAGCTCTAGTGTCTGAATTGGAGTACTATGGGGTATTTGCTCCCATTACTATTGCAGCTCCATAGAGCAGATCAAGGCCATACCCTGTAGCAGGGCTTACAGGGGCCTTTGCAATCTGATCTCTGCCTCTTCTCTCTCCATCCACCCTCCCTGCTGTACTGAACACTTGCAGCTCCTGCATACACCCCCACACTCCTTCTTCCTGTTCCACATACTTCTGCTTCCACCTGGCCCATAAGCCTCCCTTTGCCTGACTGAGTCCCTGTCTTATAGTCTCTCGTGGCTCCCTGAGTTTCCTGGCACTTCTCGCTGTCAACAGAAGCACAGTTATGAGAGTGGTTATTGGTGTGATGTCATTCTGACCCCTTTGTTCTGCAGCAGGAGTTTCCTGGTAGGGCCAGTCTCCCTTCCGGTCTTCTTTATACCCTCTACACCTGGCCCTGCCTGGCAGATGAGTGCTCAGTCAATGCCAGATGCATGAAGAAATGTATAAACAATCCAATGAATGAATGAATAAATGAAGAGCAAGGAGAAGCTCTCCACCCTCCAAAAGCAATTTATTCAGCAAATGCTTCATGTGTCAGGCCTTGTTCTGGGCCCAGGAAGGCCAAGGCTCAGAGCACTTTCCTGCATGCAGGGACCTCACCGCCTGGTGGGAGGTAAGGCAAGTAGCTAAGTGGTGTTATACAGTGCAGCTGATAATATCTGACATCTATGGACATTAACATGATTTGTCATCCAATTTGGAACCTTTGAGACTGGAAGGGGTGCTATTAATAATTGCATTAACACAGGGGCATGAAGAAGGACTGTTCTGGTTGATCCATTGGGCACACTCTTCATGCCAGTCTCTGGACTGAGCTATTTGCACAGATCATCTCATTGATTCTCCCAGCCACCTTAGGGGAAAGCTGTAATTACTCCATGTTACAGATGAAGAAAGACAGGCTCAAAGATGGTAAGTAACCTGCCTGGAGTTAAACAGCTAAGTGGCAGAGCTGGGTTTTAAACCCTGGAACCCAGAGCCAGAGCCCACATGTTCAACCACTGTCTTTCATCAATGGCAGGGGCTCTCAGGAGGATCGAGGGTAAAGGGGAACAGCCTAGGCTTTGGAGCCAGATAGACCAGGAATTCATTCCCCACTCCTAACCACAGCCAGGTCCCCGGCCTTTCAAGGCCTTGTTTCTTCATTATGTAAAATGGGGAAGGGGCTATTGACTCAGATCCAGTGAGACAATAATGCAGGTGAAGGGCATGCAACAGATATTTCTCAATCACTGTCCCTGGCCCTGGGGACATGGTGGTGAACAGGTCAGCTGTGGTCCCTCCCTTCTGCAACTCACAGCCTATTGTCAGAGCCAGGAGAGGAACCAGGCCACTGGGGGAGTTGCAAGATGTCCTGGGATCACCGGAGAGAAGAGTCAAGGAAGGCCCTATCTGAGTTGAGAGGAAGTGAGAAGGGTGAGGAGTTGGGGGAGAGATACAGGGAGGAGGAAGGAATGTTCCAAGAAGGAGAAACAGCACAGTAAAGGCCTGGAGGCGTAAGAGTGCACAGGGTATGGGAGGCTAAGAATGCTGAACAGATGTGAGGGCCCATAAGAGGCACAGACAAAGGAATGCGAAGAGAAATCATTTTCAGCTGAAGAATGAGGAAAGCTTCTTGGAGAAAGTAGCTTTTGCTGGGCTGGAAGCTTGAGCAAGACTTTGACCTTCAGCTATAAAAGACTGGGCATTCTAGGTGGTGACGGTAGCACCAAAAAAAGGGGCAGAGGTCAGGAAGCTAGTGGCCCACACAAGGTGGATGGACCTTGGAGGGCAGATGTGGGAGAGGCAGTAGGAGAGGTTGGAATCAGATCAGGGAGGGCCTTAAAGATTCCATGAAGGAGTCTCGACTTTGCTGGGCCACGGGGAGCCACTGAAGATGTTTGAGCAAGGGAACACCAAGACCATCACTATGCTTCAGGAAGATCAAGAATGAAAAAGAAAAATTTTCAGATGTGGAAGCTTCCCTCTTGTCTCTTCAGAGGGGAAAAAAGGGACTTAGAATTCTGTGATTTTCCAGAAACTGTGTTACTTCCCCATGTTTGTGACTTTTCTAGTTCCTGCAGTGAAGACCCACAAAATCTAAAACCAGAGACTGTGGATCTGCAAAGGGGAGCTGGGCAAGGGCAGCCTGCTGTGAAGCCCTGCAGGAGAAGGCGAGGAGCCCTGAGCAGGTGGGGGGTGGGAGCTGCTGGAGAGGGCAGACCTGTATGCCAAGAACATGTGGGTGAGGGAAGAGCCAGCTGGGAGGGGGTGGTACAGGGAGACAGTTCGGCTTCTGTGATGTCCCCAGGTCCCTGCCCCAGGCCAATGGTCCCTCGCCAGACCCCTACACAGTGGTGGCAGATTTTCTTCCAAGCTGTGGGAAACTTTCATGGCCCAGAGCGGCCCCAGAACCCCATCCCAAGGAGAAGCCCGCCCCCCCCCCACCACCCAAGAAATTCCAGGAGCCACATTCTGTGTAGGCAGCTGGCCCCTGACCCCAGGGCTCAGCCTGCTGGCCACTCTGAGATCTGGAACTGGACCTAGACACCCCCGGGGAAGGTAGGAGCAGGGAGGCTGGAAGGCAAGAGCCTCCCTGCAGTGACTGTAGCCAAGCCACTTGATGGCTCTGAGCCTCAACCTCCTCATCTGGAGGCTCCTCTCACAGGCTAATCGTGAGGATCCGATGGGACCACTGGTAGGAGCACACCCTACACCATGAGGGACTGGGGCAGAGCAGGGCGGTGAGGGAAGGCTGGGTTTCCCGACGGGTGGGATGCCCTGTCTAGATGTGGGATGATGGATTAGTAGAGCTGCAGCAGCACTGAATGGCACTGTGGGAAGCTTCCTGCCTTGCCAAGTCCTCTGGGTGTTTCTGGTTATGCCAAGGAGAATGTTTCAGCTTGGCGCATTTCTGTCTTCAACTCTTCTCTGTCACCCACTTATGACTTTTCTCAATAAACCAAAGAGGGTCCATACTTCCTCCACCAGTCCAGAGTACTTAGCTAGAATTAAATAACGTTGTTTCTGTTGTTTGTATGTTTGATTTTCTCAGCCGCCCAGGGCACTATATGTACTTAAAAGGGAATTTTTAGACTTCAGTGACATTTTAAATGTTTATTCTCTTTACTCAACAACTCAATGTCTAGGAATTTATGCTATGGAAACAAATACTTAAATATGCAAAAACAAACATATTTTATAAATAATGGCCATTGTAGCATAACTTATAACTCTAAAAAATGGGAAATAGTCCAAATGCCCCTCAGTAGGAGATTGGTGTTAAATATAGTGAACCCCAAGTTTCTCTTCAAAGAATCAGTATGTCAATATGTTCAGCTCTCTTATTCTTTGATTCTCCATTTTAAAGTTTAACTTCCTGGATCTCTTCGCCCCCTTGCTTCTGGTTTCAGTAAACAACTTTCCCACCAGTCCTAATCAGTTCACATCTGTTCCCCTGGTCACCTGCTTTGACCTGAGTCACCTGCTCCATCCTGACTCATCCTGAGCCACCTGTTCGTATCCACCTTTCCCACCAAACTACTCACCCCGGCACTCCAGCTCATGCTCCTGCTCTTTTTTTTCAAATAGCCAATTGGAATTAGCTTAGACTATGCGGTCCAACCCTAGCCAATAGGGGAACAATGCAGCAGTAGAGGCTGCCTGTGTCAGGAATAAGAACCTCTTCCCCTCCCCTGTCAAGGTGTGCTCTCGCCATTGTTCCATCTGCCAGGAGCACCCTCTCTGCAGAAAGTAAAAATTGCCTTGCTGAGGAAATTAAATTTATGTTCGAGTGCTATTTCTTTGTGGCACTGGGGAACAAGCATTTTGCATTTCTGACATTGGTTAAATAATGTCTGGCACAGGCTTGCTTTTAAACTATGTGCATCTCTCAAAATGAATGCATTAATATCTGTATTTCCCATGGACCTATGAGTATGCCCATGATATATTGTTAAGTGAAAAACAAAAAGTTGCACAATGACAAATGGGAGTTTTGTTGAAGATTATAGCTATATTCTATGTAGATAGGTACAGATACAAATATTAGTATGGATATAAAGAAAACAACTTTGAAAAATATAACTAAACTATTTATAGTGAGAGGCAGAATTTCAACAAGATAAATTTGTACCACAGAGTTGCTGAATAAAGAGAATAAAGATTTAAAATGTTACTGCATTTAACATATAAAAATACTCAAAGAAGACCTTCTCTTTCTATATTATGTATTTTGGTAATGGATTTTTAAATACAGGCATATATGACATAAATACTTGTATCAAGTAGTTTTTTTTTTTTTGTCAGATCACAGGACCTTATTAAGATGGAATCACTGCTAATTACATAGAAGCCACTTGCCTAAGCCAGAATCCATGAGGTTCACGTGAAGTTATAGTTGCACAAATTAGAAACAAAAGGCATATTCAAAGACAGAAGGAAATATCCTGATGCCCATTAAAAATAATTTTTAATTGCAAAACCGAACATTATAACTAAAATAAAAGGGGCCTGTTAGAGACGGTGCCCTGATTCAAAGAAGAAGGGACGTGAATGGGAGCTGTGAGACCCTCATCAGCTGCAGGTCAGGGCCCCGGCAGAAATAGCTCCTTTCAGTCTTTCCCTCTTTTTCCAGGAACAAGAACCCCGGCCGTGAGTGGGGTGGCGGAAGAATTGTGCAGTCCAAGTGGCTCATCTGTCTGGGAGGAAAATCCCAGCTCACCCGTCTTCCCTGGGCCCGCCTGAGGGGAGAGACTGGGAGGCAGGAGCCCAGCAGGGGCTGACCTGTGGTTACCCCAGACCCTGCCTGCCCTCTGCACAGGGGCCTGAGAGGCCCAAGCCCTCCCACAAATGAGTTTTTATTATTTTTCTCTAGCTCTCAGATGATGTTAGCTTTCCTTTCTCATCCAGTCCTTTCCTATCCTTTCTCTTGGGGAAACACAGTACCAGAAGGTCTGGAGACAGAAGATAGGAGTTTTGTCGCAGGCTTCCCCAGTCCCTAGCTCTGCAAATTTGGGTGGGTGCTTTACCTCCCTGAGTGCTGACTTGGGAGTCAGTCTGACCTGGGCTCCTCTCCCATCCCTGCCACACTGACCAGATGATCTTGGGCAAGTCACTTCAAAACCTCCCTGAATGCACATTTGATTTGGTTTGAATGCAAATCAAAATTGTGAAAATAAAATAAAATTTCAGGAGCTCCCCAATTCATTATGCCAATGGGAAAAGTTAAGCCCTGGAAACTGAGTCACATCACAGGACTGCTCTCTGACCATTGCCTCTTGATTTTTGTGTTGAGAATGTTATACTTTAACCGGGCTCCCCATTCTTTATTCAAACCTGGACTAAATGACACGCTGGTGATCATTACCTCTTTACAAATGAGTGTTAAGCAGCCCCCTTAAAGTGTAGTCAATAGTAGCCAATCAAATCTTGTAGCTCTACGTTAACCTTTGTATGGAAAATGTAATTGTGTTACCCACCCGTTTCTGGCTATATAAACCATCCTCACCTTGCCCCACACAGGGAAGCACTGATCACCATTCTCTGGTTTTCCTGTTTCCTGACGACTACCCTCACACTTTGCCCTTGAATAAACTTCTTTAACTAGAAAAACAAAAACAAACAAAACAACAACAGCTTGGACTGGTGTCTCATCTGTAACATGGGATAATAGTAGGACTCAGGTCACTGGGCTTTTGGGAGGGTAAAATGAGCTAATGTGTGTGAAGCAACCAGACAGCCCTGGGGCATAGTAACTGTTGGATAGTGGTAGTCAGATTTTTATCAACCTTTGTCTTAGTGTGGCATCTAGCTCCATTTATCCCTGGGGAAACTGAGGCCTGATGTGGTGTAATCCACTCAAGTTCCCATAAGGAGCAGGCCTGAGACACAGGGAGCTGAGATCTTCTGACCTCCAGACAGAGGCTTTTGCACCAGCAAAGATAATCCCTGTCTGGAATGTGGGCTAGTTATTTTCTTTACAAGGCAGATCCGGGTATCACCTCATTCAACTCCTGCCACAGCTAGAAGAGAAGTCACAGGCTCTGGGTGTTTTCTGAAGCCAGGATCCCTGGGATGGTGGGCTTTGTATGGCCAGGCCTTATAGCCGTCGGGTATTTTCCCTGGTGTGGCTCAGCTGCCCCTGAGTTGGCGGCTGGGCCTGTGAGTCAGAGCTGTCCCATGGCTCCATTCTTTTCCCCACTTGAAGCCACAGCCCCAGACTCCTGGAGGCAGTCCAGGGAGGCCTGTGGTTCCAAAATGAGGTCCTTCCCGCACCCACTCAAATGAAGATGCCGTTTCCCCAGCTCAGAGAGAGCAAGGGAGGGGCTAAGGACACACAGTGATGGATCTGAGGCTGACATCTGGTCCACCTCAAGTGAGCCAAGTACAGGACTCTGGGCCCAGGTGGGAGGGCCCTAGCACTCTGTCCCCTGCCCCCAGCAACCCTATTGCCCCTGGCCCTGTGTTGCTGCCGGGGTCCCACAGGCCTGGGCTCGGCAGGAGAGCCTATGACTCATGCCGGCCCCACAACCCCTGAGATGCTGCAGCCGTGAGGGGTCTGGGTCCTGCCAGGTCTACACCTCTCTGCCCTCAAAGCCACAGCCTGGTCGCCACCCTATTCCCTCCCCTGTCCTTACCCTGGCCGCAGTTCCCTCCGCTTCCTCTCTTCCTCTTCCTCTTCCTCTTCTCTCTTCTCCACCTTCTCCTCACTTCGTGCTCTCACGCTTTTGGACACTCTGTCTGCCCTTCTCCTACCTGGGGCCTGATCATGACTCACCTGGACCTGGAATCTGGGCTCTAGCAGCTGCCTGTCACAGAGCACGCCGGCCTCAATCCGGGCCTGTGGGCGGAGTGGAGGGGAGGGTGTCCCAGCTGATAGCCAAAGCCAAAGCACATGGTGGAGGCAGTGAGACGCCTCAGCACCAGAGCCTTGGAGCAGCCCTGCAGCCCCACACCCTCCTGCCCGACTCAAGGCCAGGCTCTGTGGAGCCAGAAAAGCCTGCTCGCTTCCCACCTTGGGAAACCAAGCCCAAGGTCTAGGCCCCCCAGCTTCCAGCGAGGGGTGGGAGAGCGAAAATCCCCACTTTACAGATGAATGAAATGAGACTCAGAGCTGAAGGGACCTGTCTGGGGGTCTGCGTCTGGGTGAGCCTCATGTGCCCCACTCCACACTCCCTATGGGCAGGAACCCAAACCCGAGAGAGACCACAAAGTCTGTGAGTGAGAAGCACCAGGTTTAATATTAAAATCTTTCCCTTAAAAAAAAGTACACAGATAGAAAAACTCAACAGCATACAAAATAGCATTTCTGCTGTATAAATGTGAGTTAACGTGAGTCCTAAAAATATTTGTAAACCTAGGTGATTATATCTTTGGTACCGTATTGAGAACCCACTCTCCCTCCTTGGACCAACTCTGGGGATCCCAGGGAAGTAAGGTGCCAACCTGCAATGCAGGGTTGGTGCCCAGAGGGGTTGAGCTTCCTGCACCCCCTTCCCAACCCTCCCCGTGCGGGGGCGTCTTGGCTACAACCCTGACTCCCCTGGCACCTCCAATGCCCACTGGGCTGGGGACAATGAGATGTCACTGCTAGGTCTGGGCAGTGACAAAACCATACCCCCATGGAGCGCTGCCTCAGGGATGGGGCAGCTGGTGGGTGAGGGGCAAACCTCCAAAGCGCCCACCTCTCACATCCTTCTTGGGGTACCCATCTGAAGCTTCTTGTCTTTTACAAGACATAACTGTCCTCACTGTCCATTCTGTCTTCGACGCAGACCTCGGCACAGGTGCTGGAGTGGTGGGCTGCAGGAGGTGATCTCATTTGCCCTCTTTGTCCCTTTTGCCCAGGATACCCCCGGAGGTCATCGTGGGTAGTGAAAGAGGTCCCGTGGTCTTCCCATGTCCCTGGGGCAGCTGCTGGGGGCTTTCCAGGACACCGGCTGTCACTCTAAGTCAAGGCCTGTGCAGCTGTGTTCTTGAGACTTGCTGGGGGCCTGGGGAAGGGGCATGGTTCCTGAGTCCCCAGAGTGTGATGTGTGATCTGGAATCTCCCAGGAGCCCAGCTGACCCCCAGGATGGAAGTTTAGGGTATATGGCCTTGCTTCATCTGGACAAATGTGCAACCACCTGGAATACTCTAGAATGTTAGTGCTGGCAAGGCACTCAGAGTTAATAAGTCCGACTTATTCATTTTTTGAAGGGGAAACTGAGGCCCAGAGAGGGTGAGGGATTCCTCCAAAGCCTCATAGCAGGTCCAATGCAGAGCCAGGGCCATATACTGGCACACACACGTGGCCACTCCACACTGGCACATTTACATTCTCATCACAGATGCGGGGCCCGTCTGGCCTTCTAGACTCTGGTGGATGGATTAAGACTGAGGGTGATAAAGAAAAAGCCCCAGGACTGATGGGCCTGAAGGACAGGGACACAGGCACTTGCTATGGCTGCGTGTGCTCCAAGTGCCCTGGGCAAGGGCTGCAGGCTGGGGGTGTCCTGTACTTGGCTCAGCCTCCAGCATTAATTAGGCTGCCTAATGGCCCCAGACCAGCTCGGGCCAGGGAACGCAGGGACTGGCATCATAGGGAGGAGACTGGCTTTCTTCTGGATGAGGCAACACTGCTCAAGGCTAGGCCCTAGCTCAGCCAGCAGCCAGGGAGGCTAGGGTCTCTTCCCTAGCTCCTGGGTGGATAAAAGTGCGAGGAGAGAGCTATGATTCCTTGAGGGGTAGCTGGCTGAACAGAAAAAAGTTAATTTACCACCTCAGTAACTCCAAGAATCTTCCCAGGGAGGGATTCGGTCTCCCCACCTGTCAGCCAGGGAGAGAATCCTAGATTCTGGGTCATCAAGCCTAACTTTCCCATTTTACATATGGGAAAACTGAGTTCCCTGGGGGAACCCTGGCTCAGAGTCAGTTGGCCTCCCTGGAGGCAGAGGGCTGGTCACGGCCCCTGCAGTTTTCTTGCCTCCTAAGCCAGCCCCAGGGTTTGGGGCACAACACGTCAGGAGCAGAAAGCTTCCAGAAGGGGACAGCTGATAAGGGCAGCCTGGCTGACAGGAAGCCCGGTCAGGCCAGGCCAGGAGATGCTGGGTGCTGGCAGGGGGGGAGCTTCAGGCAGGGCAGGGTAGGGGCCAGCCCCCTACAGGAAGCTATCCTCTGCTTCCGCCCGAGGCGCAGGGCACCCCGAATCCGGCAACTGTTCCAGCTCTGGCTCCGGCTCCACCTGGAGCTCAAGCTGGGGCTCTGGCTCTGGTTCGTCCTGGGGCTCCAGGGGGCTGTCACAGGAGATGGTTGAGGAGGTGTTGACTTCATTCAGGGTGGAGCTAGAGGAAAGAGGCAGTGAGTGAGGGGCTAGGAAGGAGCCCAGGAGGATTCCAGCAGCAGTCATGAAGAGCCTTCGGTGTGTCCACCCCTGCACCGTAGGCTTCACACACTCCGGCTCATTTAACTCTTGTGAAAACTATGCAAGGCCTGCACCGTGAGGAAAGTGTGGCTCAGAGAGGTTATATCACTGCCCCACTTCACACAGCAGGGAAGTGCAGGAGCTGGAACTTCGGAGCAGGGTCAGCTGGCTCCAAAGCTCGTTTCTCACCCACCAGCATCTCCCTCCTCTGCACTCCTAAAGGTGTATGCTATCTCATTTAATCCTTGCAATGACCGCCTAATAGAAGTACTTTTACTGTTTGTATTTTACAGAAGAAGACACTGGCCGGGCGTGGTGGCTCACATCTGTAATCCCAGCACTTTGGGAGGCCGAGGCAGGCGGATCACCTGAGGTCAGGAGGTTGAGACCAGTCTCAACATGGAGAAACCCCAACTCTACTAAAAATACAAAATTAGCCAGGCGTGGTGCTGCATGCCTGTAATTCCAGCTACTCGGGAGGCTGAGGCAGGAGAATTGCTTG
This sequence comes from Homo sapiens, assembly GCF_000001405.40. Classification (NCBI taxonomy): domain Eukaryota; kingdom Metazoa; phylum Chordata; class Mammalia; order Primates; family Hominidae; genus Homo; species Homo sapiens. The sequence continues at coordinate 150,116,529 of NC_000005.10, forward strand.
AACCTGGGAGGTGGAGGTTGCAGTGAGCCGAGATCGCGCCATTGCACTCCAGCCTGGGCAACAAGAGCGAAACTCCATCTCAAAAATAAATAAATAAATGAATAAAAATAATAAAAAAAAAAAGAAGAGGACACCAATGTTTAGACAGTGAAGCAGCTTGTCTGAGGGCACAAAACAGGGTGAGCATTCACACCTCAAGCTGTGTGAGCGCTGCACTTCACTCCTCTGCACCATCCACTGGGACTCTTGGATGGTTGGCCTCTTCAACAGTTAGAGCAATGAGGGCCTTCGGAGCCTTCTAAGGCCGGTGTGCACTCCTGGCACATATGGAGAAACTGAGGCTCGCAGAGGAGAAGCCTTCCCAGGTCTCAGCGGCTAGTGGCAGAGTTGGGACAGTACCCCAGCCTGGGGCTCCAGCCACTTCACCTTGGGCTGGATCTCGCTTTGGAGGTGGGCGTGGCCTCATGGGGAGCCCTTCTCTCCAGTTAAGGGGAGATCCTGCGTGGACATCAAGTCCACACAACAGCAGGGTCCTCCTATAAAGCCCCCTCTGGGCTGTAACTTCACCACTTCCCAAGGCAAAAGAAAACCACGAATCTCCTTCCCAGTCTGAATTCTGTCCTGAATTCCTTTAGGCACCTCTGACTCCTACAACCAAGCAGGCTCCCTCTGGCCCCAGGGCGTGGTGCTGAAGAACAGAACATAGGCCTCAGGCTGGCCATGAGTAACAGCTGGGGTGCTGGGGATGCTAAGTAGGTTTGCTTCTTCTTTTTGGGGCTAGGACAGGACCTAGAGATAAGAGAGTATAGATAACCTCTGGGGGCTCCCTTAAAGGAAATAGCTACCTTGCAAGTAAGTCCCAGCCCATACTTTTGTTTTTACTAGCCTGCCCTTTCCACCTCAGGGCATCAAAGTTCAAATGAGTTCCATTCTGTCTTCTATTCATTGGTAGGGATAAGTACTTACCCTACGTAACTTACCTCTGAGGCAAACCTGGCAGCGCGCGCGCGCGCGCGCACACACACACACACACACACACACACACACACACTGTGCACAATTTCCTTGGCCCCAGGCCAGGGTGGTTACCTGGCTAGGCTGGGGGAACCCTCCAGTGGGCCCTCGTCAGCAACCTCGGGTTTGGGGTCAGGCAGGGGGATGATATAGTCGTTGTCACCCTCATTGGGCTGCACGGCAGTATAGAGGACGGAGCTGGTGTCCAGGGGAGATCGGAGGCCATGGAACCCAGGCAAGCGGGCCTGGGACCGAAGGATGGCTGGGTGGTCACTCCTCAGAAACTCCTCATCCACCTGCTGGTACTTCTGCTCCCGGGGCAGGGAGAACCAAAGAAACAGGGATGGTCAGGCCAGAAATGCCTTCAGGGATCTTCTAACCGAGCCCATCCCCCTTTGTATAAATAAGACCCCCGCTGCTCAGAGGGGAAAGGGATTTGCCCAAGCCACATGGTTGAGCTGCCCTCCTACCTCACATAGAATCTTACAAGGCATGGTGAGCTCAGGACCACCCAGGGAGGGGCAGTTATCAGACCAGCACCCAGGACTCTAACTCTTCCCCCACTTCAGAGCAGACAGGCACAGGCTCTCATGCTGCCTCAGCGTCCTTCTTCAGGGCCTCAGTTTCCTTTGCTGTGAAGTGGTGATGACCTTACTCCATCTCCCAGGTCCCTGGGACCATCCCCGGGGGGCAGTGGGGGTGAGAAATGGACCCAAAGAAGGAGCTGCCTCTGTGTCAAAGGCCATGTGTATTTCCTCCTCACTTGGACCCGTGTTGTTGGACGGGGCAGGGTTTCAGGGCCCTACTGGCTCTTTGGGCCTTGGACAATCCTGTGACAGGATCCAAGTGGTCAGGCGGTTCATGGTCATGTAACCTGGGGTTATTCACACTTCTGAAGGAGCCCCACGGTTCGGTATGGAGGTAAAGGCCTGAGGGAGGCAGCAGGACAGACAGTGCTCTAGGCCCCCTCCCTGCATCTAATCGATCAGCTTCCATGTAGGATTCCATTTCATAAAGCTCTCTGCTGCTAAAATAAACTCACAGCGCCAGCCCATCCCCTCCTAGAACCAGCAGGGAAACTGAGGCCCAGAGAGGACAAAGGGTGGTCCCCTAAATGCCAGCCCATCACGCAGAGCCTTGTACTCGGTGTCTGACTTCTGCACCAGAGCTCTCCGTGCTCCACCCCTACCCTGCCTCAACATACCTTTTTGTAACCTTCGCCCAACAGTCTCTCGAGAAGCAGCACCAGCTGGGAGAAGGGGGGCCGAATCTCAAACTTCTCTTCCCAGCACTTCTGCATGATCTCATAGCTGGGGATAGGGAGAAGGGTCAGGGCCTCTGGCCCAGGGTTCAGGGGACAAGGCAGGGCTGGGGGAGCAGGAGGCTGCTGCCTCTCAGAACAAGGTGAGCCATGGAAAGGAGCTGGAGGGAAGTGGTGGCTGGGTGTATCCAGAGGTCCTGTCTCTGGATATTCCCTTGGGAGGCCCTCGCAGAGCCCCCATTCCACATGGTTCCACAGGTTGACTACGCCTGGGTGAGCACAGGAGCCAACCTTCGCCAACAGTTTTCAGCCCTGCAGCTTCCACGGTTGGTTCTTGATGGCATGTGACCCCACCTGAGCCCTTGAAGGTCAGCTCTGGGACTTTTGCTGGCACTATGGAGCAAGCAGTAGGACATGAGACTGGCACTGCTGGTAGCCATTTGGGCAATGCTGGCCTGAAAATGAGGCCACACAGAGCAAAGCAGAGCTCAGGGCTAGAACAAGAGGTTCCTGATGCCATCCTTTGAATGGCTGGATCCAGTTACACCAAGGCTTTCTAGATCTCTGAGCTAACAAATCTCTCATCTTTGGTTTAAGCCAGTAGAGTTGGATATCTATTGTTTGCAGCACAAAATCCTCCCAAATGCATGAGACTCCACTCACATCTCGTCGGAGGCATGGGCAGGCTGGGCCATGCGGTAACCCCGTTTGATGGCATTGTAGAACTGCTCGTTCATGGGCAGCTCTGGGTAAGGGGTGCCACCTGTTGGGGAGCAGAGACAAGAGATACACAGGCTCAGGGGTGGAAAAGTGGCAGGGCACCCTCTTCTACAGGACAAGGAGAGCCATGCTGGCCCTGGTATGGGTAAGGGGGCAGTGCCCCTGGCATTTGGAACTGTGGGCTCCTTCATGGGCTCTGAACAGAGACCACAACCCTCCCCAGGATAGACAGCCAGAATGTGAGAGCCAAGCAGGCTTTCTGATGTCACTGTTCAAACCTGTCAATGCTCAGACAGGGAGATAAAGAGACCCAGAGAGGGCAAAGAATTTGCTAACATCACACAGCAGGGAGAAGGTAGCAGAGCTGGGACCTGAACCAGGATCCCTGTATCAGGGCTCGTCCCATAGCCCCACCAGGCCAGAGGCATGAGTGGTCGAGGTAGACACCAGGCCAGGATGCTGAGGGCTGGAGGAGGAAGCAAGCATACCCAAGGTGAAGATCTCCCAGAGCAGGATCCCGAAGGACCACACGTCGCTCAGGGTGGTGTAGAGGCTGTTGAAGATGCTCTCCGGAGCCATCCACTTTAAAGGCAAAAAGGTCTGTAGGGAGGTCAGGACAGGTGCTGAGTGCAAGGAAGGACCTCAGCCCCACTCTGCACCTGGGATGGGAGGAGGGTATCTGGCAGCTCCCACCCACAACCACTTCTCCGTCCCATTCCCTGTGAGGGCCCTGGTCTCTGCGCAGCACAGTTCCCATGTCCATCCCAGGGCTGGTCAGAGGACCAGAGGCTGTTTCCTTTCTCACTAGCTGGGGACAAGGCAGCCCCTGTCCCTGGGGAAAAGCCCCAGGGTCTGAGTAGTGAAGTGTGGGAGCCAGGGACTTGTCAAGGCACCCCCCAAGCTCTTATCCTGGCTGCCTTTGATCTCTGGGCCTAGCGTCCCTCCATCTGGGGTTTGCGGAAAAGTGGGGAGATGAGAGACAGGCAGGATGATCACGTTTTAACCAGACCAATCCCTGCTACTGCATGTGACCTGCTCATCTTTCTTGCCCTGTCACCTGGGCTTCTTCCTCTGCCCACCACCACTGGAACAACACATTCGGCCTGTTCCCCCTTCCCCCACCCTGGACCCATTATAGCCAGCCCTCCCCGCCGCTATACTTGCTCCATGCACTCCTGGGCGGCTCCCCATCCTGTCCCTGCACACATAGCTGGGCAGGCACAGCCCATCACTGCTGTCAGGGCAGGCCACAAGGAGCCCCACACAGATTTCCTATGAGCTGCAGCCACACTGGTCAGGAGGGAATCTGTTCCTGCGGTCACAGGCACTGTGACTGCCCTGCAGGGGCCAGGGAAGGTACTCACGCTGCCTTTGGAGATGTAATTCGAGTCCCGCATGATGTCTCGAGCCAGGCCAAAGTCACAGATCTTGACCAGCTTGCCTTCACAGATGAGCACGTTCCTAGCCGCCAGGTCTCTGTGGACGCACTGGGTTTGGGGAGAGGGGAGCTGAGGCCTTGGGGACAATTGTGGGGAAAGACCCTTCATGTCAAGGGCTTTGGGAAAATACAACACTGCCCATGTGCGAGAGGCCACCCTGGTGTGCTCTTGGAGGATGCTGGCTGGCTGGGTGACCCACCTCCCCACAGCCCCCACTCTGCCCCACCAACACCACACGTACGTTCTTGGAGGCCAGAAACTCCATGCCATTGGCCACCTGGTAGCTGAAGCCCACGAGGTCCATGTAGCTTAGCACTGGAGACTCGTTGATCAAAGTTGCTCGGCAGGTCCTCTCAGGGGCTAGAGGAGAAGCAGAGGGTCACCTGCTATCTTATATCTCCTTCTGGCCCACAGGACCCCTGCCCTTTGGCTCCTGGGAGACTGAATGTCCAAGACAGGTGGCTACTGATCGTCTAGGTCTCCCCTAAAAGGAGAATGATTTCTTAATATCAAACTCAAAGTTCTCCTGCTTTATCAGTGCCCTCATTGGCCTTTTGGCATTAGCCCTTGGGCCACTTTTGCCCAGCCTGGCCTGCCTGCCTGCCTCTCAGGGACACTAGACCAGCCTGGGGCTGAAGCTGAGTAGATCACTTTCCCTACCACGACAAAAGGCCAGGTCCTCCCATATCCCTGCTCTCTCCCTCCCTGAGGGTTCTACGCATGTTTCCGGATCCATAAACAGGGCTTCCGTTTAGGGGTCCACTACAGATCAGTTTTGGCCAGGTGGCTAGCCTCAATTTCTACATCTATGAAATGGGCACGAGGCTCCCTTCTTCTCAGGGTTTTTGGCAAGGCTGGGCATGTGAAGAGCATCAGCCTGTTTGGATGTGGGGTACTATGTCACTATGTCCACCCACCAGAGGGAACGTAGTTATCGTAAGGGGCCATGTAGTTGGAGGACTCGATGTCTGCATATTTGACGTCTCCTTTCATGTCCAGCATGGGCACATAGTCCACCGACTCGTCCTTGCTCATGTCCATGTAGCCACCGTCGCTCTCCCCGGTCAAGGACACATGGCTGGGGGTAAAGGAGCATCACAGGAGAGCCTGCAGGCTTTGCCTTCCCCTCCCCTCCTGCCCCTTGCCACTCATGAATTTCTTCTCTCACTCACACACTCACTCATCTTCCTTCAGTCTATCCCAGTAGGAAAGCCTGTGGATCAAGACTTTTCAACCAACCTGCTGGGCCAAGCTGGGCACTGAGGCTACCAAAATGACAGTTAGAACCCAGAGAGCTCACACCCAGAGGCGATTACAGCACCCCAGGGCAAAGGTCACAAGACGGGTGTGTTCAGAGGCGCCTTCCTGTGGCCTCCCCAGCGCCACCTGGCCATGGGAGTGCCTGACTGCAACCCAGCATAGGCAGCCAGGATTCACCCCGCTACCTATGCCTGTAGCATCAGCTCCCCAAAGAGCTGTGGGGCTCTACACACATCTGTCTCTATAGGCAGGAAAAAGATGGGAGAAGCCCTTTGGCTCCTGGGAGACTGAATGTCAAAACATTGGAGAGGACATGAGTGGGTTTTAAGGTCTTTTACGCTTTTCTGAAGCTACTCTTGTCTTTGTTTTTGTAATCAGCAACAGAACTAAGAAGTGTTCTTTTTGGAAAAGACAAAGACTGGAGTTGAGCTCCCTGAGAGGCAGTGTGGAGGCTGATGTGTAGAGGCTGCAGAGAGGAACACAGCCTGGAGCACCACTGTGCAAATTGGGAGGCTTGGCTCTCATCTCACCACAGCCTCTGCCCCTTCCTCCATCACTGCCTGCCCTGGACTGAAGGGCAAACACCCACGACACAGGGATGGCATGTCACATCTGTAGAGGGCTTAGCAGCACAGGGCCTGGCATTAGTGTTATTCCCTCATCTGGGGTGGACCATCTTGTGGAACAGCCCTAGCTCCAGGAGTGATTCTGTCCCCTGCCCTGTCACAGCCTCAGCTTCCCCTCCTGGACAAAAGGAGGGGAAGGAGCGGTGCTCCTCAGGTATCCCAAAGATTCAGTCCCTGGCCTCCCTCCTGGTACCTGGGCAGGGGGAGCCCAACGGGCAGAGCATTGCTGTAGAGCTCCGCGCTGGGCGGGCGGCGCTTGTCGGAGTGGTGCTGCAGGAAGGTGTGTTTGTTGCGGTGCAGGTAGTCCACCAGGTCTCCGTAGCGGCAGTACTCAGTGATGATATAGATGGGTCCTGCAGAGGGACAGGCTCAGGGACAGTCCCTATGGAGGCCTCAGGCGTCCCTTCAAGGCCATGAGGCTAATCAGGGGCTGGATGTGGGAGAGACACTTTGGCATGACGGCTAGGAGGCTTTAGTGCCTTGCAAATCTGGATTCTTTTCCTGCCTCTGTGGTGGAGAGCAAGGTACTTAGTCTCCCTGAGCCTTACCTTCCCCAGCTGTTAAGTGGGGCTAATTAAACCCACCACAAAGCACTGTCATGAGGATTAATGAGATGATGTCTTTATTGGCTGGGCACGTGGCGAGCTCGCAGTGTTGGCTCTTATTGATATGTTTTCAAACTAAAGCTTACTTTGGAGCCCAGTATAGAAAGCAGATAAAGGCCACTGTTTACAACGATCACTTTAGTAGTTAAATTCAACTACAATGCATTTACTTAAAGTCAATCAGTGAGAACTTGAAGATATCTACACAAACGAAAATGTTGAAATGAGCGATCATTGCAAACGTGAATAAGTCTATGTACCCAACATACTTCTGTATTTTATTTTGGTTGCATAATGCTGAGGAAAATCCCAAATCTCACAATAAGCAGCTGCAAATGGTGATAACATTTTTTTTCAGCCTAACTGGCAATCAGAGCTTCAAATAGACCCAGTTGGCCACAGAGACTTTCTTCTATGATCAAATGAAGGTAGCTCCCAAGTAGCAAGCTGGTGGTCTCCAATGGTGGGCATATAACTCATCTTAATGTCATGTGAGCTGTTATTTATTGGTTTTCAAAATGTATTGGGAAAATAAAAAAGTGTCAGCCAACACCATGGTCTGGAAGCTGCTGGGACTGGTGACCTGACTAATCCTTCAGCCTTGAAGGTGTTGTGATTTTGTGAGTTTCTAAACCCCACCGCCCTCTGGGACCGCGCAGTGAGGGCGCTGGAGCGGGTGGGCACGGACCCTCCAGCAGGAGTGTGCTGTTGTGCAAGGCCTGAGGGGGGGGTAGGCGGGGCCTGGCCTTGGTGGTGGGCACTTTCCCTGAGGCCTCTGGGGCAGTGGGCTCGGTACCTCCTTTGGTGCAGGCCCCCAACAGGTTGACCACGTTCAGGTGGGGCCCAAGGTGACTCATGATCTTCAGCTCCGACATAAGGGCTTGCTTCTCACTGCTGCGGGCTGTGGCTGAGGAAAATGGGGGCCCCAGGCCAGGCCCAGTCATGGAGGCTCCATGGAGGCCCCACCACAGGAGCCTATTCTGACTCTTCTGCCCCGCCCTGTGCTGCAAGACCCAGGCAGCCTGGCGGGGGTGAGCACCCACACTCTGAGGAGGGGAAGAGGCCAGGGTAGGGGGAAGCAGGCCGAGGAGGCCAGGGAGAGGAACGCTCTTTCCCAAACCAGACCCAGACTCGGGAGCAGTGCCTGCTGCAGTGTGATGGCCCCTCTAGTGCCTGCAAATCAGCATCAGGCCACCCTGGGAGAGGCTAAGTGTGTGGGGAGGGGCAGGGAGAGGTGAAGGCCCAGATGTGGAGGGCTCCAAGGACTACTCACATTTAAGCATCTTGACGGCCACTTTCATCGTGGCCTGAGAATGGCTCAGGCCATGAGCCGTGGCCTCCACCACCTGCCCAAAGGCCCCAGAGCCGAGGGTGCGTCCTGGTGCAGAGATGATCCATTAGCTCCTGGCCTACCAGGAAGCTGCACCGCTCCCCCAGCTGCCCCCCTCCCCCCACTCCCCTACCCCCGGCCGCTATCACCCTTCCTGCCCAGTGAGGGGAAAGAGCCACTCTCTTAGGTCAACCTAGACATTACTTAAACCACCTTGGACTCAGGATATTCCCTAAACACACTCCTGCAACCACAATACCTCCCTGTCTTTCCTGGTATCTCATCTAAGTCCTGCCTGCTTTCTGCCCCATCTTTAATCTCTGGAAAGTTTCTTCCCTCCCAAGGGAGCACGCTTCTCTGTACCTCCTCAGCTTCCCCAGCCAGACCAGGCCTGCTACTCAGCCTGTCCTCAATCCTTCCACTTTTGCCACATAGGGATCCCGTCTCACAGGGTCACAGGATCATAGAACCTCAATGCTAGGCAGTTCCTGGGGGATGGTCTTGCTCTCATTGTACATAGTAGGAGATGGAGGGCCAGAGAAGGCAAGACACCAGCCCTAGGTCTCATAGCTAGTCATGGCAAGGCTGGGACCAGACCTCAGAGAGTCTTCCCACCCAACTTGAGTCCCCACACTGCCACATGAGGCCTCTCAGGACTGACCCAGCACAAGCTGGTCCCGCGGCAGCTCCCACGTGGAGTCATAGGGCAGCTGCATGGGGTCCACGTAGATGTACTCATGGCCGTCAGAGCTCACAGACTCAATCACCTTCCATCGGATCTCGTAACGTGGCTTCTGGAGGACCAACCCCAGGAATTAGTTATCAGAGGGAGTCTCAGGCCCTGAGCCCCATTAGGTTCGTCCGTCTAGGACACATGGGGCAGGAGACCCTGAGGCCCAGAGAGGGGCAGGGGCATATTTGAAGTCACACAGCAAGTGCTCAACTGAGCCAAGGTCTTCGTGGGCTCGGAGGGAACAGGGACCAAGGGGCCCCAGAGGAGGCTTCAGGACTTGGCAGACTGAGGAGCAACTGGCAGCTGAGGGCCTGGCTCATGAGAACCTCCTCTCTAGCTTCTCTCCCAGCCTTCGCTGCTCCTCAGATGGAAGTAGTAGAGCAGGTGACCCCAGAAAGTGACACCAGGTAGGGTACTCGGCTGGATGCGGATGGCCCTCCCCAGTGCTGGGCAAGTCAGAAAGATGTAAGCTTAGAATGTTGACATCTTAAGGTGTTGGAACCACAGGACTGGAATTTTAGAAAGATGGGATCATGAGGTGCTGTAATCCTGATTCAGGAAGCTTAAAATGTTGGAATCACAGAATGGTAAAATCTCAAAGCAGAACACTGAAATTACAGACTAATAGGATCAGAATGCATTTCAGTAGAATCACAGGTTCTCCATGGGTGAGACCTGGAAGAATCCTGGAGCCCATGCAGTCCACCTCAAAGGTCCCATGCTCCATGGCTAGGATGAGAGGAATGGTGTCTCAGCAGGACCCGGGGACTTAATGACACAGTAGGGGAAGGGAATCCTGGATAGCTCGGGCCAGGCTCAGGTTGGCCCAGACTGCTGGGGGTGGAGGAAGCTGAGACAGCCAGCGTCACAAGTCCCCACCTGAGTTCCATGCTGAGCCCTGCATGTGGCCAGATCACGCAGCATTCAAGGAGGGCAGAGGGGTGGAATTTATGCAAAATAATGATGTGCCAGTCTTCACCCACTGGGCCAGGGAGGGGCTTACCTTCTGCCAAAGCATGATGAGGATGATAAGGGAGATGATGGTGAGCACCACCAGGGCCAGGATGGCTGAGATCACCACCACCTTAAAGGGCAAGGCTGGAGGCAGAGATGAGAGCAGGCCATGAGCAAACTGGGCAGCTACCCTCCCCTCACCCCATCTTTGGCATCATAGATCCCTCCGTACACATCCTGTCCAGAATAGAAGCGCCCACCTCCCCATCAGCCTGCAGTGTCAGACCCTCAGCATCTCGCTCTAGGCCACACGTTCAGACTGTCCTGTAAATACTCCATCCCCTCAGTAACTACCCCCACTCAGATCACTGCTGGCCTCCACGTCCCTTCAGCCCTGCCAGTCAGTCTGGCCTTGCTGCCAGAGCTCTGGACGGGGTGCAAATCCTGTTCTGAGTTCCTGTCCATTGCCTGGACCTCCCATTAGCCCTGGAGCCCCTGAGGGCTGGGTTGTGGCTTACCTCTCCTCTGAGTCCACACCCTTGCTGGGGCTGCCACAGCTCGGTCAGACTCCAAGCTCCATGCCTGACCGAGTGGCCGGTGGACTGAGTGAGTGGCCACTGAGGGAGCAATGGCTGAGACCCCCAGCCTGATGAATCCAGACCTCAGCACGGAGGCCACTTCTCCCCACTTCACCCAAAGGGCCCAGTTGGGGTTGGAGTGGTGACGGTAGTTAACAAAGTGGGGCTCACACTGGCCCTTACAAGCCTCGAGTCTCCTCCACCCTCAAGGCCTCAGCCTCTTCGCTGTACAGCTTCCCACTCTCCTCATCCAGCCCCGCCAGACCTGCCTCTCCCCTGCCCTGCCCTGCTGGCCACCCATGAGGTCCTATGGAACTCATTCCCTCCTCTTCTGTCCCCAATCTATGCTTCTTTGCTCCCTAGGGAGTCCTGTCCCACCTCCTCCTCCCCATCCATTGCTATAACCTCAGTCCCTAAAACCACACCTGGCACATGGTAGGTAGCTGGTACTATTTGTTGAATTACTAAGTGAATGCCATTGTTATGCTTAAAATCTTTGGATGGAGGCTGGGTGCAGTGGCTCATGCCTGTAATCCCAGCACTTTGGGAGGCCAAGGTGGGCGGATCACGAGGTCAGGAGTTCAAGACCGGCCTGGCCAATATGGTGAAATCCCATTTCTACTAAAAATACAAAAAATAGCTGGGCGTGGTGGTGGACTGCTGTCATCCCAGCTATTTGGGAGGCTGAGGCAGGAGAATTGTTTGAACCCGGGAGGCAGAGCTTGCAGTGAGCCGAGATCACACCACTGCACTCCAGCCTGGGCAACAGAGCCAGACTCCATCTTAAAAAAAAAAAAAAAAAAAAAAAAAACTTTGGATGCTTCCCCATGTTATCAGTAAAGGAAAAAGGCCAAACTCCTAAAATGGCACATAAGGCAGAGGCTTCATGACTCTACCTCTGCTTCCCTCTCCAACTTCGTCTCTCACCCCTTATCCATTCTCCCTTACCCTTACCTATCCTCGCCATGCCTTCCTCCTCAGGGTCCCAGACCAACATCCCTCTTCTCCTCCCTCCTCCCGCTCATCACACATCTCGGTCCTGGGAAGGAAGCCTGCATCTTCTAGGCAGCCATCGCTGGAGGCATGAAGGAGCCCTCTTGCAGCCATCCTAGGCCCTGTGTGCTGGTGCTCAGCTTCCCGCTCAGGCTTTAGTCACACAAAAGTGTCACATCTGCCTTGGCTCAGAGCTGGTCTTCCACTCAGGCTGTCCACACTGTCTGCCCAGATACCCACTTGCTCAGAGAATGTGTATGCATGTGTGGGAGCATGGGTGAAATGAGGGGATGAAAGAAGCCCACCCATCCACCACAGGGCAGGGGACAGGAGGCAGCTCTAGACAGGCACGTGCCTGAACATGCCCAGGGACCTGCATACACAGAGACCAAGATGCCTCACATGGCCTTTGGAGCCCTGCCTGCTCTAGATCTGCCGACCCCTGTAGCTCCATCCCATAGCACTTCCTTCCCCTTTATCTGCCACCCTTCCAGCCCCTAAGTATCCACACACTCGATCCTCCAGCCAGATTGAGTTGAACTCTTTTCATTTCTAGGAACTCATTTTGCCTCTGGGCTTTTACACAGGCCATTCCCTCTGAGTGGGACACCATTCCTTACCAGGCTAACTTCTAGTCATTTTTCAGGTTTTCACCTAAAGGTTCCTTTTCTAGAATACTTTCCTGAATCCCATAGCTGGGCATGGGACCCCTTCTCCCTCCAGGCTTTGCCCCTAATGTGGTGATCCCGGAGGGAATTGCCAAGTTCCTTGTCTGCCTTCTCTCTCTGGACTATGGGTACTAGGAGGTCCAGGCAGGGCTGAGCCCTTTGACCTTTATACTTCAATGAGAAGTTGGGTCCTCATATTTATCGAATGAAGAAGAAAGGTGAATAAATGAAGCACACTCATACAGGTGCATGTATGCATAAGGACGGGCAGCTAGATACACAAAAGCATCAAGACACTGGTAGGCATTGTTCATACGCACAGAAATTACACGTGTATGTGTACCTGCTAACAGATGTACATTGTACAGCAGGCACATGTGTACGGGAATTATGCTTGTACACTTTTCTAGAAAGGTGTGCTCCAATTATATGCTTACAGACATGCACTATGCCAGTTTGCATGCATGCAAAGGAATTGTACATGCATTGCTTGTACACATGTACAGGAATTGTGTACCCACCGGTACATGCATACAGACATACACTGTGGGGTTTAAACAGATGTCTGGGAATTAGGCATGCTCATGTACATGGCTTACAAACACGTGGTGGGTTTACATACATGGACAGGCATAGTGCACAGGTGTATGCTTATACACATACACTCTAGCTTTACAGGAGTGACTGGAGATTGGGCATTCTTCAGTAGACGATTTACATATCTACACACAGAGGATTTGCACCTATGTTCAAGGAACAGGCATGCTCATGTACATGGCTTACGACATACATATAGTATATGTACACCACACTGAAGGATATTCATATCCATGGCTTACAGACTTGTGTTTGTACACGTGTGTACCCATATTGTGTTTGCCAGAATGTGTTCCTATGCATGTACACAACAGGGTTTCACAATGCTCCTGTTTGCCCCTGGGCATGCTAACTCCTTTGGCCTGCTGTGGGTACATGGGCACATTACCAATTAGGCAGGATTAAGGTAGGGATTGGGATCGTCAGGGGCCACTGAGGCTGGGGACTCACAGTGTGGCACCACGATGACCTCCTGCGTGTCCTGGCCCACAGCGTTGCGCAGCGTGCAGCGCACCGACAGTGGCCGATCCACGTGCTGCAGACGCAGTGTGCTCACCACCTCAAACTCCTGCTCCTCCTCCCAGTACGTCACGTTAGTCTCCAGCTGGCTCTCCTCTTCGGAACTGTTCCCCAGCAGCGTGGGCGGCAGCTCACGTGGACACCTGCCAGGAGAGCCGGTAGGGTTGGCTGCCAGCCCCTTCCCCTTGCAGACAGGGAAACTGAGGAGAAACTGGTGGAAGGAGGCAGGACGTGTCCAGTTCCTATGTCCCACTGCCTGTTTCCGAGCGGGCTCCTCCTGTGCTCCCTCTACTGGTCAGCAGGGGGTGCTCCCATCCCAGAACTGACAACGTGGATTGCAAAATCCATTCTTATTTGACCCACGGGGTCACACGGCGTATGGGGTAGAGGCAGAACCTGCACTGAATCCTGCCTCTGTCCACTGCATTAGAATCGACCTGGCCAGGAGTGCAGAACTGATCTACAGGGCGGGTGAGGTCTCTGGGGCTCAGACCCTGCACTTTGCTAGGCCAAACTGCCCAGGGGTAAAGGTAAGGAAAAGGGACCATTTAGGTCATACAGAGTAGGACCAAGGAGGTGGTGACCTGGCCTCCTAGGATGCAACTCTATGCCCGGAACAATATGCCAAGAAGAACGGGCGGGACTAGATAACCTTCACGAGCTTTTTCTAGCCAGCTGGGGACACTGGGAGACTGAGGCCCAGGTCTGCTCACCTTTTGAGGTCTCTGCAGGCAGACCAGATGATGTTCGGCTGGGGCATGCCCCGGCCACGACAGCGGACTGTCTGTTCCCCACTGTCAGGGTGGCTCTCACTTAGCTCCAGCACTCGGACAGGGACTGCATGGAGAGAGCACTGAGTTAGGAGGCGGGAGGGTCAGGACAGTTAACAGGACAGGTCCTCAGGGGAGGACCTGGCCCAGAGACTCTCTTGGGGGAGGAGGGCTGTAGACTGCAGGTGAACATTAAATACCAGGAATCAGTGTGAAAACCGATGGGTTCCCTTCTGGGTACTTCAAAGGGAACGCCTCAGCAGGGTGCTAGTCTGTCTTTAACACCTCTCTGAGACTTGCTAATCTTCCCTTTTAACAAAGGGAGGCTAGGCCTCAAGCTCAGAACCCTGGGCCACCAAGCTCATGAAGCCAGCATTTAATAGCATTGTTTGGTCTTCTCTGAGTTTATTTTAGTGGTTGCTTTATATTTATGACATGTGATGCCGATTTTCCACCTACAATAGAGAGGTTACATTTTGTCTTTCAAAATAAATTTGTTTTTAGAAAGTCAATTAACAAAACATTAAGTCATTATCATGTCATTTCTCTGCTCAAAACCCTGCCATGGCTCTTCATTTCGGTCATAGTAAAAGCCAAAGTCTGCACCAGGCCCACAAAGACCTATGCGATTTGCCCTTCTCCCAGCCCCCACTGCCCTATCCCCGTTCTGACTTCATCTCCCACCACTCTCCCCAACAGCCCTGTTCCAACCACACAAGCCTTTCAGTGATTGCTCTGGCCTTTGCACTGCCCGAGGTACCCTTTCCCCAAATATCCACTAAGCTAATGTCCTCACCTTCTTCAGGTCTTCATGCAAATGTCACTTCCTCAGCCCTGATCACTGTATCAAAAATGCAACTCACACCATCACTCTGTGCCCAGCACTCTCAACCTTCCCTACCCGGCCCCTGTTTTTCCTCTCCCGCAGTGTTAGTTACCTTCTAACCTATGTAATTTGCTGGGGTTTTCCTCCCTACTGTTAGTGTTTGTCTTCCCCTACTTGGATGCAAGCTGCACAAAGGCAGGGAGGGAAGTTCAAGAACCTTGAAGAGACAGGCATATGGTAGTTGCTCAATAAATACCTATCGAGTTAATAGTACAGTATAAGTGGAATGTGAGAAGGGAAAATCATGGCCTTGGTACCTAAGTGCCTGAAGTTTTGGAAACACCAATCTAGCCAGATGGCCTCCTTATACAGCTGGGGAAACTGAGGCCCAGAGGCCAGGTTCACACGGCAGTGGGTCAGTGGCCTAGAATCCATCTCCTGAGTTCCAGGCTCCCTCTCCCACTCCTCCCATGGGTGGGTGGACAGTGCAGGAAGGGAGAGGGAACGGGGGCAGGGAGGGGAAGGAGCAGGGACATGGCGAGGGGCGTGCTCATCACCATTGATCTGTAGCTGGAAGGAGAGCTGGACCTCAGCATCCTCATGGAAGGCCCGCATGGTGTAGTGGCCAGCCTCTGCCACCTTCACGCGAACCAGTGTCAGCTCTGACACATACCTGGGGAGCAGGAAAGGCAGCTGTCAGAGTCGGAAGGACTCTTACAGTTCTCCCCACCCTCCTGGTATAAAGAGGAACAAGGCCCAGGGAGGGGAAGGGCTTGCCAAGGTCATCTCGGCATTGGTAGCAGAGCCGGGACTCAAACCAGGTCTCGTAAATCCTCACCCACAGGCAGTTCCCCTAGGCCAAGAGGGAGGGTTGAGATGAACTGTGGGTGGGGGTGGGGAGCATTGAAGGAAAGTCCTATTTCTCTCCCCTTCAGAAAGGTGGACACTGCTCCATCCTAACCTACCACAGTCTCTGTCAGCCAGCAAATCTCCAGCCTCAGGGATACCACAGGCCATGAGTGGCCTGCCTGGCACCCTCTTCCCCAGTCATCTGCCCGTTTACTTCTTGGCTGCTACTGCTGGCCCCACCCATCACAAGGACAACTAAACATCTGGGTGATCATCTGACCGGCGACTGTTTCCTCCACTAGACTAGAAACTCTAGGAGGGATGAACTGTCAGCTCTGGTCGCTGCAGCATCCCCAGCACCTGGCACCTAATATGCTCTCAGAAAGCTGGGCCTAGGTTTGTGGCTGAAAGCCGAGGGCTGCCTGGCGGCTGCAAAGAAAAATAACTTCAAGAATGGGATGGGAGAGCGAGCTGCTCACCGGGTCTCCGACACGTTGCGCGTGGACAGGGCGATTTCGCCAGCGCTGGAGTCGCCCAGGGTGCGGTTGTCTTTGAACCACAGGACAGTGGGCGGTGGGTAGGCCTCGAACACTACCTGCAGTGTCCGGCTCCGATGCAGCTCAGCAAATTGTAGTGTGCCCACCTCTCCCAGGAGCCGCACGTAGCCGCTCTCTGCAAGGGGTGACCGTCAGGGGCGGGGCCCTGGGGGCAGGGCACCAACTGAATCCCAAAGGAGGCCAGCCTGTGGGGTGGGGCTTCAGGCCTGGGGACCGTGCCAGCCATGGAGTTTCCGGAGCTGAGGTTGAAATTGGGCTGGGGACAGGGCCTGGAGAAGGGGCCGAATTTGGGGCTAATATGGATGCTGGGGCCAGCTCCCAGGTTGGGAACAGAGTTGTACTAACAGTTCTCTGTTCTGGGTCAGTACTGTGGCTGATGCTGGGACTAGTGATAAGGTTGAATTTGGGGATGGGGCTTCCCGGACCTGGGATGGCAGTTGGGCTTGGAAGTCAGGTTGGGGCTGGGGCTCTGGCTAGTCAGAAAGTCTAGGTTGAGATAGGGTTGGATTTGGGGCTGACACTACATTTTGGTTTGGGGTTTATCCTGGAATTGGGGTTTTGGTTGGCACAGAGGCTAGCTAGGGCTGCACTGGAGTGTGGCTGACTATACCCCGGGGCTGTGACAGGCACTGGGTCCAGCTCAGCCCTGATCACTGTATCAAAAATGCAACTCTCACCATCACTCTGCACCCAGCAAAGTGGGTGAGGGTGGGGAGCGTTGAAGGAATTGGGGATTGGGCTGAGCCCAAGGCACACACCAACCACGGTGATGTTGATGGCCTTTTCATCCTGATGGTCATTCACACTCTCCGTCACATTGCAGGTGTAGGTCCCCGAGTCTTCTAACTCGGCACTGGGGATGTGCAGGATGGAGCGGATGTGGTAAGGCATATCCAAGAGGAAGTCAGTCACCGGCTCCACCAGCCGCCCACTCTGCAGCAACAGGTTGGGCAGGCCCCCCAAATCAGGAGGGGCCGGGGAGAAATCAGCCTGCAAGCCAGATATCCACCCGTTCCTGGCCCCTCCTCCGACCCCTGCCTGGCCCCACATTACTTCTTTGCGGGGGTATGTCCACTCGAAGTTGACCACCTCATTCCCGATCACAATGCACATGAGGGTGATGTTCTCACCCTGGCGGACCACAGTCTGCACTGCGTTCACAGAGACGTTGATGGATGACACTGGTAGAGAGAGATTGGCTTAGGTCTGGGGAAGTCACCACCAGCCACTAGCACTTCAGCTTGGGGATAGGGTAGGGGGCTAGAGAGGGAAAGGATGACTGATGTAGAAGATTCATTCATTCAACAAATATTTACTGAATACCTACTACATGCCAAGTACTATTCTGGACACTGGAGCAACAGTAGTGAACAAAGTGGACAAAATCTCTGTTCTTATGGAGCTGACGTTCTAGAAGGGATAACAGTCTGGAAATCAAAGTACCCTCTGGAGATCTATGTACAGGAGAAATGTATTGAGCACATAACATGTGCCAGGTACTCTCCATCTTTTATTTAATCTTCACAATTGATCCTATGAGGTAGGCAGCCATTGTTATCCCCACGTTACAAGAGGGGAAGCAGGCTCAGAGAGATTATGTGCTTTGTGTAAAGTCACTCAGACAGGAAATAGCAAAGCTGGGATTTCGACCCAGCTGGCTCTGAAGCTTGTGCCCTCACCGACCATGTTGCACAGGCCAGCTCTGCCACTATCGAATTCTGCGACAGGGGACAAGCTCCATCCTCTCTCTGCGCCTGAGTTTCCCTCTTCTGTAACATGGGGAAAACACTATCTTCCTTCGAAGGCTGTGGTGAGAATCCACTGGGAAGTGGAGTCCCACACTTTGTAAACTGTAAAGGGCTATTCCTCTGTGGAGGGTTATACTTGCCTCTGCTGAGCATCAGGCCAGAAAGGGGGCTCACCCTGGAGTCTGTAGACATAGTAGGCATCAGAATCCACCTCCCTGTCCCCAATGGTGGTTTTGCAGATGTAGCTTCTGTCCTCAAAGATACCAGAAAAGCCACGTTGGTGATCATAGGGGACAGGCAGTGCAACGTCCCCTTTCTTCTCGTGCAGTGTCACCACCAGCTGTGGGTCTGTTACTCGGCATGGAATGGTGATCTCAGTTATTTCCGTGAGAAAGATGAATAGTTCCTCGGCATCATTAGGGAGGAAGCCCACGGTGGGATCTGCCAGGAGTGGAGCCGTGAATAAATCAGGGGAACTGGGTTTCTGGCCATCCCCTGAATTGCTGTGTGGCAAGTCATTTGCCATCTCTGGCCCTCTGTCTCCCCGTTACAGAATAGGGATGCTCCCAGAAGAGCATAAATCAAATGTTAGAGCTGGTCCCTTCCAGCTCTAATGTTTGATATTGACAGTGCCAGGGTAAGAAAGAAGGCAAGTCACAAGTTGAAATGCAGCTGATATCTGGAGCTTGGAGAATGGGGAAGAAGGGATGTGGGGTCAAGAGGGAGCAGATTGGAAGCAGCTGAGAATATAGAGTTCTTGGGAGGCAGGAATAGGGTGACTGGCAGGGAGCAGGCAGATCACCCAGACCAAGGAGTGGGTGCGAACACACTCCCCGACTGAGCCAGGCTGGTTCCATGATTGTCTGCTTTTCTAGGATGGCTGCATTTCACAATAAACTAAAGCACTCTCTGGACTTCCCCTGATGCCTCCAGTTGACAAGAGGGGTAAGGAGTGGGCACACAGGCTGGGAGCCCTTACCTGGCACAAAGATGTAGAGCCGTTTCCGCTCATCGGTCTCCAGTCCACGGGAGTCATTGTGGGTGCAAAAGTATTCTCCCGTGTCTAGCCCAGTGAGGTTGGTCAGTGTGAGCACGCTGGAGAAGGTGCCATCCTGGGCCTTGGCCATTTCCTGTGGGGGCTCCTGGGACATCCGTTCCCACACCACCGGAGCTGAACCCGAGCAGGTCAGAACGAAGGTGCTGGAGACATTGAGGACAAGCTCTGGCCCCGGGGGTGTGACGACCAGGCCCTGAGAGATCTGTGGTTCCAGAAGTAACAGGAGAGACAGCAACAGCAGCTCGCCTTTGGGAGAGGAGGTATCAGACATCAGGAAACAGGGGCTTCAGCACCTCTCCCAAGGCTGAGCCTGCGAGGAGGCCACGTATGCACAGCCCTCAGGTCCTTGAGGAGCACAGCTCCTTTATCCGACAGACTGGGGCTCTCCAGCCATGGCTCTGAGGACCGCTCGCCCAGCTCCAAGGCCCCAGGGATTCCTCTGGACTGCCTCTGTCAGTCCCGTTAGACCCCAGCCTCTGAGTCCTTCAGCAGTGCCATGTGTAGGCAGTAGGCACCAGAAGGGGCCAGGAAATCCTCGGGAAGCAATTCCCTGGCCTCCAGTTCCTGCATTGCTTCCCAGGTCACTTTCTGAGCCTCTTCCCTACAGCTCTCTGCCCCCTCCCCCGACTGCCCAGGTTCTGCCCAAGGCCCAGAGGTGGCTCTGGGTGGGAGAGAGATGGGAGGGAGGGGCTTAGGTAGCTCAGAGGGGGGCCAGAAAAGATGCTGAGGCCCTTTTGGGCTGGAGGGAACTGGGGTTGGGGGTGTGTGTGTGTCAAGTGATTGGTCCCCCTCCACGACATCCCCTGGAGAAGGATTTTTCAGGCCACGCCCTCCATGCCCCCTGGTGATACAGATCAGGAGGGGAGGTGGGCGGTCAGGCAGCCAGTCCATCTTATGGCCAGCTGCCGGGCAGGCTGCTGGCTGGTCATTAATTGCTGGGTCAGTCGCTCAGCCCCTGCAGAGCTGAAGACATGTTAACGGGCAGGAGTGAGGGGTGGGGTGTGCTGAGAAGCCCAGCAGGGACCTGGAAGCTCCCAGCCAATGAGGGGTCCAAGCCGAGTGCCACAGATCCACCAGACCGAGGATAGGAGGCCAGGGGTGTGGGCCAGAAGGTGGGATGGGGTCTGGAGGGCCAATCAAAGGATTTGAGCTGATGGTTCTGGACAAGCAGGGGCCCACTGACGCTTTCTGAGCTGAAGGGCTGGCAGCTGGAGGCCTCCACAGAGCCCACTGGAAATCCTGAAAACTAAAGCTGAAGGGCAGGGCAGTGTGCCTGGTGCTTCACGCCCTGCCACCAGCACACATCACCCCTGCCAGCTCCAGGGTTCCACTCCGCAGCCCCCCGGGTCCCCTACCTTATCTCCCATCTACCCACCTTTGAGGGCCAGAGCTGGCATCGCACCCGGAAGCCGCATGGTGTCCTGCAGAGTTAAACAGGAGTCAGGGCCCAGGGCAGGTGGAGGCAGCGACAGGGGCTATCTCACCACCTGGCTCCTGCAGAATGAGCCCCAGCTTGGGCCACCCAGCCTTCATGTCCGAGGGGCTGAAGTCAAAAGCCACCACGTCCCAAGCCTGAAAGGGCACTCATGACCACAGGCTGTCTCCTCTCCATCCCGGACTTAGCCTTGGGGTCCTGGCCTTTGCTTTGGCTCTGCTTGTGACTCTCACGTGGCCTCGGCTGCGTCCCCAGACTCTCTCTGTGCCTTAGTTTCCCTGTCTGTACAGTGAGGGAGGGGAAGTTGGGCTGGATGGTATCCAGTAGCCTACCAGCTCTGACAGCCTGTCCTCCGGGTGACAGTTCCAATACCAGGCTCTTATCTGCCAGGACAAATATTTGGGAAAGTGTGATGAAAGGGATGGGAGGAGGAGGGGGGAGGCCAGAACCCAGAGAACTCCCGCAGCTCCACAAGCACAACAGGAAATGGAGGAGGCTGTGGGCTGTGGGAAGGGAAGCCGGGGAGCCGGGGCTGTGGAATGTGGGAGGTGGGCCTGGACACCTTTACTCAGCCCAGAGCATACAGGGAGGCCCAGGGGACAGCGGCTAGGGGCTGGGCCCAGGAGAGGTCCCATCGAGCAGCCAGGCCTCACAGGTCCTTGGAGACCAGTGAAGCCAGGCTCCCCCCACCCCCACCCCCAGGGTGCAGATGGGGAAACTGAGGCTCTGAGAAGGTGAGAAGTTTACCCAAGATTCCACAGCAGAGCCTGTCTGAGAGGGAGACAGAGAGAAAGAGACCTGGAATGATAGAAGTAGAAAGAGACAAAGACACAGAGACAGAGAGGAGGTGCCCAGAGAGACAGCACCAGAGGCACTAAGAGACAGAAGCAAGGACAAAGACAGAGACAGAAGCAAGGACAAAGACAGAGACAGAAGCAAGGACAAAGACAGAGACAGAAGCAAGGACAAAGACAGAGACAGACTGAATGGGGTGGCCCTTGCTCTCCTCTATCTTGGAAGACACACCTCAGGTCCCAAGAGACCACCAGGAGCCAAGTATGCCAAGAGTCTGCCTGCAGCATTGGCAGGAAGGACGCCAGAGGACAGGGGTCGCAGAGCATGAGCTTTGGGAGGTGACGGCATGATGAGGCAACAAGGAGCCTCCTCTGGCTGTGGGGCTGCCCAGCCTGGCCTGCCTCTGAAGGCCATGCCCAGCTTGCCCCTACCTCCCCATCTCACCCCTTTTAGTTTTCAGTTTAGGTCTGCAGACCGGGTTCAGGCCCCAGCATGCCACCTCTTGTGCCATCGCTCTCCCTGTGGCCTAAGTCCCCAGCTCTGGAAGTGGATGATGGTGAGTACCTCACCTACCAGGGCTGCATTCACATGTCAGGGGTGGGACATAGGCAAGGCTCCTCCCGCCTATGGACCCCCAATCTTAGCTCTTCCCAACACCCCAAGAAACAGTCTGAGCAAATCAGCTCTTCTCCTCCCTCCTCCCTTTCAGACTGCCTGCCTGAAGGTCTCCTCGTTTCTTCCTCTCCCCTCTCTGAACTGCTCCTGACTCAAAGCCCAGCCCTTCTGACGCCCCCTCCAGCCTCTGCTCCCCACCATTCCTCTGCCCCAGCCCCTCCAGCTGGATGCCAGGCCTCCTTGGTCAGGAGGGAGCAGCGCCAAGGCGGAGCCAGCAGCCCCCACAGAGGCCCATCTGCCCCTCCGTCGGTGCCCCTCTGGCTGCCCCCTTCCTGCTAGAGATCTCAGCCAAAGAAAATCATTAGCAGAGGCTGGGGGAGGGGGTCACTTCAGCTTCCCTGCCCCTCCTCTCCCAGTCTCCCTGGCTGGCCACACTGTTTATTATTCTAAAGGAGGAATTTGGCCGGCTGGCCAGGAGAAGGGAGGTCACTGCAGCGGGGCTGGCCTGGCTCTGGAAGGCTGGGCTGGCTATGTGGGCTGGGCCTTCATGGCATGCAGCCCCCGACCCTCCTCCCATGTGGCACTCCATCCTCTCCCCTTCAGGCTCTCTTCTGCTGGGCCTGGGGCTGGGGGTGGCTTAGAGACTCTGAGCTAGGAGGTATGCTTTTTGAATGGGCAGCAGAGGCCCAGAGAAGGACAGAAGCATGCCCCAGTCACACAGCAAAAAGGCAGATTCAAGCTGTGGGGAGAGGACAGGCAGGCAGTGTGGATGCCGTAGGGAGGTTGTAGGCACCCCAGGGATCTCGGACTGGCTTTACTATGAATAGAGCAATCAGCTCCCCTCATAAGCACCCTGGGACCCACTGTGAGACTGAGCGAGTCTCCAGCCTCTCTGAACTCTGCGTCCCCATCCATATAGAGAGGTTGGCAGGTGTCATCTCAAAGAGCTGTCCCTATGGTGAAGCTCTGCCTTTCTGACAGGCCAAAGAGAAGATTCTAGTCACCACGAATCTTACCGGGGTGTTTTGAGGAGGTGGGGGCTAGTAAGCAGGAGGGGGCTACATTCCTGAGGCTAGAGTCACATAAGAATCCACCAGCCATCTCATTCCACGAAAGGAATTTCCATGACTATTCAGCCACAGACTTGCTGTGCGGGCTTTGACAAGTTGTTTCCCTCTCTGGGCCTCAGTTTCCCCATCTATACAATTAAGAGTTAGACCAAGGCTGGGCATGGTGGCTCATGCCTGTAATCCCAGCACTTTGGGAGGCCGAGCCAGGCGGATCACGAGGTTGAGAGATCGAGACCAACCTAGCCAACATGGTGAAACCCCGTCTCTACTAAAAATACAAAAATTAGCTGGACATGGTGGCAAGTGCCTGTAGTCCCAGCTACTCAGGAGGCCGAGGCAGGAGAATCGCTTGAACCCAGGAGGCGGAGGTTGCAGTGAGCTGAGATCACGCCACTACACTCCAGCCTGGTGACAGAGTGAGACTCTGTCTCAAAAAAAAAAAAAAAAGTTAGACAACAGTGTTTCAACAGTGTTTCAGGGGACTTTCCGCTGGTGACGTGGAACCCCAGGAGGTGGCAAGGAAAGAGTGGTAGGGACAAGAGGCTGGAGGGCCAGGGAGGGCAGAGAAGGGCTTAGGGCACCCAGACATGACTTCCCAGGCCATCCTGGATGACTCCCTGATACCCCACATTTTCCACCAAATGTGTTAGGCCTCTTTGTGCTTCCCAGAGGCTGTTCTGGTTCCAGCCAATCCCAGGGAGGCCCAGGCAGCTGACTTGGTGGTAGTGGGCTTGCCTGTGACAACTTCCCCTCTTTAGGAGGACTGTACTCTAGGGAAGGGCCACCTAGGACAAGCTGGATGTCACAGTCAGAGAGCAGGCACTCCCCCTATCTGCTGTACTCTCCTGCCCAGGGAGGCCTCTAGAGCAGAGAGAGGGAGGGCACCCCTAGGTGTCCCCCTTTTGCCCATGAAGAGAGTGCTATGTGCCAGGAACCCCTCCTGATTCCTCCTATTCTGGCCAGGTTGTAGGCTCAGAGGCCCAAAGTGGAGATCATGCCCAGCTCCTCACGTGACTCAGAGGGACCCCTTAGGGGAGCAGAGTGAGGACCCCAAGTCCGGGGCACAGAGTGGAACCCCAAGTTCAGGGGAGAGGAGTGGGGGGCCCCAAGTCTAGGGGAGCGGAGTAAGGACCCCAAGTCCAGGGGAGCAGACTGGGAACTCCAAGTCAAAAGGAAGCAGAGTGGGGACCCCAAGTCAAAGGAGCAGAGTAAGGACCCCAAGTCCAGGGGAGAGGAGTGGGTGCCCCAAGTCCAGGAGAGCAAGCATGCTTGGGGAGTCATTCTCAGAGCCCCAGACTTCCCTCCTCCCAGCACGTACAATTCTCCACTCCTTTCCCACCGCCTTAATCTAAATAAATCCAGCCCATCTTGGCCACATCCGCCAGCAACAGCTTCCCTCCCTCAGGGTCCTGAGGCTCCCACGACACAGGCAGGCCAGGGAGGGGGCCCTGCATTGCTGCGGGGGTTGATGGGGGGAGCCTGCACATGGTCAGCACATACACACAGCACAGATGCACAGATGCCTGCCTACGCACTTCCTCGCACACTCCTCTGAAACACATACGTATGCAAGAGGCCATGTGGGTGCCAAGCCCTCATGCAGGTACTAAACATGTACACACCCACACAAAACACATGTGCGCAGCTCCCACTGTGCCCAGCACCCGTGGAGATGCACCCGTGTGCAACAGTTCACATGTGTATGCAGCACATACAACATGCACAGAACATGTGCACATAGAACCCCAAATTCACCTGAACACACAGCCATATGCATGAACAGACAAGCCAGAAAGCCCGTGTTACTGCACCAGGAACCATTCTGAGCATTTGGCACGTATTGGCTCACTTGATTCTCCATCAACTCTATGAGGTAGATACAGTGATCATTTCCATTTTACAGTGGGGAAACTGAGGCAGAGAGCATTTAATAACTGGGCTAGGAACACAGAGCCAGAAGGGGTAGAGCAGAGATTAAAGTGAAGTGGTGTGACTCTGTGTTCTATGCCACCAGCTCCACCGCTTCTCTGACCAACGTGCATGTTTGGTTGGGTCTGGGGAGAAGGCAGTGGGGACTGAAAAAAACAGATGGATTTGAGAGTTACTTAGCTGAGAATCAACAGGACTGGGTGACTTAATATTGAGGGGCTGGAGAGGGAGGTATGCACCTCTGTATCTGGCTTGGAATACTGGGAGGCAGAAGTGTATGTGTGTGTGTGTGTACACGCGCACGTGCTGAGGGGACGATGCCATTTTCTGAGATGAGAATGAGGTCAAAGAGCAGGAGTGAGAGCTGCAACTGAGCAGGTTTAGGATAGGGAGGGTCTGTGGGCACTGAGGGGACAGTGGGATGTTCAGTCTGGAGGCCAGGAACAGGCCGGGTAGAAACAGCAGTGAGATGAGAGAGAGAGGGCCATGCTGCAGGGAGAGGGGGGTGCTGGGGGCAGGCAGTCTCAGGCCTGGGATGCTCTGAATAAACCAAATGCCTGAGGGAGGAGGAGGCCTGGCCATGGGGTTATGGGGTCAGAGTCTTGGAATGTCAGCACGCCAGAGCCCTCAGGGATCATCTATCTGATCTAACTGCCTTCCTGTGCTCCATTGTGCTCGTGGGGAAACTGAGGCTTAGGGAAGGAAAGCAAGAGGGCCCATTGTTTTGGCCTAGACAAGATGGGCTCGGGTGATCGGTGGGGCTGAAGCTCACCTGGCTGCGCAGCTCCCCGCCTCCAGCCCCTGCTAAGATGTGAGGCTGGTGGCTCAAGGCCCCAGGCTTCAGGCTATAGCTGCCCCTGCCCTCTCCACAGCACACCTCTGTCCTGCCACACATTGACCTTTGTTTCAAAGTCACATTCTCTGCACGAGCCCAGCCAGGCAGGGATTGGCGACTGAGACTCAGAGGAGGTAATTTGCTAAGTTGTTGGGAGAAGTGAGCCACAGACTCCAGTCTCCTGACCCAGTCCAGTCTTCTGTTCTCCGTACCGGGGCACTTTACAGGCCTGGGACAGACTTTGGAGGGGGGTTGGGGTGGGAAGTAAGAAGACCTGGCTCTAGTCCCGGCTGTGACACCCACTTATAGGATAGTGGTCCCCCCTATCTGCAGGGAATACATTCCAAGGCCCCAGTAGATGCCTGAAACTTTGGATAAAACCAAACCCCATACATACTATGTTCTTTTCCCTGCAAATACATACCTATTATAAAGTTTTATTTATAAATAAGGCACAGTAAGAGATGAACAACAATAATAATAAAATAGAACAATGATAAAAATATACTGTAATAAAAGTCATGTGACTGTGTTCTCTCTCTTAAAATATCTTACTGTATCGTTCACTCTTCTTGTGAAGACGTGGAATGACACGGTGCCTACGTGATAAGAGGAAGTGAGGTGATGGCGTAAGAATTGTGAAGTAGCGTTAGGCTACTACTGACCTCCAGACATTATCAGAAGGATCAGGTCATCTGCTCCAAGTGATCCTGGACCACCGAGCCATGATGGTGTTGATGGCTGGATGTCAGTAGTGGACTTTGTTGATGACTAACAGGTGGGTAGCGTATATGGACAAAGGGATGATTCACTCCTGGGCGGGACAGACAGGACAGTGCAAGATTTCATCACACTACTCAGAACAGCACAAAATTTAAAGCTTGTAAGTTGTTTATTTCTGGAATTTTCCATTTAATGTTTTTGGACCACAGTTGATCTGGGGTAACTGAAACTTCAGAAAGTGAAACTGCAGCTAAGGGTGACTACTGTACAGTCCTGACCCTCTCTGAGCCTCAGTTTCCTTATCTGTGCAAAAGGGTGGGCAAGAGTGTCTTGGGAGCACTTTCAGGGCTGACATGCTGTGGCCCTCAGGGCTCCACTCTGGGAAGGCAGCTGTGCTGAGCTGGAATGCTGGGCTCGGGGTGGGGGTGCTGGGGAGGGACCCATGTCATGACTCAGCTCAGAGAAGGCTGCCAGTTCCAGGCCTGGGAGTCTGTGGGGGCAAGAGGCATCTGGAGCCAGGGATGAAGTCCTCCCGCCAGCAGCTAAAGAGTAGGAAAGGGATAGCAGCACAGCCTGGGCCTGGCGGCAAGTCTGGTCCATGTGGCTGTCCCCAAGCAGGCTGAGATGTGGGTGTGATTGGGTCATGTGATCAGGGAGCCCCATCCTGGGAGCCAGAGAAGAGAGCAGGATCGGAGGGTGAGGAGACAGTTACAGGTGGAGGGGAGAAACTGGGGAAGTGGCCGAGGCTCCCACCCGCCCCCTTCAATCCTATGCTCGCTCCACTTCCAGTTGTTGGAGAAGGCTCAGTGCTCCACCCCTGCACCACGAACCTCCCCACCAGCCTCGGGATCACTCTAAGGGCTACAGAAAGAGAGCAGCCCGGCGCAGCCCACTCGGTGTTGGAGCCATTCTCTGTGCCACGCTGCTTCTAGGCCCGGGGTCCTCTTTATGTTTCTCCAGGTACCTACAAAGTCCCCTGAACAAAGCAGCAGAAATCGACTAAGATGGGGCCTGGCGTGTGCTCCCGCTGCTCTGGAAGTCCAAACTGGATGGAAGAATAGCGCTGGTTCCCTGGAAGGCTGCTAAGCCCCCTGCACCCCCTCCTCCAGCACAGGCTCGGCTGCCTCTGGCTATCCCACCGCCAATCTCCTCACCTCCAATCTGTCCCCTCCACCTGTTCTCACACCCCAGCCAGAGGGACCTTTCTGAAATACCTATGTGACCTCTCCGGCCCTCCTCTGCTCTCCATCCCCCTCAGGCAAAGGCTGGCTTCTCTGCCCAGCCTTTCAGAATCTTCCGGCCCGGCCCTGACAGCTCCCTCACAACTGAGGGAGGAAGGCGGCTGCCCCTCCAGCTCCCCAGGGCCCAAGCCAGGCCCTCACACTCGTCACTCACTGCATGCTCCTCTCCCCATGAGGCCTCCCCAGGGAACACAATGGAAAGAAATGACCTATTTTCTGGAAGTCCAAAATAAGATGAAACATCTGTCTGGAATGGGGCCAGGCTGATAAAGAACGGGCTGATCTCCCCAGCCCGAGCCCCGCTCTCCTGCAGCAAACACCCCCTCACCCGTCAGAGTGCCTGTGCTTGGGGGTGGGGGCAGCGATGCGGCTGGCTACTTGGAACAGTGCGTGGGAAAGCGCTCAGTGTGTGCCTCACGGCTGCTGGGGGCCCAAGGGAGGGGGCCTGGGTCCCCAGGAAGGCTGGGAAGCAGCCTGAGAAGGAGGTCAGTGAGGGAGGGAGGCCTGCTGCACACCCCTGCCCACCGGCTGCAGAGCAAGCACTTCCTGCCTCCTGCGGTGCCTTGAGGGTTACCCCCAGGGCCCTGTGGATTCCTGGCCCTGAGTCCCCCCACCCACCCCGGCCCCATCTGGGCCTCCAACAGCCTTAAAAATAACAATAATAATAATAGCTACCTCTGATTTAGTACAGTTGACCCTTGAACTACACAGGTTTGAACTGTGCAGGTCCACTAACACGTGAATGTTCCACACATGTGAAACATCCACCTCCTTCCCACCCTTCCACTCCTCCACCTCTTCCGCCTCTGCCACCCCTGAAAGCAAGGCCAACCCTTCCTCTTCCTCCTCCTTCCCAGTCTACTTAACGTGCAGACAAGGGTGAAGACTTTTTCAGTGATCTACTTCCACTTAATATAAACTGAATGTATTTTCTCTTCCTTGTGATTTTCTTTCATCTAGCTTACTTTATTGTAAGAACATAGTATATAATATACATAACAGACAAAATATGTGTTAATTGACTTTACATTATCAGTAAGGCCCACAGTAGGCTGGCTATTAGCAGTTAAGTTTTTGGGGAGTCAAAAGCTATACATGAATTTTCAACTTTGCAGTTGGTGGCTGTCCCCAGCCCCCTCATTGTTCAAGGGTCTGCTGTACTTATCACCCACTATCTATGCTAAGCTCCTTATATGAATGATCTCACCAAGTCCTCAGAACAATCCCATGACATCAGTACTGCTTCCTCATTTTACAGATGTGGAAACTGAGGCACAGACTGTTTACATTGTTTGCCCAAAAGCTTGCCAGTGGTGTCTCCAGTGTTTAATACTGGGCAGACAGGCTCCAGAGCACACAGCCCAATGCCCATGAGACAGCCCCTCTGTGGCAGGAGGCAAAGATAAGGAGCCCCGCAAAAAGGACAGCCCAGTACCTGGCACAGAACAAGCTCAAATAAAAAAAAATAAAAGTTAATTAGCCAGGCGTGGTGGAGGGAGCCTGTAATCCCAGCTTCTCGGGAGGCTGAGTCAGGAGAATTGCTTGAACCCGAGATCGCGCCACTGCACTCCAGCCTGGGCAACAAGAGTGAAACTCCGTCTCAAAAAAATAAATTAAAAAATAAAGTCGTCAGCCTTATCTTTTCGCCTTCTTTGTCCCAACTTCTCCTTTCACTCTTTCACGCTGTCTTTTGAGCTGGGTAAAGCTGAAGCTGACAGTTTGAGTGGGAAACAGTCACTCCATTTTTCACAGAGCCCTACAGTCTTAGTACATTCCCTCTATTCACATCTCCCCCACCTTCTCTGCAATTGCACACCTCCCATGACAGGGCTCTCACCACCTCACCTGTGGCCCATTTCATTCTTAGCCAGCTTAGAATCTTCAGAGGGCAGACTATTGAGAATTGTTAATTACACTGAGTACAGTTTATCTCACTGTATTCTCTGCTTATTGGTCTTGCTTCTATCCACCAACCACCCTCTCCCCAAATACAGGACATCTTTCTAGTTATTGTTCTGATCCCCCCCAATCTGGAAACAAACAAAAGTCCCTACTAATTTAGAGCCAGGCACTCTGCTAAATGAGATGATCTGGAGATTTTGTTTCATCCTCACGACCACCCTGTGAGGGGGGTACACTCATTATTCCCATTTTACAGAGGAGAATGATGAGTCTCAGAGACTTTTGGTAACTTTCCCAAGGTCACACAATAAGTAAGATGCAAAGGAACGGGAATGCAAACTCAGGCCGGCCTGACTCCAAAGCCTATATTCTTTCTTTTTTTTAGAGACAGGGTCTCGCTCTGTTGCCCACGCTGGAGTACAGTGGTGTGGTGGCATGATCATAGCTCACAGCTCACTATAGCCTCAAACTCCTGGGCTCAAGTGATCCTCCCGCCTCAGCCTCCTGAGTAGCTGGGACTACAGGTGCGCATCACCACAACTGCCAAAACCTGAATTCTTGCCCGTCATGCCAGACTGTCTGTCTCCTGACCAGAAACAGTTCTGTCCATCTGTCCACAGAGAAACGTTCTCCCTCTAATGGCGTCCATACGGAATCCAGGATCTCAGGGATGAGAAGATCCTCAGGGATCTGGGTCCCGCCTCTGCTCTGACTGAGGGGCAGTGTATGCGGGAGGCCTGCCCCGGGTCACCAATAATTTTAAAGTCGAGCTAGGGATAGAACCCAGGACTAGGGATAGAACTCCACAATTTCGCTGCAGAGGCTGAGGGTGAGCACACAAGGCTGAGGAGAGAGTTTTTGCTTAGGAAAGCCAGGGTCTGGCAGGGGCAGTGCTCCTGCGGGATACAGCATCCAGGCAATCAGCCCAGGTGTGTGGCCGGCTCTGCCACAGGCCTGCTGTGCACAGGGTCCAGGCCTGCCCCTGTGGGGGCCCCAGCACCCCCTTCCACTGTTTGCAGAGGGCCAGGGCCTCTGTAGCTGCAGAGTTCCAGGCCTCCACCATCCTGCTGCTGCCCTCCCCATCCCCACCCCCCAGAGCCTCATCTCCGGCCGGTGCCATGGCAACAGGGAGTGCCAGGCCCTTGGCAGCCAAAGGAGCCCCTGAGAGGGGTCCCAGGCTGAGACTGAGGAGGGGGGTGCGGCAGGCGCAGACAAGCAAACCTTCTGTTCCCCGGGCTGCTGCCAGCCCGGAGCAGCCATGGGCTGGGGTGGGGGCCGCAAATAGAATGGGTTCTCAGAGCCAAGTGGGCAGGGGACAGGCAGGCCTTGGGCCATTCACACTGACCCACCAGCACACAGCCTTCCCCCACAGGCCCAGGGCCTGCAAATAGGGGAGGGGTAGCTAGCTAATGAGTAAACCCTTCACTTATCAGTGCCAATTACCAAACATTGAGATTCCCCTCAGAGCCCTCCTGGGCGGCAGAGCAGGAGGGCAGAGAACCCCCATGTTTCACTGACCCTCTCACTGTCTCAGCATCTGTCCTCCCACCCCTGTCTTCGGTCATTCACTTAACCACCCCTCTGTGCCTCAGTTTTCTCATCTGTAGATTGGGGCTCATCACTGGGTTGTCAGGGCTATTGAAGGAGTTAACACAAGCAAAATGCTTAGAATAGGGCCTGGCACACAGCCCTCTGCAAAGTTGGTGGCCACATTATTATTATTCATTCACTCAAGGGAGAAGAAGTCACTCACTCACTCGGCCTTGCGCGCACAGCCAAGACTCCACGGGACTAGGCTTCTCAGCAAAGTGATGCATGTGATAAATGAGACGGTGCAAGAAGGCCTCTCCCAAAAGACGCTCCTCAGGAAGAGGTAGCTGCTGATTATTGGTACAATCAGTAGCAACAGCCCTTTTCAGTGTCCTGAGGCTCAGTGAGGAGTGTCTCATCCTAGCACACTCGGCGATTCGGTGGCCAACCTAAGGCCAGACCCATCTAATCACCACTGTCTGTCAATTACTTCTTTCCTGAACTTTTGTCTTAGTCCTTTAATATGACTTCCCACAAATCAGGATACCTACCTAACAACGATCTGGACTCTCTTCAACTTCCTAATATGGAATTAGGCCTACAGTAGGTGCTCAGTAAACGCTTACACGATATGAGAGATTAAATGGCTCTGTAGGGTCAGCTCTTCAGTCCTGGGCCCTCGGCTGCCTCCTAATAACACAGGATTCACTAGGCTAGGGAACTGGCATGGATAGGCAATGGTGACTCTTTCCTTCCAGGGAGGTGATGGAGATGAGCTGGTGAGGGCAGAACAGACATATGGCACTCTGAAGCCAACAGGCTGCGCCTGATGCCATCCAGGGCAGGGATGGGAGCCCCGCCAGGCTGGGAGCAGTGGTTCCAGCTGGAAGCCACTTATTCCTGGGTCCAAGCCCCAGTTCTCTGAGTTTAACTTATCTGAGTCCCAATTTCCTGGGAAATGGCATGGGAGACCTCCTTTTCCATTTCTGGGAGGGCCAGAGATGATGACGCACAGCACTTGGCACATCATAGGTGCCCAGTAAATGGTGACTAACAACAGTATATGATTACTCCAGTGGGGAGAGCGGGTATGGCTTCCTGAGGGAGGTGGCCTTGAGCTAGGCCTCCAGGGTTTCTTGAGTTTTTTGGCAGATGATGCCAGGGAAAGGTATGGCCAGGGCTCTGTGAGAGATGAAAGGCATCTGGGAGAAATGGCAGGGAGAGATCTGTTGGGCTAGAAACTGGGGCTCTTCAGCAAACAGGTAGGTGATGGCCTGGGAAGGAGGCAGCAGGAGGCCAGGGAAGGAGGCAGGGAGACTTCAGGAAAGGTCTGCGGTGCTGTGTGAGGATTTTCTCTGGACCACCAACTTTTCAAGGTGTTGATAGTGATGGCGGGTAGTAGCTGCTGGCTTGGCAGGGCAATGCTGTAACTCCAGGCACTGTGGGGAGGGGGCCTCCATGCAGGAGGATGACACCAGCAGGCTGGCATTTAGTGGGAGGCTGTGGATTAGGATGGGGACAGTGGAGGCTGCAAGGCCAGTGTTGGGGATGAAGCCGTCCCAAACTCAGCCTGAACTCCCTGGCAGGACAAGCTACATAATTTGTGGGGCAAGCACAAAATGGAAATGCAGGGCTCTTTGTTAAAAATTATTAACAATTTCAAAATGATGACTGCAGAGCATTAAACCAAACATAGGCCCTTCTAAGCATGGGGCCCTCAGGAGGATGAGTACTCATGAAGCCATCTCTGTGCCCTGGACTAAAGGGGAGGCCATCTGTCTGTCTCCATCGATTTATCCATCCATCCATCCATCCATCCACCCACCCACCAATCCATTTATGCATCTCTACATGCATTTATTTATCTAGTGATTATTTCACTATCCATTCAGCAGATAGGCCCTGGGTTGGACACTGATAAGGACACAAATACAGGTGAGATGGGAGCCACCCACAGTCCACCAGGTCAAACCTGCACCTTTACCTTCAATGCTCTGGGCCAGGAGGGGCCAGGGCTTCTGTGACATGTTTAGAAAGCTGAGCCCTACCCCTCTAAGGCTAACTGGAAACCCTGCCCCACCCTATAACCACTGAGGCTCAGCCTCAGAAGTGAAGAAGCTGGTGGTGTCACTGCCCTTGGGTTTCCACTTCTCAGAAGGGAAGGTAACAGAGCAGCAGCAATGAGGATGTGGCAAAACAGTCACAAGAAGCATGGTAGGAACTCTCAGGGGCTAAGGGCAGAGCTGGATGGACCTCTGGGGGCCACTAAACTTCTCCCTTGGCTTCTCCCCACTTTATTATAAGAGGAAACTATGATTAGAATGAAGAAGTGGTATGGCCAAAAGCTCGGGGGTCCAGCAAACCACCCAGGAAGATTCCCATTTCTTGTTGGGACGGCTTTGCTCCTTTTCAGCCCATAGCCCAGACAGACCTGGAGGCTGAGCCCTGAACCACAGAGGTGGAGCTGGGTCTCTCCAGGCCTTCAGAGAGATGGTAAAGACCCAGCACCTGTGGTGGAACAAAGGCGAGCCCAGGTCCCAGGCTCAGCGTCATCACCAATGATCTGTACGGACCTTAGGTGCAACCCTTCCCCTCTCTGGACCTTAGTTCCCATCCATACAATAAAGCAGTTGGATCAGGTGACCCCCAAAAGTCCTTTTCATCTCTGACATTCAGGAACTTTCAGACCCCCTGACCCTCCCAAGGGACAGCCCTCTCCATCACAGGGCGGAGAAGCTGGTACCTCTGGCAGATAAAAGGTTTCAGGCACCTGAGACATCAAATAGCCCTGATCTGAATTGAGGAGAGGAGGGGATTTTAATGCGGTTAAAGCAGTACACTTTGATTTTCAGCCTCCTGCACCAGGCTGGGGGTGGGCTACCCCAGGAAGCATCTGGTGGATGTAGGGGGCGGGGGCAGGGTGGGCTCTGGGGCTAAGGCTTGGAGGTTCAGGAAGACTTTATCCTGAGGATCTGGGCCTGAGGGCTCAGGAGGGATGTGAAGTGGGCTTCCACACTGGAAGCAACAAGCATGGGAATTTCACACCCACTCCCACCAGAGGTAGGTCCCTGTGTCCATTCCCCCCCTCACCTCTGGATCCCATCACTCATCTGGGCCAAAGCCTTGCTTCCTCTTGAAATTAGAGCATATGAGGTTTGAAAACGCAGCACTGGAAGAGACCTAAAGGGTTACAGCATCCACACACAGCCCCTAGTGGGCCTTCCTCCCCGACCCTCCCTGCTCAGTATCTCAGGAAAATGGGCATGTGGGAACTGTAGGAGCCCTCTGAGCTCCTCAAGAAACTGAGCACGTTAAGGGGCCACACTAATTGTCAGAAAGTTCCTCATTGTTATTGCAGGTTAAAGTTTTCCATTAGTGGTCATCGATCCTGACCTCTTTCTGTAATGTGTAGAAAAAGGGTAAGAAAAAAACCCTTTCATTGTGAAATTAAATATGCATGATCCCTGAGTACACAGCAAGGCTTGTGCAGCTGCCAATCTGGGCTGGCATGGCTTGGAATCCTGAAATTGTTTTAGGGCTGGAAGAAAGATTTACCATCATCTGGGTCAACCTCCTCGTTTGACTGATGGGAAAACTGAGGCCCCAGAAGGGAACGATCTGTGCACAGTCCCATAGGGTTCTAGGGTCTGATGACTACCTCTGGAATGCTGAGGGCCCCCACAGCTGAGGCACATTCTCAGGGTTTACACTGGATCCCCAGGGGCATCCCAGGCCCCATCCAGCCTCTCATCAAGGGGATCTGGAGTCAGAAACACCCAGGTGCAAATCCCAGCTCCGCCACTTCCGAGCTGTGGGACTTTAGGCAACTGACTCTGCGCACTTTCTCACCTGTAAAATGGGGAGAGTTTAG
Source organism: Homo sapiens (assembly GCF_000001405.40). Classification (NCBI taxonomy): domain Eukaryota; kingdom Metazoa; phylum Chordata; class Mammalia; order Primates; family Hominidae; genus Homo; species Homo sapiens. The sequence goes on from NC_000005.10 coordinate 150,151,579, forward strand.
CTGGGTGCGGTGGCTCACGCCTGTAATCCCAGCACTTTGGGAGTCTGAGGCAGGCGGATCACTTGAGGTCAGGTAGTTCGAGACCAGCCTGGCCAACACGGTGAAACCCCATCTGTACTAAAAATATAAAAATTAGCTGGGCATGGTGGCGCACACGCCTGTAATCCCAGCTACTTGGGAGGCTGAGGCAGGAGAATCACTTGAGCTTGGGAAGCGGAGGTTGCGGTGAGCCAAGATCATACCATTGCACTCCAGCCTGGGCAACAGAGTGAGACTCCATCTCAAAAAAAAAAAAAAAAAAAAGTGGGGAGAGTTTATATATCTAATTTTGAGGTTGCTGTGACGGTTTATTTATTTATTTATTTATTTTTTTTGAGACAGTCTTGCCCTGTCGCTTAGGCTCACTGCAATCTCCGCCTCCTGGATTCAAGCAATTCTAGTGCCTCAGCCTCCTGAGTAGCTGGGATACAGGTGCGCACCACCACGTCTGGCTAATTTTTGTATTTTTAGTAGAGACAGGGTTTCACCATGTTGGCCAGGCTGGTCTCAAACTCCAGACCTCGGGTGATCCACCCGCCTCGGCCTCCCAAAGTGCTGGGATTACATGTGTGAGCCACCGTGCCCAGCCTCGATGGTTAAATTAATCCAGTAAATATTTACTAAGAATGTCCTGAATGCCCAGCATGTTCCAAGTGCTGAGGAATACAGCAGCAACTTTGAGGTAACAGATGTAAAGCACAATTGAAGTAGACACAGAAAGTGCTAAGAACGAGTTGGTTCCTGTTATATCATCATGCTCACACTGCTTCCCAGCTGAGGTGCTACAAGCCCTGACCCTGGGAAGGGGCCCAACACCCCTTCCCTTCCCTCCTAACGCTCTGGGTCAGAAGACAGGGGGCACCAAAAAGATTCCCATTCCAAGAACCCACTGCCCACTGGGTTCTGAATCAAATGCAAGAAATGGGTGGGCATTTCAGAAGACCTTTTCATCCCTTTCTCCCTTCCCACTGCATTCAGCAGCAGCCTGTTCTGAGCCAATGCCCAGAGCACCCTCCTTTAGCCTAGAAGGCAGCTGGTCTCAGAGTCAGACTGTGGCCTGTGCCTGGAGGATGGACACGGATCTTTGGAACATACATGGTGTCCAGGTCCCTTCTGTGGGCAGAGCCTTTTGCAGGTTGCAGATTAATTTCACAGCCAAGTGTTCCAATGCAGGAGGCCAGGAGAGCAGTGGTTCTCTCAGCCAGTGGCCAGAGGTCCAGCTGTGAAGTGCAGGAACTGTGGTAAGCACCTTGCCAATGCTGTTGTCTCATGGAGCCCACACACGGTCCTGCTGCTCACAGAGAAGGAGATTGAGGCCCAGAGAGGCAAGGTGCTGCCCCGGGGTCACACAGTCAGCCAGAAACTGACTCGGGGTCAATGCATAGTCATCTGATGCCCAAGCCTGGTGCTGGTTACCCACAGCGCTCACTGCCTCCCAGCTGCGGAAGGAGCCCAGAGATGGGATGTGGGGGGTCTGAGGTTGGCCACACGGTGGATTTAAATCAAGCCAGGGCAAGCACTGGGTCTCCTGACTCTGGATCCACGGTGCTTTCCACTGCCTGCCCCACATGTGTGGGCAATTATAAGTCCCAGCTCTTCTTCCCGCAGAGGAGGGGGGCTGCTGATAACTGCTGTCTGGGAGGAGGGTGCTGACCAGATGGTCTCTTTCCTCTCTCAAGACCAAGCCAGGGCCCGGGCAGACCTTGGAGCAGTCAGACCTGAGGCTGCACTTTCTGCTGGGGAAGGTGCTGAAGCCAGGAGCAGGCTCTGCAGGAGGATGGAGATTCTTCCCTCTGACTGGGAGCTTCCCGGGGAGCACGAGGTAAGCCTTTAGAGTCAGGCAGACTTCAGCCTAAACACCACCTTAACTCACCGTATGGCCCTGGGAAAGTCACTTAGCCTCTCCAGATCTCAGCTTCCTCATCTACAAAAAGTAGGTAATAACACTGATTTCAAAAACTTGCCATGAGGACTCCAAGGTGTGTGAAGTACCAGGCTCTATGCCTGCATGAGGTAGGTGTTCAGGGACTGTATGTCCCTGAAGGCTGTGGATTCAGGGTCTCCTGCTTGGAGACAGGGGAGGACTGCATGACTTCAGAACTTGTCACTAGAGGCCTCTGTGCAATTGGGAGGTCACAGAGGGAAGCAGAGATACTCCTCCCTGCTTGCAATGGAGGAATGCTGCCTGGAGTAGCCACACGATGTCCTGGAAGGGCACCTGTGAGAAGGCTGGAGGCCTGGGTTCTAGTCTCACACTTGGGAGCAGAAGGTCTTCAGTGAGCTCCTCCTCCCTTTCACCAGGACATTTTTTCAGCCGCACTGCCTATCCAGGGCTGGGCACTGGGGGAAGAGCACAGGATGGGGAAACCTTAAACCTTTCCCCAGCAGAAAGTGCGGCCTCAGTTCTGACTGCTGGGGCCTGAACAATCTCTGATGAACAAACAGAACATAAACAGATCACCAACAGGGGAGGGCCAAGTAACATGGCTTCAGCACAAAGTGCATGGCTAGCACTTGGAAGACAGGAAGAACCTAGGAAGGCTGCCTGGAAGAGGTGGTGTATGGAATATCCCTGAAAGAAAAGTGATGAGGAAGGGCATTCCAGAAAGGGGGAAGAGGGAGGGCAAATGCCCACAAGCAGGATGGTGCGCATTCCTTCTGGGAATTCTGGGATCTGACTGGCGGGAACAAAAGGCCCAAGTTTGGAGTAATGGGGCACGGGGAGATTCCAACCTCTCCAGGCTGTGCCACTTACTAGCTGTGTGGCTACAGTTATGTGGCTGCGTGAGCCTCAAGTTCCTCATGTATAAAACGGAGGTAAAAACAGTCACTGCCTCTGGGGTTGCTGGTGAGCATTACATGAGATCAGTCTCATAAAGCACTCAGCACAGTTGCGGCGTGCAGTAAGTGTCAAGCAGTGGCAGCCTCTGTTAGGAGCTGGGACTTTCTCCAGGCACTGGGGAGCCATAGGCGGATCCTGGGCAGGGAGGTGGTGTGATTGGATTTATGCTTTAGAATGGCATGGAGAAGGGGTAGAGTCCAGAAGGAGGGAGACAACGAGGAGGCCTGAGCAGCTGCCTGGGACCAAAGGAAATGGCCCAGTGGCTGACCCCTTCTTCACAGAGGAGCCCCCAGATCTGACAGCCAGGTCCCAGCCCCCAGACCCAGCAGCATGACCGCTAGGGGGTTGCCATGGCCGCCCATCACCCTCGAACTTTCCTAGCCCTCAAACTTTTCTAGCTGCTGGGGGTTTAGAAGGATATCTTAAGAATCTAGAAAATTTGCAAATCCATTTAAATCCCCAGAGGTTGCCTGGCGGCTGACTGGCCTAAAGCCAGACTGATTCTTAGAAACAAGGCTTGGGCCAAGGAACAGCGGCTATGGTCCTGAGGTCCCCAGTCCCCTGCTTTCTGTGTACCCTGCCTACCTTCTCCCAATTCCCCTCTCCCGCTCTTCCCAGCTCTCCCCACTCCCCATTGACTGTGCTGTGCTTTGGAGGCCCCCAGTCAGCACCCAGAAACCCCTGAGGATTGTTTGATGAAGGCAGGAGCAGCAGGGATGATGAGGTGGAGGCCACTCACCCCAGAGCAGGGGAAAGGAGAAAACTGGCTCCTCCATCCCTGACATCACCCACAGTCTCCCAGCCTCCTCTCATCTTGTTTTGTTAAAAATATCTTCCCTTTTTTTTTTTTTTTTTTTTTTTACCTACTCGAAGAGATGCAGGTTAGGGCAAAGGGACAGGGCATGGGGCTGGGGTTCCCACTTTTTCCAGCACTTACCTTGCTGCTGATGGCTTCTGGTGTGGGCACAGTTCCAGGCTCTGGACAGTCACCCCCTCCAGGAAGTCCTCCTTACTGCCCTCTCCCAGTTATCAGAAAGACTGCTGGTCCCAGAGTGGGTAACAGCTGAGTAGAAGGACAGGCAGGACTGGTGCAGGCTCCTGAAGGCTCAGGAGAACAGAGGGATGGAGGAAGGGGGCTGCTGTAGGGGAGAGGAGCGGCCCAGCTTCGCCTCACTCCCCAAGCATCCTTCGGGAGGAGCAGAGCCGCCAGAGGGGCCGCCCTGGGTCTGGCTGTCTGCGTTGGGCAGGGCGAGCACAGGCTGCTGCTGGGCAGCAGGGCTGAGGGGCCGGCTCTCTCCTCCTCCTTGTTGATCTCCTCTCTGGCTCCAAGTTGCTCACAGAGCGATCCTGGGTCCCAGATAGGGCGGGCAGTCACTGCTGGCTGCTGGCAGCCTCAGGAGCTCACACCACTATGGGCTTCCATGCCCCCCCACTTCCCCCGCCACTTTGGGGGAAAGGCTGCAGGGTGGCTTCTGATTGGCCCAGCTGGGAGAAGGGGGGGCGGCGGGGCAGGGAGGGTGGACGCGTGCGTCTGTTTTCAATTTCAGTTTTTTTCCCCCTCTCTCTTTCTTTTCCCCCAAGTTTCTTGTTTTTCTTCTTTTCACTCTGCTTACTCCCTCCCATCGCCCGTTCGCTCAGGATGTGAGGGGATGCTTAGAAATTCCACAGCCCACGCCAGCCGCCAGCTGCTGAGTCACTTTTGTCAAAGAGTGGCCTCGGCCCCACTTTCCCGATGCCCATGTCGGGTGGCGGCCTCCCCTTGCCATGGCACCCAGGGAGATCATTTCTCAGTGCCTCAGTTTCCCCATCTGTAAAGGAGACTCTGATCATCTCTGTGGTTGATTCAGTCAACCTTCATTCATTGAACAAGCATACTGAGCATTTACTACATTCTAACACTGTACTGGGTGCAGGGGACAGTAGCAAGACGTGGTCCTGACCTCAGAAGCACCAGGCTAGTGAGCAAGATATTCATTGGGCAAGCAGGTGCCCGGTCGGCAGACAGGAGGCTGAGAGTGCATTTAGAAGGACCCCTAACGGAAGCCTGAGAGAATCAGAGAGCACTGCTGAGAAGAGGTGACATGGAGGAGATGGAAAGATCCTCCAAGATGATCAGCCGTTTTTCAGAAGGACAAACCAAGGCCCAGGGGTGAATTGGCACAGAGAGGGAATGTGATTTGGTCAAGGTCATCCAGCACAGATTGGATATCTCTGGATATTGACAGATACATTCCTTTTCACGTCTCAAAGCCCCTGGGGTGCAAGGAGAGGATTATTTGCCCCATTTTATAGATGGGGACACTGAGGCCCAGAGGAGCAAAATAAGCTTCCCAAGCTTACGCAGCAATGGCAGAGCTGGGGCAGAACTAGGTCTCATGAGACACATGATGGAAGAGACACAAGTCATCTGACCCCCACCCGAGACCCCTATTCCAGTGTAGATGAACCCCCTGCCCTGCTTTCTTCCTAGGTTCCCCCTGTGGCTCTTTCATTCAGTCACTCAACAAGATACTTTCTTTTTTTTTTTTTTTTTTTTTTTGAGATGGAGTCTTGCTCTGTCTCCCAGGCTGGAGTGCAATGGCGCAGTCTAGGCTCACTGCAACCTCCGCCTCCCAGGTTCAAGTGACTCTCCTGCCTCAGACTCCCAAGTAGCTGGGATTACAGGCGCACACCACCACACCTGGCTATTTTTGTATTTTTTGTAGAGACCGGGTTTCACTATGTTGGCCAGGCTGGTCTCAAACCCCTGACTTCATGATCCACCCACCTCAGCCTCCCAAAGTGCTGGGATTACAGGCTTGAGCCACCGCACCCAGCCTCAACAAGATACTTTCAAGTATCCGTTTTGTTCCATTTCCATTCTCTGGCTCTCCTTTCCTACCAGGGTCTGCCAAGACTCCTCCAGTTCCCCCAGCTGGGTCTCTTCTTCCACCCTCAGCTTCTCAGATCAGAAGACATCTCCAGTTACAGACTCCTAGCCCTCAGATGGCAAAGGGCATTATTTTAGAAGGGCATATAGAGTGGGCTTACCACCCCTGCTCCCACTACTGCACCCACAGGGCAACTGAATTCCAGAGGGTGAAGAAAGCTGTCCCAGGTGACACAGGTAGAGGCTGGCTCTGCCCTCCTTCCCTCTGCGCCGCTAAGTCTTTCCTCCTCAGCTTCCCCCAGACCCCTGTTCACAGAGCAGAGGATTTGCGTGAGCTGGGATTCCATGCCCACCACAGTCAACTATCTTGCATTTCTTGGTCTAGTCCCAATCGGGATTGCCCAGCAGAGCATCTGGGCTGGACCACATAGAAGGAGAAGTGTTCTCAGACTGGTTCCCAGCCACGGGTTGGGGACCATAAGAGTACCCCGAGAGAGGGGGCCTGGCCAGGTCTTTGTGGCAACAGGGAAATAGGGGAATGTGAAAAGATCCCACAGGCCACAAGGTCAGGCTTGCACAGGGATTTCTTGTGCCCAAAGATTCCGTCAGAAATTTACGACTCCCCTCCTAGCATCTGCCTGGGCCATTCACCTCTGAATCCTTGGCTGACCCTCTGCAGCCAGGCCAGCCTGGGGGAGGCCACGAGACACACCAACCCCCTAGTCCCCAAAGAAGCTAGTCTGGGAGTCAGAAGACCCAGCCACAGACTTATCAGGAGAACTTGAATAAGTCCCTTGCCCTGCCTGAGCCTCGGTTTCCCTATTTGTACATAACAGTTGTGGACTCACTGTGCTACAAGGCCCTTGGGATGGTCCGTCTGCAATTTCCCTTAGAGCTGGACTCTAGCAAGGGAGAGGAGGCTGGTGGGCCCTAGGGCAGGGGTACAGCTGGGGCCAGAGATGCAGCACAAAGGGGAGGGGCAGTTGGCGGTGGCTCCCCTGGGAAGCTGGCGGCCTCCAGTTTCCGGCCAGCCCAGCCGTCCTGAGGCCCATCTGGAATTACTTAGCCCCTACTGCCATTAACCCTTGGTGGGCACCAGGACTGTCACTCCTCCTCTCAACTGAGATATGGGTGGGAGGTGCAGAGCTACAGGGAGCAACCCAGGGCACTCACCAAGGGGCAAAATTGTCATGATTGACAGAGGAGGTTGGAGAGCTAGAGATAGAGCTGGGTTCGAATCCCAGCTGCTCCAGTTTCAAGCTACATGAGCTTAGGCAAGTCACTTAAACTCCTGGCCTTGGTTTCCTCCTCTGGAAAATGGAGACAAGTCAAAGACTGATTCATAAGACTCTTCGGTTTGTACAAAGGACTTAGTACATTGCCTCGAAGTGTACTAAGTGTACACTATTACTGAAATAGTGAGTTTCCTCATTCGAGCAGCATTCCATCACTGTGTCTTCCTGGGCGGAGCCTCCCTTTTCTGGGTCTTGGATTCCCCTTGTGCACTCTGCCTTCAGCGGCAATGGACGGGGCACATGGGCAGTGCAGCACCATCACCCTGGGGTGGTCAGCATGGCCCCCAGCCCCACTGTGGACAGGACAAGCTATGAACATCCTCACACCTACACAGATACTGGGAACCCAGTCCAGCCTTGGACAATGCTGTCTTGGGGAAGCCTGGGCTGAGAGTAGGTGGGCAGAGCATGGAATGTGGGGAGCCCTGCCTGAAGTGGACTGGGATGGGGTACAGTGGGAGAGGGGGGCTCTGGGCCTTAGGGTTCCACACTGCCTTCCCCCACAGCACGGTGGCACACTCAAGAGTTAAATGTCTGGACTCTGATGTTGGCAGCTCCAACCCAGCTCCACCACTTCCCAGCCATGTGACGCTGGGAGATGATATGACCTGAGCTCTCTGAGCCTCAGTACCTTCAACTGTGAAATGGGGACACATGTGCCTACCTCACAGGGTTGTGGAGAGACCTGAATAAGCCATGCCCACAGGCATTTTGTCAAGCCTCGAGCAAAACAAGAAAGTGCCACAAAAGGTGACTGATCCAGCTGGGCGCGGTGGCTCACGTCTATAATCCCAGCACTTTGGGAGGCCAAGGTGGGTGGATCACCTGAGGTCAGGAGTTTGAGACCAGCCTGGCCAACATGGAGAAACCCAGTCTCCACTAAAAATACAAAATTAGCTGGGTGTGGTGGTGCATGCCTGTAATCCCAGCTACTCGGGAGGCTGAGGCCAGAGAATTGCTTGAACCCGGGAGGCAGACGTTGTGGTGAGCTGAGATGGCGCCATTGCACTCCAGTCTGGGCAACAAGAGTGAAACTCCATCTCAAAAAAAAAAAAAAAGGTGACTGATCCTCAGGTGTTACCAAGAGCTGCTGTCATAGAAGTCCACCATCAGGGCTGGAGGGAAGCTCACCAACATGCTCATTACACAGCCGGTATGACTGAGGCCAGTGATGGAAAGGAACTTGTGCAAGGCCTTGTGATGTGTCAGCCACAGACTGGGACTGGAACCGAGGCTTTCTGTCTAGACTCATAAGCCCATGCTCTTCCCCAGAGGAGGGAACCAGGCTGAACAGACCCCCGTGCTAAGACCCCCCTCCCCCACCCACGCTTGTCAGAGCCGGAAGTTGCTGCTCTCAGTGGGGCAGGGGGAGGGAACCGGAAAGGGAGCCTGAGTGGGAGAATTCCCAGGAGGCCGCTCAGCCCTCACTCAGGCAGGGCAGCGGCCACCACATCTGGCTCTCCCACGCTCCTGGCTCTGCCCCCACTCCCAGGCTCCCCAGGCAGAGTTGTGGGGTGGGGGTGGGGGGTGATGAGGAAGCAGCACACATACCCCAGGCGCTCACACAGTCATCTTAGACGTCAGGACCCTAAGATATGTCCCTTCTGCTGGCATGGACACTGAGGCCCAGAGAGTGGAGGGGACTTGTCTGAGGTTCACGGTGGGGCTGAGGGAAGCTAGAATACAGGACTCCTGATCCCCAGCTCAGTGTCCTTCCACCCATGCATGCCCTGAGCAGAGCACGTAGATCCTTGTGCCTGTGGCTGGGGAGCCAGAGAGGCACAGAGTGGGAACTGTCCCCCTACCTCCTGGACACTCAGTGTAGTGGCTTTCTGAGTGGGCAAAAGACCAGCAGGGGCCTTGGGCCACATTCCCTCCCTAGATTCTTAGGACTGTCTTACTGAGCCAGACTGTAGCCACCGAGGTCTGCCAGGGTCCCAGGAGATAAAGGCTTCAAGACACTGCCCATTCAGCCTCTCCTTGCCCCCTTGCTGGCCTCCCTCTCAGCCCCAGGACCGTGGGCAACTTGAGTGTGTCCATCTGGTACACGCAGATGGCTCATAGATCCCCAGAAGAGCAGGGCCCTCACCCTCACTGAATACACTGGCTCCTAAGGTCTGGAGAGCACCAGAACTTTTTTGAGGGCACACAGCAGGCCTAGGGTGGGGCCTCTCCATCTAACACCCAGTTATCACTAAGATAACTGTTCCTCCAACCATCCATCCATGCGATAGAAGTTAATTGAGGACCTACTATGTGCCCTGTCCTCCTGTCCTCACAGAGTTCACAAGCAAACACCGAGGAAACCACAAATTAATAATATCAAATTGTGATGAGTGTGATGAAAGAGACAAAGAGAATAATGAGCTGGGTGGATGGGAGTTCTTGTTCAGGTACAATAGGGCTTCTGTGGGGAGGAAGCAGGCCTGTGAGGCCACACACATTCAGGAGTAGGAACAGTGTTCGAGGCAGGGGGAAAAGCATCTGCAAAAGCTTGGAGGCCAGAGAGATCTTGATGGGTTCGAACAAAGAGAAAAGAATGGTTGAGGCAGAGAGCCGGCAGTGGGATGGAAGATTGGAGAGGTGGTCAGTGGCCAGGCATCAGGGCTTTGTGGGCTCGAGGGAGTCTGACTTTTATCCTGAGGGTCAGTAGGGGCCACTGCAGGATTTTAAACAGGGGACTGATGAGACCAGGTCACCCAAGTGCACTGTGGAGGATGGACGAAAGGGGGCAGGAGGGAGGCATGGGACGAGTGTGGAGGCTGCAGTGGCCGATCATGGACTGAACACTGCACACACACACACCCGTACTCCGTGCTGCCCCCAACTCTTTATCCACCTGAGAGGCTGCAGGAATGCATCTCAACAGGGAGTTTGGGCTTCTGTGTCCCAGCCTGTGCCTGGCCACTTGACTCACAGTATGGCCTTTTTCCTTCCCTGGCCTCTGTACCCTCCTCAGCACGGTGGGTCAGACACAGTGCTTCTCTGATAAGGACATCTATGCCCTGGGCCTCTGGTTCTAGCATCCCCTCTACTACCTAAGTGTCTGTGTCCTGGGGACTGCCACCCTTCCCTACCCCTCTGTTTCCCTAGGATAATCAGTGGCATCCGGGCATTACTGAGACAAGGCAACAGTACGGCGAGTCCTCCAGCAGTACCCAGGAGTGCCAGCAGGTGGCGGCCCCAGCCCCTGGAGGGGTAGGAGGAGAAGAAAGGTGTTGGGAGGAGAGAGGCCTCTGGAAGGCAAAGATGCCTCACAGGAGTCCCCCGCATCTGTCCCTACCTGGAGGTGGGCAGGGCAGGAATTAAGATCCCCGATTCTGAGGTGGAAGCAGGGACTCAGAGAGGGGAGTTAATGTGTCCAAGGTCACAGAGCGAGACTAAGGCTTGGCTGGGATGGGCCCCCCATCCAAAGCCCTTGGACTACAGTCCAGAGAGAGCTTCAAGAGGCTGGCAGTGCAGTGCAGTGGGCCTAACACTGGCCCTGGTGCCCACCAGCTTCTCTTAGGCAAACTATTTGCAACAGAAAGCTGAGCCCAGAAACTTTTCTCTTCTAGGGCCATAAACCTGATTGAAAAACCAAGTTATCACTAAGATCTTTATGAGGCCATCAGCTCTGTGCCCCACCCCAGGAGGCCCTGGCTGGGTGTGTGAGAGCAGCCTGGAGGGAGGGCTTCCAGGGGGAAGAGGGGCCTACCCAGGAGCCAGAGGAAGGAGGGGTCCAATAAACAGCCACTCCTAGGGGCAGGCGATATCAGAGAGGAAGAGGCTGCCCACAGGACAGGGTAGACAGGGCCTTCTCCACGCACAGAGCCATGCTGGACTGCTATCCCAGTCCCAGAGAGCACAGGGGGAGACTGAGGCCCAGGGGCTCAGGGTCACAAGGCGAGTCAGAAGCCAAGGTGGGAAGACCTGCAATTTCAGACTCCCAGCCTGGGTCATTTAAACAAGGTTACAGTGTCCTGGTTGGGGGGAAACTGGGGATGCCACATCGGGGCTGGCTCAGGACTTCTACAGGGGGTCCACCTAGGGTTGAGGGCAAAGGGAGAGCAGAGGCTTTTTTGCATGAAGAAATCAGAGGAGGAAGAGGAACCAGCTATTTGTTTAAGCAAAATCCCAACTAACAAACTAGGGGGCAGGGAGGCACACACAGCTCGCTATCCTGGCAGCGGGGGCCAGATGTAGAAGAAAGAGAAACTTTGGCCCGGCACGGTGGCTCACGCCTGTAATCCCAGCACTTTGGGAGGCCAAGGCGGGTGGATCACCTGAGGTCAGGAGTTCGAGACCAGCCTGACCAACATGGAGAAACCCCATCTCTACTAAAAATACAAAATTAGCCGGGCGTGGTGGCGGGCACCTGTAATCCCACCTACTCAGGAGGCTGAGGCAGGACAATCGCTTGAACCCGGGAAGCGGAGGCTGCAGTGAGCCGAGATTGCTCCACTGCACTCCAGCCTGGGCAACAATAGCAAAACTCTGTCTCAAAAAAAAAAAAAAAGAAAGATAAAAAAAACCTTCCAGCTAGGATATTGACTTCTGTGTGACTTCAGGCAGATGACTTTGCTTCTCTGAGCTCCAGCTTCCTCCCTGCAAAATGGGGCTAACAATCAACCCCACCTCGTTGTGCTGCTGTGAGGAGGAACTGAGATAACACATGCAAAGGGCTTGGGATGATGCCTGGCACTTAGTAAATGCTTAATACACAGCAGTGCTATTGTTGTTGTTATTATTACTCCAGCAAAATGTCAAGGGCCAAACCCTGAAATCTCAGAGAGAACTGAGCTAGGAGTCAGAAAGCCTAGTACAGGGGAATCCACAGAAGTGTGGGGGCCCAATCCAGGATGTGTCCGTGGAGTGGGAGGGACATCCACCCTGGGAGGGCACACTACTAAGGGGACCACAGAGCAGCTGGAGGGGCTCCCCAGGTCGTGCGGGTCCCTGGCTCTGCCCTCTGCCTGATCAGGACAACAGACTTTGCTCCGCTGGGAAGGGACTGCCGCTTTGGCCCCCATCTCTCAGCCACCACCTAGTTCTGGCCACCATCTCCACCACTCCTGGACCCCTTCCCGGCTTCCTGCTGCTCTCTGGCGCCCCGCCTCTCCTCTGGCTCATTCTCCACACACCAGCCACAGCTGTCTTCCCGCCACTGCCCTCCGCCACTCTACCCCTAGATAATACCCTTCCACACCCTCATCAGGCTTGTCCCACCAGGGCCTGCTCTGCCCCTTGCCGGACTCCTCTCTTGCCCCTACCACTCCAGACTGGCCTTTAAGTGCTAAGGGAACAAGTGTCCCCTCGGGCCTCAGGGCCTCTGTTCATACTGACCCTTGACCCCTGCCGCCCTTCCCCACTCCCCAGGGCCTTGACTCACGTGTCACTTCCTCCTGCAAGTCTTCCCTGACTCCTCCCTCTGGGTCAAATCTCCCTATTCCTGGCCCTTGCCAAGATGTAACTTTACCTTTATTTGTGATTATTTGATTCATACCTGTCCACCCCCGCCAGACCCCAACTGTAATTACTGCAAGGGCAGGGCCTCACTCAGTACCTAACATAGTGTCAGCACAAAGGAGGTGTGTTAATAATATATATTTTTCAAATAAATACATACATAAAGAAATGAATTTGTATGCCTATTTCCAACCTTTAAGCCTACCATTTAGGCCTGACAGAGCATACTCTTGAAACTAGAGGGCACTTAGAGAGCACCCTTCCCCCGGGATAGGCATCCTTTCCCCCAGCATCCCTAACGTGAGACTGACCTCCAGCACTCACTTACATACCTCCTGTGATCATGAGCTCACTCTCTCTCATGACAGCCCATTTCCTGACAGATGGCCCCTTACAGAGCACTTTCTTACGTATGGGTGGGCTGAAATCCACATCTGTAGCCTGCAGTTTCCTCCCTGAGGTCCCAAGTCTGCCCTGTCTTCCTCCCCAGACTCAGACCCCACTCCAGGTTTTCTCTTCCTTCAGTCCAAGCAGTCCCAGTTCTCTCAGCTCAGAAAGTGGAGTTCAGTCCTCTTGGGCCTCTTCTCCCTCCTCTGTGTACTTGCCAGTTTCCCACCAATCCCTTGAAAACTTGAGTCCTAAGCAGAGCCCAGAGCTCCAGAGAAACATTTCAGCACCGCATCCACTTCCTGACCTGGGAAAGTGGGATCTTCCCTGCTGAGGCAGCCATGTGCTCATCTGTGTCATGTGCTGATCCACACACATGTGGACAGCCATGTGCTCCTGCAAGGTAGCCAAGGGCTCCGCCCGGTCAGCAACAGCCAGGATTTCCCTTCCCCTCTCCTACAAGCAGCCTTCATGTTGCAGCAAACACTGGGCATTACTCCTTTCCTTTCTGAGCCTCAATGCTTCTACCTGTGCAATGGAAAGGGTTCCTCTGAGCAGGAAGCGGAGGGAGCCCTGTGCTGGCTGAGTCTCTGGCTCTATCACATATCAGAGCCCCAGAAGAGCAAGAGTCTCACCAGGGCCAGCTTCCCAGGCGGGTCACCATTGCAGTCACACAGAGCCCAGTGTGTGGAAGGGCCCCGGGCTCAGGTGAATGCTCTGCTGCCACCATCCTGAAATCCTTAATCATTTTTGAACAAGGGACCTTATATTTTTTATTTTGCTCCCGGCCCTGCAAATTATGTCCTGATCCCGAAACATCTGCCCAGCCCTGAGATGATACTGACCAGCCCCCGGCTAATATGGTGACCCAAGAGAGAGACGGGTTGAACAGATAAGACCCTGATTCTGACCTTCTTCTGGGGACCACACATCCCTGCACAATGAGAGGAACCCAGGAAATGTGGGCCCATCCAATCCCACAGGGTGCTTCTGCACAGCTCCCTGGCACAAAGCCCTTGTGCGGAGGGACCCCATCTGACTTCCTGACCCAGAGCCCTGTCCTTCATGCACCCTTCCCCAAATCCCTCAGCCTTGTCCCCACTCCCAGTTCACTGACACCCCCTCAAGTGTTCCCAGCCCCCACTCCCCCTTAGGTAGCTATGAAATGTTTGCCAGTCCTTCATATGGAGTGGAGGAACACGTGATGCATTTAAAATCCCAAGGGGGCTCCAGCCATAATAAATGGATCAGGGCTTTTGGATCCCGATTCACACAAACAGACTGCTAAAAAGACATTTTTGAATCAATTGGAGTACTTTGAATACGAACTGTGTGTTAGGTAATACCCAGGAATTTGTGTTAATTTTGCTAGATGTGATAATGGCATATTATGTAAGAAAATGTCCATGTGTTTTAGAGATGCGTGCTGAAGTATGTAGGGGTAAAATGACATGATGTCTGGAATTTGTTTTAAAATACTTCAGAAAAGCGGGGAGTAGGTGAAATAAGTGTGACAAAACCTTAATAGTTGTTGAAGCGGGGTGATGGGTACACAGCAGTTCATTATACAATTCTACTTTTGTGTATGCTTGAAACCTCTCAATTAAAAAAAGAGGGTAGAGAGTCATCAAGATAATTTACTAAAAGTTTCCTGTAATGTCCCCAGAAGACCCCCCTAACTCACACACACACACACCCACACACACACTGCCTTTTGAGAACTTTCTCTAGAAGGCCAACCCAGGCAGTCCCCCAACTGTAAGGAAGACTCGTGTATGTATGTGCATATGTGCATTTCCCCAGGGAAAAACATCCACAGCTTCCATGACGAGAGGGGTCGTGACCCCTCCCCGCCAAAAGATTAAGGACCTGCGATCCTACAGACCGGAGCCCTGTTTGAAGTCTGCGTTGCCCCTCACCTCAAGCTGGTCACTGTGTGAAGTTGGCCTAGAATCCCCCGGCCCCTGGGAGCTTGTTCCTCCGCCTGTAAAATGGGGCTGCAGGGCCGTCCACGCGGCCACCGGAAGGACAAGGTGTTCAGGCCGCTAGGCCGCTCCCTGGCAAGCGATTCCCACTCGCAGCGCGGCCTCGACCCTCGCCCAAGACGCGCCCTCCGCGCCCCCACCCCCTCCAGGCCCTGGCCAGTCCACCTCCCGCTTGGGGCGGCAATTTGTCTCCTTTTGAACCCCCCGCCCCCGACGGGTTTCCCCCTTTGATTCGCGGCCCGGAGGCTTCCCCCCGCTTTGAAATGCAAACCCGCCTCGGCTGGGGCCGCGGGCGGCCCGGAGCTATAAAAGGCCTGGGTGGGGCGGGCGCGGCGGCAGGACAGCCGAGTTCAGGTGAGCGGTTGCTCGTCGTCGGGGCGGCCGGCAGCGGCGGCTCCAGGGCCCAGCATGCGCGGGGGACCCCGCGGCCACCATGTATGTGGGCTATGTGCTGGACAAGGATTCGCCCGTGTACCCCGGCCCAGCCAGGCCAGCCAGCCTCGGCCTGGGCCCGCAAGCCTACGGCCCCCCGGCCCCGCCCCCGGCGCCCCCGCAGTACCCCGACTTCTCCAGCTACTCTCACGTGGAGCCGGCCCCCGCGCCCCCGACGGCCTGGGGGGCGCCCTTCCCTGCGCCCAAGGACGACTGGGCCGCCGCCTACGGCCCGGGCCCCGCGGCCCCTGCCGCCAGCCCAGCTTCGCTGGCATTCGGGCCCCCTCCAGACTTTAGCCCGGTGCCGGCGCCCCCTGGGCCCGGCCCGGGCCTCCTGGCGCAGCCCCTCGGGGGCCCGGGCACACCGTCCTCGCCCGGAGCGCAGAGGCCGACGCCCTACGAGTGGATGCGGCGCAGCGTGGCGGCCGGAGGCGGCGGTGGCAGCGGTAAGGACCCTTCCCTCGCCCTGCGCCTCTGGACCTGCAGGTGCTCGGGCGCGGCCCAGGCCGCCCCCTGTCTGACCTCTGCTCCGGCCCTGCTCGGGTTCCCGGGAGTGTGGCCCTCCTGTCCACTCTCGCCCTGGGGGGCTGCTCTTTGGCTCCCTCTCCTCAGTCTCAGGCTATCGGAGCCTTCAGCAGCACAGCCTAACCCTCTCTCTGTACAGATAGGGAAACCGAGACCCCCTGCGAAGTGCGGAAATGCGCCTGCGGCCGCGGAGCAAGACCCGAACTAGAACGCAGGCTCCCAGACTCGTGTCCCACACTCATTTAGCAACACCGACTCCGTGCTCTTCATCTGCTTCTTCCACTCCTAACCCAGCCCTAGGCAAAGGCGGCAGGTTCGCCCCAGAAGGGACGATTAACTAACTGTGTGAACAGGGCAGGTGACTTTCCTGGCCAGGGCTGGGTCTCCCCATCACACAGTCAAGACATTGCTGGGTCATATCCTTCAGGCTGAAAAAGAGCCCTCTTTGGCCAGACTGGGGCAAGGGGTCTGTACCTTACCTTCTCAGGGTCCTCCCTGAACTCTTGACCCCGGGGGAGGGGAAGCGGGAGCAGTGGGAAGGGGGGCTACTGTTTGGCTCCTGAGCCTGTGAACCTCCTGCCCCCAGGCAGGCCTCTCTGATCCGCCCTCTTCAAAGGCAGGGTAGGGGGCAGGACAAAGGGCCCAACTTTAATGAGGGGCGGCTTGACCTCCGTTATGGGTCCCCCCTTTGTCATGCAACTGGCTCTGCCTTGGCTCGGTAGTGACTCCTGTTGGCCGGAAAGTGAACACGACGTTCCATTGTCCGGACTGTGTCCGGCCTGTCCTGACAAAGGCCACCTAGCCTTGGGGGCGGGAAGCTGGCCTGCCCACCCTTTGATGTCCAGCCCCTCCTCCCCTTACCCCAGCTGCGAATAATCCTGGGACTTCTCCCACCTCCTCGCACTCTTCACCCCCATCTCCCCACACACACCCAGCTTGCCTCGGGGCAGATGCTGGGTTGGCCTTGATCAGGAGCTACGGGTTCTGGCCATAATCATATCCCCTTTTTGGAAGTCCCGGGGATACATAACCTCCTATCTGCCTCCAGGGAGATGCAGGGAACCAGACTCTGCCACTTGCTTCTGTGGCCTTGATTAAATAACAGCTAATGTTTTGGAACACTTAACTAACGGACCAGGCATGACCTAAGTAAGATCTTGCATGCATTAACTCCTTTAACTCTTAAAACATCATCGTAGGTACTATTATCACCCCCATTTTAAGATGAAGAAACTATGGCATAGAGAGTTTAAGTACTTGCCCAAGGCCATATAACCTGTAACTAGTGGGGCTGGGATTTGAACCCAGGTGGACTAACCACTAAGTCTGTGCTCTAATTCTCTACACAACAGCTCCTCTTAAATCAGTCATCTTTTCTGGGTTTCAGTTCTACTGTCTGTGAAATTAGAGAGAAGGGAGATTATGCAGTGGTTTGTACCCTTGTTTAAGTTACAAAAGGACTCCTTTGAAAAATCTGCTGAAAGGTACAAATGTTGCATCATTGGGCAATTTCAGGGGTTCTGGAGGCTACCAGAAGCTTTATCCATAAATCCGGGGTTAAGAACCCTGTGTTCTATGAGAGGAGGTGGTGGCAGCACCAGTGCTCAGGATCCTGCAGTTCCCAGTCTGTGAGGCTCTGGAGAAGGAAGCCTGTGTTTCCTGCTCCTGTGTTCCACTTTCTGCTTCCTGCTCATGGGGTGACTTTGGAGATGAATGGGGAGGTTCCCTATGGGTAGGGACTTGGAGAGAGGCCATCACTGTGTAAGGGAAAAGGAGTGTGTCAGTGGGGGTCAGGGGACTGGGTATCCTGGAGGAGTTTCCAGGAGCTTCCATACAAATCACCTCGTGTCTCTGGGCACGAGAGCTGCTGAACCTGGCTCATCCTCTGGTCTCAAAAGTCGCTTGAAAACTGTTGTCTGCAGGCAGATGAGTCTACCCCAGGCAAAAAAGCATTTCCCCCTCCTTGCTCTCCGAGAGTAGAGGGAAAGGCAGAAGGAGGTCTGGGGGTTCCCAAGGCTCCAGGAAAGGGACTTCCCTGGAGCCAGGTTAGCCCTCTTCCGCAGAGGATGCAGGAACCCTGACCTTCTTGAAGCCAGAAGGTGCTGCCTGTCTTCCCAGGGCATCTGACTGTCTATTCAGTGCTCCTGAAGTGGGGGCAGAATTGGGTTGGCACTGTTGACTCTCCCTGAGAGAGAGGCCAAGCCCCTCCTGTCTTTGGCCTCAGTTTCTCCTTCTGGGCAATGAAGGCATAGGGTTTCCAGGGGTGCTTCCTGTGCAATGCTGCTGTCCAGGACAGCTGAAGGAGGATCAGTGCATGCCACTGCCCTCCTAATCCCCACTGGCACTGGCCACCAGGTCTTCAGCCTGCCACCAATCCTGGCTAGCCCCCTTTTGCCCCACTTCTGAGCCTCCAGCATTCGAGAGTGGACAAACTGGACAGTTAGAGACCACACATGTAGACGAGGGAACCAAGGTACAGAGACTGTGAAGAATGTTCCAGTTTCACACAAGCGGGGCTGAGCTGGGCTAGATGTCAGAAGAATTGGTTTAGAATTTTCCTATGGTTTCCCATCATATGTAGGATAAACCCCACATTCCTTCCTGAGGTCTACAAGACTACAGCATTTGCACCTGCCTGCCTCCCTGACCTCATCCCCGGCTGCTCTCACCTTGGCTTCCAAGCTCTAGCCATTCCAGACTTCTTTTAGTTCCTCAGACCTGCCAAGTCCTACTGCAGATCTTGTGCACATGCTGTTCTCTCTTCCAGGAAAGCTCTTTCCCCTGATTCTTTGCAAGAGTGGAACCTTCTTACCCTTCAGATCTTAGTTTCATCATCACCTCCTCTGTGAAGCCCTCCATCATTTCCCAAAGTGGACTCCCCACTACACCCATCACGAATCTTTGCTGTGTTTCCTTCAGAGCACTAATTCCAATCTACTCACTTCCTTACACTTGTTTGTATGTTGTCCATTCCCGTGAGGTCCAGAACTATGTCTGCTTAACCCACTACTGCATCCTGGCACCCAGCTCAGTGCATGGCATTTAGTAGGTGCTCAATATATTTTGTTGAGTGAATGAACAGGGCAAGTGTGAGGGACAAAAGGCATCTCTGGGGAACAGGGGAGTGGGTGAGATCTTGGCTTTCACACAGGTTTCTGAGGTCCCAGCCCTAGGATTGGGACCTGTGACTGTCAAGCCAAGCAGTTCAGGTCAATGGAAACCTGGCTGCCTCTGTCTCTCCACTTGGATGGTACCCCAACTCACCTGGGGAAGTGGGGTTGCTGAGGCTGGGACTAAGACTTCAGTTTCTTCTAAGGAGGGGGCAGTGACAATGGGAAAGATGAGAGAGAGGCTGTTGGGCTTCAATCAGTCTCCGATTCCAAAAGACAATATTAATCAGTTATGAGTGATCAGCATCATTTGACTGAGGCCAGGATAGGAAATGACTACAAGACGTTCTTTTTTTTTCCTTTTCTCTTTGCATTTTCATGAGGAGGGTTTTAAATATCATCATTTTCATTAGGATGGTTACGCATCATCCTTCCGTGGAAGGCTCAGCCTCCAATTCCTTTGAATAAAGCTGCTCCACAGGTTAATGGCCCATTGGGGTGGCTGAGGTCTCAGGACTGGGGAGATGTTCACGTGGATGAGACTGTGGGAGCAAGGTTTAGATCTTGGTCCAACCCTGTCAACTTTCAGATGGGGAAACTGAGGCCCATGAAGGATATGAATCCTCCCCTCCCCCCACATTGCAGGTCCTCTCCCTTGGCCCATTGCCACAGCCACCAACCTGCTGTCTCACCTTCAGCCTTTCTGTACTGCTCCAGCTATCTTCTAAAACCATTGCCATATTTACCTTCTCAAGGCACATGCCCTGCTCAAGAGCATTCTGTGGCTCCCTACTGACATGGAATTGCCATTTCATTTTATGCCATTTCTTTTTTCTTTTTTTTGAGACAGAATCTTGCTATGTCACCCACGCTG
Source organism: Homo sapiens (assembly GCF_000001405.40). NCBI lineage: Eukaryota > Metazoa > Chordata > Mammalia > Primates > Hominidae > Homo > Homo sapiens. The sequence goes on from NC_000005.10 coordinate 150,171,385, forward strand.
GAGTACAGTGGTGCGATCTCGGCTCACTGCAAGCTCCGCCTCCCAGGTTCACGCCATTCTGCTGCCTCAGCTTCCCCAGCAGCTGGGACTACAAGCGCACGCTGTCATGCCCGGCTAATTTTTTTGTATTTTTAGTAGAGACGGGGTTTCACCGTGTTAGCCAGGATGGTCTCGATCTCCTGACCTCGTGATCCGCCCGCCTCGGCCTCCCCAAGTGCTGGGATTACAGGCGTGAGCCACCGTGTCCGGCCTTTTATGCCATTTCTTTGTTGTAAAATCCAGCTCCATTTCTATGGCAATCAGAGCCTTCTTGAGAACTGGCCTCAACCATCTATTGAAGCCATTCTCCTGCTACTTTGCCTAGATAAGGCAAGTTAAGAGCCAGGGCTTGGGAGTCTCAGAGCTGGGATTGCATTTCCATAAGAAGCTGTATAGCTTCGGACAAGTTAATTTGGATCATTTCTCGGAGCCTGGGCTGCTTCTGCTGTAACAGGATAATAATAGGATTGCATCTCAGAAGAGATGCCTGTAAAGCACCGCCCTGCCGCTGGCACACAGTAGGTGCTTAGGGCATCGGTGCCTGTGACCACCTCTACCAGTCCTCAGCAGGTGCACTGGAGCACACACCTCACACTCCCAGCCTCTCTAGTCTGGTCCCTCGGCCTGCATTGCCCTCCCTTCCCTCTCCTGCATCTTCACCAGCTCAAATGCTGCTCCTTCTCCGAGGCTGTCTCCTGTAGGAAGCCCTCCCTGATTCCTCCTCCCAAGCACTGTATCAGGCCCTTGTTTTCATGACACTTACCACTGCCTGTCTACTTTCATTGTCTTGTTTATCCCTGCCACTGACCATCTGTAGTCCCTCAAGGACCAGTCCTAATCAGTCCCATCCTCACCCTGTCTTGCACATAGTAAGAGCTCGTGATAAAGCAAATAACTGTGGCATTGGCTAAATCTTTACTGTGTGCCAGGCACTGTGCCAATAACTTTGCATGGGTGATCTCACTTAAGTCTCATGATAGCCCTGAGTGGTGTAAGGATCTAGTATACTCATTTTATAGATCAGGATAATGAGGCTCAGAGAGGGTAAGGTGGCCTGCCCAAGCTCATACAGCTAGGACATGGCAGCACAGTGTTTACACCCAGTCTACAGCCCAGCAATCGTCTGTGAAATAAAGACACACTCACGAAGGGGAGCCTGAGACCCCCCCTTCCCCATGGGCATCCCAGCCAGGTTGGGGGGAAAGGAGGCCAGGCAGGGGATGTACTGTAAGAGGCTGGGGGAGGAGGGGGCCCAGCAGGGGCCTGGCTGTTTAGAACCGATTCTCCAGGCAGAAGCTACATTTGACACCTCATCGCTCAGATATAGCTGGGAAAGGGAATGACCCAGTTAGAAGGTGGCAGAAGGCTTTTTTTTGGTTGGGTGTTTTCTCCCTGCTGCTTTGGCAGATATTGCTGCTCAGAGCTTGGGGAATCATTGTGAAGGTCCAAAATGGTTTGTTAGCAGCAGGGTCTGGTGTGTCCATAGGAAGTTATCTTAATGGGCCGGCCTCTCAGGTTTTTGTGTTGGAGCTCCTGGGATATGGAAACAACATTCACATCTGGAGTCAAGGCCGTCACCATGTTAGCATGCCAGACCCTCCCCATGCCACGCTCACCCCTCAGGCTTGTGGGGGCACCCCACATGGATCCCCCCCATCAACAGAAAGAGGGAGCAAGCTAGGCTCCACACCCTCCCATGGCTTCCTTTTGTTCTTGAAACCAAATCCATATCCCTCTCCTACAGAATCTGCTGGCCTCTCCAGCCCCATCTTGTGCCTCTCTCATTCATTCATTCATTCAAGCAGGCAAGCAGTAATATTCTCTGAGTGAGTGTCTTCTGTCCTGAACTTGCTCCTAGGCATTGGAGATGATGGCCTGAACAAGGCAGACGGGTCCACCTGCATGCAGAGAGCTGCCCTCTCTGCCCTCACTCTGCTCCTCCCTGCCTGGGGGCCTTTGTACCTACTGCTCACTCTCCCTGGAATGTCTTTCCCTGTTCATGACATGGAAGCCTCCTTCTCAACCTCAGGTCTTGGCTTAAATGTGGCCTGTTCCTGGAGACCTCCCCCAGCTAAGTAAAGTAGCGTTCTTCCCCTCACCTCACCAGTCGGTTTAGCTCATTGCTCACTTTCCTTCCTGCTGCTAATCCCAGTTTGTCATTATTTCATTTGTTTGTTTTTAATCTACCTCCCCTGCCATGAAGGAGATAATGAACTATTTATCAAATAAGTACTAAGCAGTTATTATGGTAATCATAATGCGAACCAGCATCTATTGGGTGCTCAGTGTGTTCAGCATTTTTTCAAATGCAAGATTTCTGTCCCCGGAACAGCACATTTCTTCTCCATCAAATGAGTGGCTGGACTAAGCTTTAGGAGCAATGGAGATGGACAGAAGGCTGTGCTTTGGAGGCTGAGCCACCAGCTGCTGGAGTGGACTTGGGGAGCAAGGGAGACAGGACTGAGAGGTGCCACCTTGGCTTTTGATCTGAATGGCTGGAGGATGGAGGTGCTGTTTATTGAGTTAAAGAAGCAGAGGAAGTAGCAGGTTTGTTTTATGTATTCACCAAGGATTCATCAAGTACTCACTGTGTGTGTCAGGCACGTGATAGGTGCTGGTGAGCTAAATGGCATGGCCCTACCCTCAAAGAGCATTCAGGGAGCCAAGGCCTAAGGGGAGGGTCTTCACCAAGGTCACACAGCCAGCTAGGGGTAGGAAGGGGCTGGAGGCAGAGCCCCTCACTGCAGCCCCACCTCGAACGTGAGACTTCGGGAGCCACACCTACAGTGGAGTAGCAAGGGCTTCACTCTCAGACTAGTCTAGTGGAAGATGGCCAGGGGGGCAGTGGCCTGGAAACTCCACCAGGAAACAGTTCAGAGAGGCCTCAAGTTCTTCGGCCTCAGAGAAGACCTGAAGGGATGCAGTTGCTGTTTGTAAATCTTAAATGGCTGTCTTGGGCTCAGGGTGCCCCTGTGGAAAAACTCAGGAAGGATATAAATGGGTGGCAGATGCAAGAACTGGCTGCTTTGCAGCTAGTAGGCGTGTGCTGCAGTGTGGGCGTCCGGACCCTGGTAGGAGTTTGATCTAGCAGCGTTTGTCCAGTAGGACTTTCCGCCAGGATGGAAATGCTCTGTATCTGTGCTGTCCAGTAGGCAGCCACCAGCTGCACATGGCTGTTGAACACTTGAAATACAGCTAGTGTGACTGAGAAACAGAATTTTATATTTTATTTAATTAATGTGGCTAGTTGCTGTCATATTGGACAGTGCAGAAAAATCTCTCTCAAGAGTTCCCAGAATGGAAATCCATTCTGCATAAGCTCCTTGTTCTTGCATTGAGGAATCTCTCCTGCCTTTTTTTTTTTTTTCCTGAGATGGAGTTTTGCTCTTGTCGCCCAGGCTGGACTGCAATGGCGCAATCTCGGCTCACTGCAACGTCCGCCTCCTGGATTCAAGCGATTCTCCTGCCTCAGCCTCCAGAGTAGCTGGGATTACAGGCACACGCCACCACGCCCAGCTAATTATTGTATTTTTAGTAGAGACAGAGTTTCATCATGTTGGTCAGGCTGGTCTCGAACTCCTGACCTCAGGTGATCCACCCACCTCAGCCTCCCAAAGTGCTGGGATTACAGGCATGAGCCACCTCGCCTGGCCTCTCTCCTGCCTCTTTCAGCTTCTTTGTCTCTGTAGTATCATCATCATCATCATAGTTTTTATTAATAAGTACTTTGTTAAGTAGGTTATTACTTTGGTCTCCATAACTACCATATAAAGAAAGTATTCATGTCTTCATTTTAAAGATAAATAAACTGAAACTCAAAGAGGTCCAGCAACTTGCCTGGGGACATACCACTGGCACATGGCCAGACTGGGGGAGAGCCACCGGTCTCTGTCTGACTCTAAAGTCCCTTCCTCTTTGTTACCTCCCAAAGCTGGGTCAGATTGTGGACCTTGATGAAGAAGATAGGGCAGCAGATGATGCAAAGGTGGCCCTGGAGGAGGAGGGTGCAGAGATGATGAAGAACTCTAACTAGGAAGGAGGGTGACAGTGGGGAGGAGAATCTGGCTAAGGCTGTAGGACTCCCAAAATGGCTGGCCTGGCCATTGTCCCCCTTTCCCCGCTCCCATGCCAGCTTCATCCCTGCTCAGGGCTTGAGTGAGGAACCATGATATTAGCAGCCGGGGACTGCCAGATCAGCCAAGACAAGGACCCAACTGTGGGTCAGGCAGAAAGCCTGATGTCCCAGGAAGGGTATCCATCCATTGTAGAGCTGGTGAGGTTAGGGCACAGTGGAGAGCCCTCCCCCTGGTGGTACAGATGGGGAAACAGGCCCAAATAAGGGATCACATGTCCAGCTGGTGGGCCGGCCAGATCTCCCCACTCCCAGGTCAGTGTGTTCTTGGCCCTATGGCTCCCCATTAGGCGACATTCCTCTCTCTCACGAGGGACTCCACCAACATGCTCACTTCTGCAAATAGCTGTTTTCTCCTTTTTGTCTCCATAGCTTTTTACCCTTTCCAGACTGCTCTCACAGCCATTCTGTTCCCCAGGCAGGGGAAGGAAAGCCCAGGGAAATTCAGTCACTTGTCAAGTCCTTCAACTAAGATGACCAGGCTGGACCACAGTCCAGGTCTCTGCCACCAGGCAAGGTCTAGAAGCTCGCCCCAAACACCCAGCCTTTCCCAAACCTCAGTAGAGTGTGACGCTGCTACAATTTAGGCCCCTCACCAGAAGTGCCACCACCTCTGAGCTGGCCCACAGCCTGCCACCCTTGCAGCGCTCCTACAAGTATTATCTGGGGTGAGATCAGTCCTCCTGAGCCCCTCTTTCCCACCCTTTCCTTTGCCTATTGGCCTTGCAGTCATCCACAGCAAGTGACCTATAAGCTCTCTGGACTTGCTTCCTTATCTTGGAAAAGGGGGCTCTTTGCAGTAGCATTCTATGGCTACCCTATTCCCACCTCCCCTGAGCCCCCTCCTGCCAAAAGCCCTATGCCCTTCGTTTGTCATTCCTAGGCTGGCATCACAGACACGGGTGAGCTCCCCATCGCCTGTTGCTGCATGCAGTGTGGGTCTCTGAGGGACTTGGCTGGAGGGCGTGTGGGGCAGGTGCTCCCTGTGGGGGTTGCCTGGGGTGGCAGGCAGCAAGGTGGCAGGGGGGGCCAGGAGGTCTGATCTTTAAGGGAAGGCTCAAAGCTGCACAAAGGGCTCAAAACTGCAGAGTCTCGAGGGCACTTGGACTGGTGCACAGGCTAAACCAATGCCCAGAGGAGAGGAGGAACTAATTCTAGGCCACACAGATGGCATGGAACTGGGACCAGGACCCACTGACTTTAGCTGGTGGTTTAGAATCCACAGGGGCCTCGTTAAAGATGACAGAGAAATTAGGATGTGGTAGATCTGGAGTGGGGCCTGGGAATCTGCATTTTCAGCAAGCCCTTGTGTGTACAGACGTGCATGCCTGTTTGCATGTGTGTGTTGGGGTTAGGATCTTGAAGCACAGCCAGCTGGGGCTGGACCACCCAGGGAGGAGTCACAAAGGTTTTCAGAGCTGGATTTGTGGTCCAGGCCTTGGGGGGCCAAAGCTGGTCATCCACCAGGGCCACACACCCGGCAGGAAGAGGGCAAAGGAAGTGCTGACCTAGGGGCCATTTGATTGTGCTGGAGCAGAGGCCACACTCTGTCCTTGCCTGGCCCAGGCTGGATGGGGAGCCCCCACTGCAGGCCACTGTGGCTCCTGTCCCCATCCTCCCCCCGGGCAGGCCCAGTGTCTAGACTCTCAGACTGAAATTGGTCTTAGAATTCTTTCAGCTACAATAACAAACACAATCAGAGAATCAACAAACATTGGGAGGTTCACGTTTCCAAGTTGGAAGGGACCTTATAAGTAAACGGTCATTTCTAGCAGACCGCCCATTGCACAGATCCATTCCCTGGCATTCCTGCCAGATGGTCATCCCACAACTGTTGGAAATGAGTAAGATCTGCCCTTCCCCATGCACCTCCTGCATGCTAGACATTGTCCATCTATCTCAAGTGAGCCCCTGTATGCCGCAGGGTTGGAGAGAACTACAAGAAACCTTGTACCATTTGATTGATAGGTTCTACTGCTGTTTCTGAGGCCAGATAGACCTGGTTTTGAATCCCACCTGCCTGATGCGTGGTCCTCTCTGACCCTGAGTTTTCTCATCTGTAAAATAGAGTGATAGTTGCCCAACTCCACGGGTCATTGAGAGATGTATACAAAGGGCCCAGCACATGGATGTGTTGGCTATTATTAGAATATTAATTTTCCCCATTTTACAAATACAGAAAATGAGGCTCAGAGAGGTGGGGAGACTGTCCTAGGTTACCCAGCCAGTGAGCAGCTGCACTCCACAACCCCAGAGGTTTAGTTTTAATGACATCCAGGAGCTCTGGGCTGGAACTCCTGACTGCCCCGAGACACCTCTGGAGTCACAGAGTGTACCTCTGTTGGGCTCCACAGCCCCTCTCCAGAGCCCAGAGAAGGGTGACAAGGTCTGTGGGCCAGGTCTTCACCGGCAGCCTTGCCAGGACAGAGAGGAGTAATTATGGAGCTAAAGCCCAACCAACCACACGTTAGGGTCACCTGGAAAACTATTCAAGTACCAAATTTTGAGACCCATTCTAGCGCCACTAAATTTGAATTTCTGGGGCCAGAATCTGCACTGTGAAAAAGCTTCCCAGGCAGTTCCAAGGCTGCTGGTCAGGCACTGGGAGCCATTGGCCTGTACCGTGCATGCATTAGGGGACGGGAGTTTGCTACCTCTCATGGTGGCCTAATCCACATGGATGGGACATTCTGCGCATCCCAAAACTGGAGAGAGAAAGCCTCCCATTTCGGTGAGTTACCCAAGGCTCTTCCCCTCTGTGCTCACCCCTGAAGAGCTGAGGGGGCTCCCCATTCTCCCTCCCACCCATTCACACTGGCATCTGGCCCAGAGGATTACTTATTAGGTGGCTGGGAGTGGCCCGCCCCTCAGCAGACACCTGTTATAGGAGCCTGGACTTCCCCCTTAGCTCCAGCGTCCCAGGGGCCTGTAAATAATTCATCCCCAGCCCTCTCCCCACCCCACTGCTCTCACACACCTCCCTGCCCGCTCCTTCCCAGGCTCCAGAGGTATCTTGGGGCAGTTGGGAGTTCCAGCCCAGAGCTGGGACTGGAGCCCAGGGCTCCTGGGGCTGTCATTAAAAATACAAATTAACACATACACTTGATAAAGATTTAAAAAACCCAAAGTCTCCCTCCTACCTGTGGCTTTCCAACCTCCAGTGCCCTCTCCAGAGGCAGCCCCTATTACTGGCTTCTTGTATATTCTTTCAGAAAGAACTATGTTTGGGTATGTGTGTGTCTCCCCCATTTTTATACACAAATGGTAACATACTATTTACACTATTCTGTCTTGCTTTTTTTTTCACACGTCTTAGAAATTGTTCCATACTGGGATATATGGGGTTTTGAAATTTCTTTTTAATGACTGCATAATGCTCCTCTCCACGAATGCACCATCCCTTCTCTCACCAGCTCCCTGCTTGTACACGTGTACATTGTTTTTTGTCTTGTGTTATCAGAAACAGATGGAGCTTTGGGCAGCTCTTGGTCGGATCAGTTACTGGAAGTGGGATTCTTCGGTCAAAGGGTATGTGCCTGTTAAATGAGGCTAGATATCGCCAAGTTGGGCGCTAAGGAGGATGTTTCAGTTCTCACTCCTGGAACAGCATATGGGATTCCCTGGTTTCTGAGCCACACGGTGTGATAGCAAACATTTTGTTCTTTGGCAGAGCCATTTTCTTGCACGAAAATTGTGTGTTTCAAGCAGCTCCACCAGAGAGAAGTTGGCCAATGGGTTCCTGAGCCCACCAGCTCCTCTCCAGAGCCCAGAGAGGAGTGACAAGGCCTGTGGGCCAGGTCTTCACTGGCAGCCTTGCCAGGAGAGAGAGGAGTAATTGTGCAGCTAAACCCTATCTCCATCTGGTCTCACTCCTGACCCCCTCCCTTGTGGAAGAGCTGGGCCTGAGGTCAGAAACCTGAGTCCTGGTTCATACCATGACCAGTCAGGACAGCCCTCTGCAAGTGCCCTTTCTGAGCCCATTTCCCCCCACCTATGAAATGGCTCTCATGGGTCTGGGCTTGCTCGTCAGAAGAGGCAGGAGTGGGTGCTAGGACTCTAAGGAAAAAGCACCTTCAGGACCACTGCCTGTCATCCCTAGGCGAAGGTCTGGGTGGGCAGGGAGCCTCATGCCCTACCTCAGGCCTGTCCTCCTGGGGGTGGCTGTGAGTCCTCTGGGCATTTTAAGGGCCCCCAGCCTGGGGCTCTCAGTAGCCTTCCCTCACCATGGTCTGGGCTCTCCTTTCCCAGAAGTAGCAATGGAGGGGTGGTCTGCTATTTAAGCTTCTGTTACCAACACTTTGGGGGCTCCATGGCAGGCTCAGTGGGCCCTAAATTTGGCAGCATGCGGAATTGTACCCTGGAGAGGCAGCAAGAGCTCTAGGGCATGGGGCATGGCCTTGGGCAGGCCCGTGCCTGCCTGGGCCTCAGTGACCCTGACTACACAGGGAGGTAGGACTGGAAGGGCTCACCAGGCCTCTTCTTTGGCCCTCCAGCTGCCATGCAACCATTGTGAACCCCGATCTCTTCCTCAGTAAAGTGCGAGGAGACTAAACTCTCACAACCGCTTCCAGCTTTAGCCCAGTGAACCCAATGGGTCTGTGGATTCAGAGCCATGTTGGCCTCCAGTGCTGGTGGCATTAGGCAGAACTGTTTTTGAGCCGGCGTTGCATTTTCTAGGCCAAGGAGGGGCCCAATCTGGAGCCAAGGCCTGGGCAGCCACTCCCTTATCCCTTTCCTGGGGCCAAACCTGGCTGAAGTCCGAGGCTATCCCGTGCTATGCTGGGCAGCGGACTGAGGTCAGTGGACATGGAAGCGTCCAGTGTGGTTCCTCTGCTCTGGCAGGAAACCCAGGGAAAAGCTGCCCAGGAACATCTGCTGCCTCCCATTCTCCACAAAGCCATTTGGCTCACGGAGAGCCCAGTGGCTGTCCTGCCAAGCTGCGTGGGCTTGGTGGAGGGGGACAGGCGTCAGAATGGGGGCGGGTGAGTGGTTAGTACAGGGGTGCTGAGGGACAGGCAGGGCCAGGGCTGAAACCCAAGAAGATGAAGGCTGGGCTGTGGTGGGGACACTTGCGAGAGGCGGGAGGGGTTGATGGTCTTTCAGAGACCCGCCATGCCCTGGTGGGAGCGTGTGCGGGTCTGGAAGTGCTTGCGTGCGCCTCCTATTTATAGCCACGTGCTCAGCTTCTTATAAAGGAAACTGGTGCTTAGCCAGGCCCCACACAAGCCCAGGCCAAGCATGACTCTTAGTATTCTCTCCAGACAGACCTCTGATCCCAGTCCCAAAGAAAGTCCTGACATTAACCTCAGCTGGTCCTCAAATCCAGCTCTGGGCCCCAGGCTGAGCCTCATAAAGAAGCCAAGGCACCGCCCTCTCTCCTGGGTTACGGCAGCTCTCCCTGCACTTCCCCTTCCTCTTGCAAATCTGTTCTCCATGCAGTAGCCAGAGTAATATTAAAACCTACATCAGACTTCATGTCTCCTCTGCTCAGAATCCTGCAATGGCTCCTGTCCCAGACAGAGGAAAACCCAGAGTCCCTCCCCTTGTCTCCTGTCCCGTCCCCCTTCTCACTGCACCTCAGCTCCACCAGCTTCCTCACAGCTCCTCACTGTCAGACAGCAGGCAGACAGCAGGCATGCCCCACCTCGGGGCCTTTGCACTTGCTGTTCCCTCTGCCTAGAAGCCTCTCCCCAGATGTCTGCATGACTCTTTTTTTTGTTTATTTTTCTTGAGACGGAGTCTCACTCGATCACCCAGGCTAGAATGCAGTGGTGTAATCCTGGCTCACCACAACCTCCACCTCCCAGGTTCAAGCAATTCTCCTGTTTTCCCGCCTCAGCCTCCTGGGTAGCTGGGATTACAGATGTATGCCACCACGCCCGGCTAATTTTTGTATTTTTTAGTAGAGATGAGGTTTCACCATGTTGGCCAGGCTGGTCTTGAACCCCTGACCTCACGTGATCCACCTCCCTCAGCCTCCCATAAAGTGCTGGGATTACAGGTGTGAGCCACCGCGCCTGGCCCTACATGACTCTTTCCTGTACCTCCTTTACACCTTTGCTGAAATTCCCCTTTTCAGCAAGGCCTTCACGGCCCATTCTATTTAAAATCACAGACCACCTCCTCCCTAAATTCCCAGTCCTCCTTCCCTGCCTCCTTTTCTTCTGAAACACTTATCAACTAGTGTATCAAATATTTTATGTTTATTTTTCTTTTCATCATCTCCCTCCCCTAGAAGCTAAGCATCACGAGGGCAGGGGTTTTATTTTGCTCAGTGCTGTAGCCCAGAGCTTGGCTCACAGCAGGAGCTCAGTGAGGATCTGTGGGATGAGCTGCATCTCTCCTGCCCGGTGCCTGGACACAGGGGGATGTGTGGACGGCTTGGGCAGACCAGCCTCCGGCCTCTGGTGCAGGCCCAGCTCAGGGCTTGGTATCGTGAGCCAGAGCCTTTGAGGTAACTGGCAGGTCCTAGGGGTCCAGCAGCAGCCCCAGTCCTCCCTGTCTGATGTTGAGGCCATCCCCAGGCATTCGGCAAGAACTAGGGAGCCCACACCTGGGACAGTTCCAGATTCTTTCTGCTTCCACCTCTACCTGTGGTGGCTCTTCCCTTCTCTCTTCTCTTGCACAGGAGGAAGGAGCAGCTGCCATCTCATTAGTCTTGATCACCCTTGCCTGCCCGATATCCCCTCCGTGTCTCCAGCATTCAAACCTATCTGATATCTGACCACAGAGTGGAGAGTTTGTTAAAAATGCAGATTCCACCCCCAGGCTTTCTGACTAACTGGTCAGGGATGCCCAGAACCTGTGTTCTTCACAAGCTCCTGGAGAATGGCTGCTGTGCAGCCACATCTGGAAGCTGCTGGTTTAAAGTTGTTGGAGCTGGCCTTCAGAATAGGGCTCTGGGTCAGGAGACCTGGGCTGAAGCTGCAGCTCCGTCAGCAGCCTGCTGTGTAACCCTGAGCTGGTTGTTTTGCCTACCTCACTGCCTCCCTGATGGGCATGGGAGGAGTACTTGCCTCCCAGACTGTGAGTCTGTGGGTCTGAGTCTGGGAAATGACTGTTTCCCTTGAACCTGGAGTGTATGTCTCTCCCCACCTCAGGGTCCTACTTCAGGGAGCCTGGATTGTCTTCCTCCTGGGGGTCCTGCCTGGGCCTTTTTTGTAGCCTCCTCCTCTCAACTCACCTTCCTTCCCGGCTCCTTCTGCTTCTCAGGTAAGACTCGGACCAAGGACAAGTACCGCGTGGTCTACACCGACCACCAACGCCTGGAGCTGGAGAAGGAGTTTCATTACAGCCGTTACATCACAATCCGGCGGAAATCAGAGCTGGCTGCCAATCTGGGGCTCACTGAACGGCAGGTGTGTCTGTCTTCCTATCTCAGCCATAGGAGCAGTGCGAGGACTCTGGTCTCCAGGCTGCCAGGCAGAGTACAGAGCTCAGTAGAAGGAAAACAGAGAGGTTGAGTCTCCAGGCCATTGTCACACAGCACAGCAGAAACTGAGGTGCTACCAGCACCCTCCCTTAACAAAACCCAGTATCCTTGCCCCCAAAGGCAGGGGTAAGGGGATCTGATTAGCCACAGGCTACAGCAGGCTATTATTAGTGCTGTAGGAGGTGCACGTGCTATTTACATTAGGGGAGCAGTCACAGGGATAACAAGGAAGGCTTCCTGGAAGAAGTGTGGCCTGGGAAGATGGAGAGGGGGAAGGTTACAAAGAAGGGCATCTCCAGGGTAGGGGTGCAATGTCTAGAGGGGGAGAATGAATTCAGGGTCCATGTGGTCTGGGAGGCTGGAGAGGAGATAAGCCACAAAGCCACATGGAGAAATAGGGGCTCACTGTCCTCGTCTCTCCTTCTTGCACTCTCTCTTTCACTCTCTCCCTGCTGCCCACTCCATCTCTGTCCTCCAACCCCACAGGTGAAGATCTGGTTCCAAAACCGGCGGGCAAAGGAGCGCAAAGTGAACAAGAAGAAACAGCAGCAGCAACAGCCCCCACAGCCGCCGATGGCCCACGACATCACGGCCACCCCAGCCGGGCCATCCCTGGGGGGCCTGTGTCCCAGCAACACCAGCCTCCTGGCCACCTCCTCTCCAATGCCTGTGAAAGAGGAGTTTCTGCCATAGCCCCATGCCCAGCCTGTGCGCCGGGGGACCTGGGGACTCGGGTGCTGGGAGTGTGGCTCCTGTGGGCCCAGGAGGTCTGGTCCGAGTCTCAGCCCTGACCTTCTGGGACATGGTGGACAGTCACCTATCCACCCTCTGCATCCCCTTGGCCCATCTGTGCAGTAAGCCTGTTGGATAAAGACCTTCCAGCTCCTGTGTTCTAGACCTCTGGGGGATAAGGGAGTCCAGGGTGGATGATCTCAATCTCCCGTGGGCATCTCAAGCCCCAAATGGTTGGGGGAGGGGCCTAGACAAGGCTCCAGGCCCCACCTCCTCCTCCATACGTTCAGAGGTGCAGCTGGAGGCTGCTGTGGGGACCACACTGATCCTGGAGAAAAGGGATGGAGCTGAAAAAGATGGAATGCTTGCAGAGCATGACCTGAGGAGGGAGGAACGTGGTCAACTCACACCTGCCTCTTCCTGCAGCCTCACTTCTACCTGCCCCCATCATAAGGGCACTGAGCCCTTCCCAGGCTGGATACTAAGCACAAAGCCCATAGCACTGGGCTCTGATGGCTGCTCCACTGGGTTACAGAATCACAGCCCTCATGATCATTCTCAGTGAGGGCTCTGGATTGAGAGGGAGGCCCTGGGAGGAGAGAAGGGGGCAGAGTCTTCCCTACCAGGTTTCTACACCCCCGCCAGGCTGCCCATCAGGGCCCAGGGAGCCCCCAGAGGACTTTATTCGGACCAAGCAGAGCTCACAGCTGGACAGGTGTTGTATATAGAGTGGAATCTCTTGGATGCAGCTTCAAGAATAAATTTTTCTTCTCTTTTCAAAAATGTATAAAAATCATTATACATAGCATTAAAGAAACATTTTTGAGAAGTACAAATCATCCTCACCTTCCCCAGCAATTGTGTATTCCTTTCCCGTTTGTTTAGGCCCACAACAAGGTCACCTTTAAAATACATTTGAAAGATCAAAACAGAACACCATTCGTTTAGGTCTATGAGACTACGTAAAAATGTGAGTCCATTTTGTAAGCAGATTCATCAGACTCAACATATCAGTCTTTTGAATTTTTCAGATATGTTCAGTTCAGGTTTTTCTTTCAATAATGACATTCATTGCTCACCCCATGTGCTACGCGTGGCTGGGCCTGGGAAGCACACAGTCCTTGTCCCCTAGACTGGAGAAGGGGTGCGAGATCATGTCTTGGGAAGATGTGGAGGGGGAAGGTTACAGAGAAGGGCATCTCCAGGGTAGGAGAGCAAGATCTAGAGGGGGAGAATGCATTCAGAGTCCATGTGGTCTGGGCAGCTGGAGCAGGAGAGAAGCCACAAAGCCCCCCTCAGGGTCTGACTTCAGGGGTCCTGAATTGCTCTGCAGAAGTCCCCAGTCCAGTGGGGAAGACTGCTATGCACACAGATGACACTAATATAACAGGATAAGGGCCAATCTGAGCGTCAGGGGAGCCAGGGCATCCAACGAGAGCAGAGCACATGCCTAGCTTATCCTGGAAGGCTTCCTGGAGTAGGTAATGTTTGAACTGAGACTGAAAAGGACTAGCGAGTATGGATCAGGCCAAGAAGGGAATAAAGGAGAAAAGGAACTTGAGCAATATGGACTGAAAGTATAATTTTTTTTGAACTCGGGAGTCTACTACCCGGGGCCTTCTCTCCCCGGGGGCTCTGGTGCCAGCTGCCTGCCCCTCTGTTTACTGTTCTGGGAGGTGGCCAGGCCATAAAAAGTGTGCACAGCCTGCCTGACATCGCCCTTTGCTCCCATGATAACAGTGCACAAGGTGGATCCTGGCCTGGCACAGGCCCCTGAAGTGCAGCAGGCACTTCTCTCTCTCCTCCTACCAGTGGCCTGGGAGACAGCGGGCATTCATTAGTAATGGTGGACACCTGAGGCTTGGGAAAGAACCAGGGTTCCAAGAGTAGAGGGGGAGGGGCTGGTGAAAAGGCGGCTGGCCCGGACTGAATAGAGTTTTCTGATCTTCAAAAAAATATGCTCTGTGACCCTAGGGTAACTGCTTCCCCTCTTTGGGCCCGCATTGCCCCATCTGTAAACTTGGGGAAGTTGTCTACCAGAAAGAAATAACTCTGGTCAAGTAAGTTTGGGAAATCCTGCTGAAGCCACTTCTCTGATAGAGTCACAGTGGGCCATTAGCACATCAAAGTCTCTGACAAGCCCCACAGCAAAGAAACCCCTTGAATTTTCTTTCATCTGGCCTTCCCCGTGCTTTGCTACCTAGGAGGCCCCTACTCACACCTCCGAGCATCCCACTGAACTCCACACACTCTGCAGTGCTGGGATGTTCAGGCTGGAGGGCCTCACCTTCTCTGTGTCTCAGTATTTAGCAGCAGGTTTTGTCGTCAAATGGCCTGGATTTCAGCGTGACTACTTCCAAACTGCAAGACTTCAGGCAAGTTACTTAGCTTCTTGGAGCCTCGGCCTCCGCATGTGTCAAATGGAAATAAAATAGTCTAACTGAGCTTAGAATTGTGTTTCGCTCAGGGCCCAGCACATAAGAAGTGCCTGTTTTTGAGCCACCTGCTCACGGGGCTGCTGCTGCATCCCAGTGTGAGAGGCTGGCAGGCGTGGCTGATGTTCTACCCACCTGAAGGAGGACAAGCCTGTCTCCGCATTAGGAAGACCTCTGCCCGGCAGGAGGTCAGTGGCCACTCCTCTGATAGAGTCACAGCGGCGCATTACCACATCAAAGGGTGAGCTGCAGCAGTTGCCCACATGGGAGGTCAGGAGGTTGGATGCGACCCACAGGTTGGGTTGGTGCTCACCTACCAATGGGTGTTTAGCCCCATGAAAAAGGAAACTCATCTAAGACAACTTCCAAGCAGTGCAACTTCCTGCCTTGTGCCTGGTGAGTTCCCTGTCACCCAGAGTTCCACCAGAGATTGGGGTGTTGTAATGGCTTAGGAAAGAGACCCTTCAAGTCTAGTCAAATCTTACAGCCACCCCAGGGGTAAGAGGTGTTCAGCTCTCGTATCAGGAATGGCCCATGCTGCTTTGCGTACAGTGACTTTGTGCTGGCCCTCCAAGGCCCACAGACTGCTTACGTCTTCTAGCAAATCAGAATTGTGCATGTCAACACTGTTTACATACAATTTCAGGGAGTCCATAGACTCCTAACCCTGGGCTGAGAACCTGTCTTATGGAAAAGCCAATCCCATCATTGATTGCCGAGAGATTGGTGTGGACCGAGCAGAACAGTTGCAGCACTACTCTAGGGAGGGACTTGGTGGGGAATGGAGTGTTCTGAGGAGGGCTCCAGCAGTCAAGGGTGTGTGTGTGTGTGTGTGTGTGTGTCTGTGTGTGTGTAATGGGCTGTGATAGGGGTACAAGGGTTAGAACAGGAGGACTGTGGAGCTCTGAGGAAATCAGCCCGGCTCTGAGTGTTTGAGATGATCTGCCAGAGGGATGCAGAGCTGGGGAGCACAGCCAGCCTCCGCCAGGGCAGCTTTGGAGGGCAATCCCGTTCCAACCAGGCAGCTCTGGGATCACTTCCTCTGAACCACTCCAGATGGACTAGCAGCCTGGAACCTTGTTTTTTACAGTCGTCACTCCCTAGTGTGACAAAACACATGCTCTACAGTGATAAAATCTGAATATTTAAGCAAATTAAAAATGTTTATTTATATACATTTAAAAATATCTCCCTATATAATAAAAGGAAGTACAGTTCATCTGACACTTTCCTTAAATCACACACACACATCTCCATTGCACTTCTGGTTTGATATGAGACCACAACAGGGAGAGAAGGGGGAAAGGGAGAGTGAATATTTACCATTTGGATTCCTAAGCAGTCATTTTGCCATGAATCAAACCCCCTCTGGAATGGGGGAGAGGAGATGGTGGTGACAGCAATTGTCAAATGTGCTTGGTTGCCAGACTCCTGGCCAGTTGTATGATCATAAAATTGGAGCTTCAGTGGGTAGATTGATTTATGTGGATAATGTCTTTTAGAAAATCTTGGAGTTTTGGCTGGGCACAGTGGCTCATGCCTGTAATCCCAGCACTTTGGGAGGCAGAGGCAGAAAGATCCCTTGATCTCAAGAGTTCAAGATCAGCCTGGGTAATATAGCAAGACCCTGTCTCTACAAAAAAATACAAAAATTAGCCAGTCATGGTGGCACACACCTGTAGTCCCAGTTGCTTGGGAGGCTGAGGTGGGAGGGTAGCTTGAGTTCAGGAAGCGAAGGTTGTGGTGAGCCGAGATGGAGCCACTGCACATCAACCTGGGTAATAGAGCAAGATCTCTCTCAAAAAAATAAAGAAAAGAAAATCTTTGAGTTTTGTTTGTTTTATGAAAGGGCAGACTTTCCCCACCAGGGCTGTGGGGATGGAGGTGATGGTGGCAGAGAGGTATGAGCTAGAGGGCAGAGCCTGGGTGAGGTCAGACTCCTAGGTTATAGACATGATCCTGTCTTTACTGAATCACTGAGTGATTTTGCAAATCCTGCCCCTCTGGGTCTCAGTTTCCCTATCTGAAAGGCATGGGCCTAGATCCATTTGCACCTCACAGTCCCAGTGACTGCCACAGTGGCTCAGTGGTCACCCCCTGATGTGTCTGCTCAAGGGAAGCTAAAGCCCTGGTCCACTCCCTTCTTCTCCCCCAGGGCTGGGTCCGTGAAGTGGGAGGAGCAGGTGCTGCTAGGAAGGGTCATAAAGAGGCCAGTCTTCTTGGCTCCTGAGCCAACTGCCTCATCCCTGCTCGCTGTCCCTGTGGCCCTCTGTGCCTTCCAAAGGGTCTCATGAAACCCAAGTGCCAATGGGAGGGAGTGGTTGAGCAAGGTTGAGCCTCTTTTGTACAAGATGCATTGACAAGCCTTGGGTGAGGGATGGGGAAGTTTCCTGCCTGGGCCTCCTTGGATTCAGGAGCCCTTGGCTTCTGCCTTTCCCAGCCATGACCCACAGCTTTCCTGGCTTCATCCCCAACGCCCAGTGCATGACTTCACTCCTCTGGGACAGTTTCCACAGGTGTAAAATGAGATGCACAAACATGTCTTCCCAGACAGTTGGAAAGAATTAAAAATTAGATGTTGGATGCAAAAATCCTTCATAATGCACACAGTAGGGCTCCATAAATGCTCCTTCTCTTCACACTCACAGCCACTCTTGGCCCCATATGGGTCAGCAGGCAGGGGGCAGAGGAGACACCTTCCTCCTGGGTCTGGAGAGCCCCTGGTTTGCCCTTTGTGGCCAGGCTCAAAGGGGAGAGAAGTTTGACAGGACCTGGGCAGGGGAAGGGGTGGACTGGAGCCTGGCCAGGCCTTTACCCAAGTCCATGCTTTGACTTAAACCCCTCCAACCTTTTTTCAAGCTCCAGAGGTGGGAGAGAGCAGAACCTTATTCTCATCTCTCCCCAAAGGCCTCCCACCGTGTCAACTGATAGTGAGCCAAACAGATGTATGGTTAATGTCTAAACTGGGACACTTGCGAGGGTGAAAAGGACACAATTTGTAATGTATATACTGATCCGCTAGTGTCTATCAGTCAGTCCCAGCAAACCAACGTGTGCCATTGCTCCAGCTCATCATTTCCCATCCTAGCCACAGGCTCACTGGACCCTCAGAACATTCTGAGGCAACAATGCATGGGCGGCTCGTGGCCCATTTTACAGATATGAAATTAGAACTTTCCAGAAGCCATACTGCTGCTGGACAGGAAACCAGTTACTAATCATCTAAGTCACAGATCACAGTGACACTGTGGCACTTGCCTGTCCCTTCTGCTCACCCAAACCTCCCCATTTTGCTTTCATCTTAAGGAAAGGAGGAGAGTTGAAGACTCTACTAGCCTAAAGGTCCATGAAGCCTGACTCTGTCCCTGGTGTCACTCATTAGCCCCGTGACTTTGAGTAAGTAACTTAACTTCCCTGTCCCTCAGCTTCCTCATCTGTAGAATAGGAGTAACGACACCTGTCTCTCCAGGTTGAGAAAATAGGACACCTAGTTCAGGACCTGGCACATTTTAGGTGCTCAATAAATACTGATAGATTGAATAATTGGACTAATGGTGGCGTGGGCAACCCACAGTCAGTGAATAAATGTTAACTGAGCACCTACTATGTGTCAGGCTCTTTGTGCTAGATGTTTTCTATGCTCCATCTTCCTGAATTGCTCACACTCCTGTAAGAGAGGAGAGATTCTTATCCCCTAAGGTCGCACAGCAAAGACGACGCAGGGGGGTGGGCTGTTAGTGTTCCTTGCCCAACTGTGGAAAGGGAGTCCCAGAGAGGGCAGGTCGCTTGCCCAAGGTCACGCAGAAAGCCGAGGGTTTCCGTCGCGAACCCCCCTCCCCACTCGCTCAGGGCTCTCCAATCCGCAGCTCTGCGTGCGGGGGCGCGCGCATCCCCCCGCCGTCCGTCCGTCAGCTGTCTGTCTGGGTGTCTATGCGGGCGCAGCAGTGCACCCTTCCCCAGCCTCGGGCGCTGCGCAGGGACAGACAAGGCATTCGCAGCGCCCTGCCCGCGCTCCACGCCCGCAGCCGCCAGACGGCAGCGCCTGCGTCCGTGCCCGCCCCAGCCGGTGCGCGGGAGCCGCGGGGGCAAAGGCGCAGTGGCCAGCGGACCATCTCTCGTGCCCTCGCTCTCTGCGCTCCGGGGCAGCTGAGCCCCGGCCACCCGCTCTCCAAGATGAAGAAGCTCCAGGGAGCTCACCTCCGCAAGGTAGGGCACGAGGGCGGGGGCGCTGGGGGTGCACCTGGAGGAGGGTTGGAGAGACCCGCCCCCAACGAGGCCCCTGGGGAAGGTCTGAGGATGCACCCAGACCAGCTTCGGGCTCTGGGGAAGGCCCGACTCAGCTGGATAACAGGGAGGGTCAGGGTCACGGTCTGCGCCCCCACCTCTGCCCCTGCCATCTGGGGTTCGGGATGTAGTATGAGGGGAGTCCTGGTTCACTGGGCCAGGCCTATGAACAGGTGTCTGCAGTCCCCGGAGGCGCGGGGTAGGGGCGGCCGGGGCCAGGCACCCACCTCTTCCCCAATTCCACCCTGCTGCTCCCCGCCAGGAGCTGATTGCCGGGTGTGGGGGGTATTGGAATACCTGAGCGTTGAGCTGGACTCATCTGAGGGGTGGGGAGTGGGAGGCGGTCATCCATACTGAAGCCGGCTCCCTGAGCCTGCGGGAAGACTCTCCTCTTTCCTGCCTGCTCCCTCCCCGCCCCCTTAGCTTGCCTGCTGAGACCCCAGGCTGCCCCTCAGCAGGGCTGAAGGGAGGCAAAGACAGGGAGGGGGCTATCGGAGGCAGGAGGATATGATCAATGAAGATGGAAGCTGGTATGGGAGAGTGGCTGTGGGCCCAGACCTCAGGCTCTCCCTACCTTGCCTTGTGGGATTGGACCTCTCAGCCAAGCTGTCAGGATATGGGGAGGGGGAATACTGGGGGACGTTTTCTGGCTTGTACCAGTCCTAACTAAGGAGTCAGATCTCCTGAATACTATTTCTGCCGCTGCCACTTGCCTGGTGACTTTGGACAAGTTCATTCTCTAACCTGAACCTCCTCTGGCTAAGCCCTAGCCTGGAGGCACCAAAACAGGCCCCACTGGGTGTGTGAGGTGTGGGGAAGAATGCTAAAGGGCTGGTAGATGTGAGAAGACTGTTCTCAGGGGCTGGTGTTATCAACCTCCCTACATACACACACATTCACACTCACACTCACTCACACACACACTCATTCATTCAAGTTCTCTGCTCTGGGGCAGCTGGGCTTGGAACCACTGTGGTGTGTCTTTTTTCTTTTTCTTGTTTTTTTTTTTTGAGACGGAGTCTCGCTCTGTCACCCAGGTTGGAGTGCAGTGGTGTGATCTCGGCTCACTGCAAGCTCTGCCTCCCGGGTTCACGCCATTCTCCTGCCTCAGCCTCCCGAGTAGCTGGGACTATAGGCGCCCGCCACCACGCCTGGCTAATGTTTTGTATTTTTAGTAGAGACGGGGTTTCACCGTGTTAGCCAGGATGGTCTTGATCTTCTGACCTCGTGATCCGCCCGCCTCGGCCTCCCAAAGTGCTGGGATTACAGGTGTGAGTCACTGCGCCCAGCTGGTATGTCTTTTTTATTCACTGACATGAGTGACTTCTTGAGACCATTTGTGAGTCTCTTGGGTCCTGTTTCCATTCTTTTCCACTCTCCTTCTCTTCCCTCTCTGCCCTCCCTCCCCACAAGAGGCCCTGTCCCTCTTGCTGGGTGCTGGGCTGGGGGGTTAGCAAGCTTTATCTCATTTAATCCTTTAACACTTCCAGGGGCTAGGTCTTAGTAGCCCCACTTTATAAATAAGGCAACTGAGGCACAGAGGGGTGAGACTCACTGCTTACCTGCTGGCAGGCTAGGCAACCTAGAGCCAACAGGGCAGAGGGTTGGTTCTAGGTTGCTACCTCCTCTCAGGGTCCTTTCCCTTTTCTCAAGCAGAATTGGGCGGGAATGAGAAAATGCCAGATTTCCGCAAAGGAGCAGCATTGCTCAGAGATGAACACTGGACTTAGAGTCAGGGGATCTAGGTCCAAGTCTTGCTGTGCCTTTAACTTGCTGTTTGACCTTGGGCTCATCCCTTCTTCCTGAAACTTGGTTTCCTAATCTGCACAATGATGAAGCTGGACCCCAGATTCCTATTGTCTCTCTCTGTCCTGAAGAGTCTTGGCTTGGGCAGTCTTGAGTCTCCCAGCCCCTGCTGTGAGTCCCTAAAGGCGAGCATGCAGGTCTGACAAACTCAGCTGTGTGTTCCTGCATGCCCCTGGGGTAGGGAGTGGGAGATTCAGGAGTGGGAGGCTTACACCCAGGAAGAAGTATGAAGCAACTCATTCAGCTTCCAGCCCTGCCCCAGCTATTTGATTGCTTTCTTCCATCTCCCAACCAGCCCCATCCTCACTGTGCCAGCCTCCTGGGATTCACCCCATGGTGGGGTTGGGAACTCCAGTTGGGCTCCTGATTGGCTCAGCTTTGGAGGACCCTATCTCCTGCCCCTGGAGCAGAAGCAGGCTTCCCTCTGATTGGGGGAGGAGGGGGACGAGCTGGCAGCATCCTGCTCTTGGAACTCTAGTCACCATGGAAACAGAGAACCGGGACCGCTCCATGAGCATGGAAAGGGCAGCTTCTCTGGAGGGATCAGAGGATCCTCATTACTGGGACCTCCTGCTAACTGGCCTGAATGGTGCTGGGATGGGCGGGGGGTGTCTCAGGGTAACAGGCCTGCTCACCACCCAACACCAGGAACAGTGGCAACCATTCCTCCCGGAGCTCACCTGGGGTGAGAGGTTGCTGAAGGCTGATGCTCACCCAGCTGGAGAGGCAGCCTCAGGGAACGGGGCATTGGAGGGGAAGGGTGGGTTTCACTTAAGTCTGGGATCTGCTGCTCCTGTCACCTCAGCATGTCCATGATCACAGCTAAAGAACTTCCAGGCATGTATTTGTTTCACCCCTTGCAGCCTAGTTACTTTAAAAACAGCTCTTCATGCTCTGTCATTGTCATCGTCACCCATAATAATGTCTGGCTGTTCCTGTCACCACGGCCCCTGTGGCCAATAGCCAGTTTCTGGCAAAATCACCACTGTGGTCACCATCACTGAGGGTCTCCTAAGGGAGAATGCCCCATGGACCTCTCACCCACTTTGAAGCATGAAAGGAGACCTTAGGAACAGCTGGCCTCCGCTCCCCTCTGGGCATGCATCTCCTCTCCAGGGACAGCAAGATTATGACTTTCTGACACAGATCACGGCTTAAGTACCTTCTTCCTGCTCATGAGCCAAAATTCACAAAATTCACCCAGCCCTCAGGCTCTCCCTACCTTGCCTGGTGGGGTTTGACCCCCCCAGCCAAGCTGTCAGCATGCGGGGAGGGGGAGTATTGGGGAAGTTTTCTGGCTTGTGACTGAAAAGTACCAGTCCTAACCAAGGAGTCAGATCTCCTTGGTTCTTAGTAGGCCCCATTTGAGCCACGGAGCATCAGTGGATTCCCTCCCTCAGGGGAACCCCCAGGTCCCTCCAAGTCCTCTCCTTTCTATGCTGAGGGCTCCCAGCTTCTTTCTGTTGTCCTCCTATCACCTCTTTTCCTGAACACCCTCCAGCCTGGCCACCTGCCCTTTGGACATGCTCCATATTGTCTGCATCTTTCTTAAAATATGGTGCCCGGAACGGAGGAACAAAACTCCAGCACTGGTGGGTGAAGGAGACCTGGCTTTCGCATCAGGAAGCCTTGGGCTCCAGACCTAGTTCTTCCACTCACCAACCTGGTAGAAACCTCGGGTATGTCATGACACCTCTTTGAGCCTCAGTTTTCCTCATGACGAAAATGGAGCTTAGATGAATACTGAGCTCAAAAAGTTGTTCTGAGAATGAAATCAGGTAATGTGAGTGAGATGTCTAGTGCAGTGGGCACATAGTAAGTGCTCAATATACAGTAACTTACTAAGATCATCATCATGCTCTTCATCTTCGTCATCCTCATCCTCATCAAAATAGGACCATCCAGCCGGCCACGGTGGCTCATGCCTGTAATCCCAGCACTTTGGGAGGCCGAGGCGGGTGGATCACGAGGTCAGGAGACCAAGACCATCCTGGCTAACACGGTGAAACCCTGTCTCTACTAAAAATACAAAACATTAGCCGGGCGTGGTGGTGGGCGCCTGTAGTCCCAGCTACTCGGGAGGCTGAGACGGGAGAATTGCTTGAACCCGGGAGGTGGAGGTTGCGGTGTGCTGAGGTTGTACCACTGCACTCCAGGCTGGGCAACAGAGGGAGACTCTTTCTCAATTAAAAAAAAAAAAAAAAAGGACTATCCCTTGATTTGGCATCTGTGTTAGCCAGACTAAGGTCAGGGTAGCTTTGTTAGTGCCTAAGCTACCCTGCTGGCCCAGTAAGTTTTGGTCGCCTAAAATCCTGAGGCTCTCCTGCATATGACAAGGTTAGTCCAGTTGAGAGCACTTGATTATCTGGACTGAGAATGTCTTTTCATTTAGCCCTGTTCAATTCCAGAGTCTTGTCTTGAGGTCACATTTCTGGCCTGGCCTCAGTCTTCTCCCCAACCTCTTTGGTCTCTCTCATTGGCAGCCTGTCACCCCAGACCTGCTGATGACCCCCAGTGACCAGGGCGATGTCGACCTGGATGTGGACTTTGCTGCACACCGGGGGAACTGGACAGGCAAGCTGGACTTCCTGCTGTCCTGCATTGGCTACTGTGTAGGCCTGGGGAATGTCTGGCGCTTCCCCTATCGAGCGTACACCAATGGAGGAGGTATGGGCCTGAGGTCCTGTCGGAGGGTGTCTGGGGTGATGGGCCAAGGCCCTGGGGTACAGTGAGCTTTTAGGTGGCCTCAGCCACTGTCTCCTAGGCGACCTTGGGCAGAACTCATTGAAAGTGGTTTATAGTAACTTGGGGCTGGGAGGAAGGAGTTTACCCTGTCTTGTCCTTCTCATCACCCAAGCCCTTCCTTCCTCCCTCTCATCCCCAGGAAGGATACCCACATGGTTCCCTCTCTAAGGCTGGCCACCCCACGCCCTGCACGGTGGGCAGAGGGAGCTGCCTCTGCTTCGTGATAAGGAGCTGTATCTGCCTGCCGATGATCACTGCACTTTCAGTGTTCTCCCCACCCCCTCCTTCCTCCACCTCCTCCTGAGCTGTGCTCCATCAATCATTCCCTCTCTTGAGTCTCCAATCTTTCCTCCTCTCTTGGTTCCTTCCATTCAGGCTGCAAACACAAAGTCTCTCCCATCTTAAACAAATTTCCTTTCATCCCTGCTTCTCCATCAAGTGACGGTTCCAAGTCTCATTAGCAAAAGCTGGGGCTGAGCGCCTACCACCTGTCAGGCCCTGGGCTTGGTGCTTGCTGTGCCCATCTCATTTAACCCTGGTGATGACCCTATTGGGTAGGCACCATGGATACGATGAGGTAGCTGAAACTTGAAGACACCAGCGTCCTTGCCCAAGGTCACAGGGTGGCAGACCCAACATTCCAACCCAGGACTATCTCCTCCCTAGCCAGTGTGCTCTCACCAGTACTCGTATCTCCTTCTGTCTCTAGCAAACTCTGAAGGAAGCATATATTGAGAAAGTGAGAGAAATCCAAATAAAGCTAGATGAAGCAAAGAAAGGATAAATTTACATGACTAGGATGTGTGGGACTGGAGCTGGCCTCTGAAGCTCTAGGACCTTGATGACACCCATGGTGTCTCTCGGCAAGCACTCTCCCCATGTCCCTACTCTTCCTCTCTGTGTGCTGACCTCATTTTGTCCTGAGACAGGCTTCCTCCCCGCAGTTGGTGGGGGACAGGCCTTGGGGGGAGGTGGCCACAGACAACTCTGCAATGACTTCATCCTCCAATGGGTTTAGCAACCCAAGAGCTTTGCAGAACTGCTCTGTCTGAATGAATCTATACAGAATTGCAGGGAAGGCCTCTGATAGGCCTGGCTTTGGATAGGTGCCCACGGGGGAAGGAGGAGAGGGCGGTGAACCCCCTCCTTCCAGCCCCAGGTTATGATAAAACACTTCCAACTAATTCTGCCCAAGGTCGCCTAGGAGGGGGTTGGTTGATGTGACTGGCAGCCCTTCCAGAGTCATATGGTGGTGGGCAGTTCTCTAAAGAAGTGACTGCCAATGTGAGAACCAAAGGGGAAGGGCTATTGGGCCCACGGAACCACAGGTGGCAGTCACAAGTGTCTGAGGCGGCATGGTGGGGAGGGGCAGGCAGATAGAGGGGAGCCGGATTCTGAAGGGTGCTGGTTTCTGTACTGAGGAGTCTGCACTTTCTTCAGCAGGAAATTCACACATTCTCTCCCTCATTCATTCATTCACTCCCTCAGCAGGCGTTTCTCAGCGTCTGCGCTGAGCCCAGCACTGTTCTGGGCACTGGGGCTCCAGAGGTGAGTAAATCCCTGCTGGCCACTCTGGCCCTCAGCAGTCTGGTATAGAAGAAAAGAAACCTACAGTGTTCCATCAGGTCTGAGGGGGCATCTGCAGGCCAGGGGAGGGGCGGGGCTAGAGCTGGGCTTTTGGGGGAGCTGCCCCCAAGGCCCTTGCTGACCACCCCGCTCCCGGCAGGCGCCTTCCTCGTGCCCTACTTCCTCATGCTGGCCATCTGTGGCATCCCCCTCTTCTTCCTGGAGCTCTCCCTGGGCCAGTTCTCCAGCCTAGGGCCCCTGGCTGTCTGGAAAATCAGCCCTCTCTTCAAAGGTGAGGCCTCAGTGGTCCCCAGGGAGGGAAGGGCTCAGGGTCTGGGGGAGGCAGGGAGGTTGCCCCCAGAACCCCTGCCAGCTCCAGGCAGAGGTGGAAGTGAAGCCCAGATAGCTGCCAGCTCCCCAGAAGCCACTCCACCCGGCTGGCAGAGAGCTTGGCCTGGGCAGCCCAGCAGCCTCTCCCCACACCAGGCGCCGGCGCAGCCATGCTGCTCATCGTGGGCTTGGTGGCCATCTACTACAACATGATCATCGCCTACGTGCTCTTCTACCTCTTCGCCTCCCTCACCAGCGACCTACCCTGGGAGCACTGTGGCAACTGGTGGAACACAGAACTCTGCCTGGAGCACAGAGTCTCCAAGGACGGCAACGGGGCCCTGCCCCTCAACCTCACCTGCACCGTCAGCCCCAGCGAGGAGTACTGGAGGTCAGGCAGCTGCTGGCCCCGCGGCATCTGAGGGGACCCTGCACTGCTGAGGGTGGCCAGAGGGCATCCCCCACAGTCTCAGCATGTACCGCCAAGATGAGCTCAGGTGGTGATGGCAGGTGGACTCTGGCTTCTAATCCCAGCTCTTCACCTGACCAGCTGTGTGGCCTCAAACAATTTATTTGGCTTCTGTTGCTTTATCTGTAGCATGAGGGCAATAATACTAGGTATCTCAGAAAGGTTGTTGTGAAGATTAAAGGAGAGAAAGCATATATTAATAAATTGTGCAGTCCAGTCTGGTGGATAGTAAGTGCTCAATAAATACTAGCTGAGAATGATGATGATGATGATAACAGTAATAGTAACATTATGGAGTCTCAGTTTCCTCCTCTGTAACAGGGGTTGGTAACAGTACCTGCTTCATAAGGTGTTATCCAGTTAGTCATTTACCCACTCATTCATTCTTTTAATAAATATTTATTGAGCAACTGCTATATCATAGGTAAAGCACTTAGCATAAGGCCAGGACGTACATAGTAAGGACCATCTCAGACTCCTCTAATAGAGATAGGACTATAATAGAGTAAGGGACTGTCATCAGAATTAAACAACATAATGCAGGTGAAACCATTATCACGGTGCTGGGCACACAGTGGGTCCTGGGAATGGTGGGTGTCGGAAGGACGTTGCACTCATCAGCCTATCCCAATGCCCCATTTTATGGTCAATAAAACAAAGCCTTGTCACTGCATTCTGCCTTTAAAAGAAGAAAGAGAAAGAAAGAAAGAAAGAAAGAAAGAAAGAAAGAAAGAAAGAAAGAAAGAAAGAAAGAAAGAAAGAGAAAGAAAGAAAGAAAGAAAGAAAGCAAAGCCCAGAGGCTTGCTCAGTATTGCTCAGTAATTAGTGACAGAGATGGTATTGACACTAAGGACTCCTGAGTCCTGATCCTGTTCTGGAACATTCTAAAATAGCCTGGTCCCTAGGTGGGACTGTTGGCTGGCCAGAGAACACAGACCCTATAACCCCCATCCCTTACCTATAAAGGACTGCTGTTAGGAGATTTCTCCCAGATAGGCTCCGTGTCTTGAAATGTTTTGGTCTTTAACCTGCCTGTAGTACATAGTTCATTCATTTGTCCACTTCAAGTCCATCTGAAGTGTCCGCACCTGCTGAAGAGTTTATCTGACCAGTGGGAAAGAATCAGCCTGAGTTTGCAGCTTAAAGCCAAAGGATTTGATACAATCACTGGCAGCTGCCAGGGTGGTTCTCCATGGCCATGCCACAGCCCACTGCATCAGTCAGGATGCAGGCAGGAGGCCGATGGATTGTCAGAGGGTTTCACTGAAGGGAGTTTAGTGAAGGGACTTTTCAGAGGGTCATGGAAGCCACAGCAAAAAGTGAAGCATCAGTGACTAGCAACAGGGACAGCTATCACCACCCCTGAACCTAGGAGGCAATGGGAGGGAACCAGGAGAGAATCAGAGCCTTGGAAGAGGGGCTACCTAAAGAACACAGTCATGGCCAGGCCCTGGATGGTGTGTGTGTGTGTGTGTGTGTGTGTGTGTGTGTGTGTGTGTGTGTGTGTGTGGTGTACACATGTATATGCAAATACCCAGACCCCTCATTCCTCCCCTCACTACAGTCTCCCACTGTTGCCTCCCATTAGCCAAACCCACACGGAAGCTGAAGAGGAAGGAAGAAGAGGAAGGGTGGTCTCGAACTCCTATCCTCAAGTGATCTTCCTTCCTCAGCCTCCCAAAGCTGAGGAAGGGGTAAGGTCTGGTGAGGCCAGCCTCCTGGGTCAGAGTTGGTCGGAGAAGGATGGAGAGGGATCAAGAGGGCGTCAAGTGGAGAACAGCAGTAGAGCCTTGTGGGCTGGACATGGCTTGACTCCATGTCTGTGGAGCCTGGTGGGGTGACCAGGGGACACTGAGACCTTTGTCTCCCACAGCCGCTACGTCCTCCACATCCAAGGCAGCCAGGGCATCGGCAGCCCTGGGGAGATCCGCTGGAACCTCTGCCTCTGCCTGCTGCTGGCCTGGGTCATCGTGTTCCTCTGTATCCTCAAGGGTGTGAAGTCTTCGGGCAAGGTGAAGCCTGGGAGGCCCCGGAGGCCTGAGGGGCTGGATGGGGTGAAGGCTTCCTGGAGAAGGCAGGGCTTGGACTGAGCATGAGAAGATGAAGAGACTTCAGCTGGGCAGAGGGGAAGGGAGAGAGCCTTGAGACTGGGGGATGAGGGCTGCTTGAAGAGAGACATGGAGGTGAGGACGCACGGGGGCAAGGCTGCTTTACTAGACTGGAAGCTCACCAAGGCAGGGTCTACATTCAGCTGTATCCTGACCCAGTGCTTGGCACTTTGAATGAGCTCAGCAAGAGTTTGTTGAACACTTAGAGTGTGAGTGCATGAGTTAGGGGGCTCTTTGAGATGCAGGTGACCAGAACCCAGTTATCACACTCAGTTGGAAAGTCCAGAGGGTGTGCTTCAGGCACAGCTGGGTCTAGGGGTTCAATCAGTGTCATCAGGAAGCTGGTTCTCTGGGTCTGTCAGTAGTGCTTCCTTCCAGGATGGCTTCCTTCTGAGGCTTCATTCTTCGTGAGGTCACCCTAGCAGCTCTAGGCGTACATCTAAGCTTGGTAAAGGGTTGTCTTTCCCCAGTTTGCAACTATTTTAGAATTGAGTCTCATTGGATGAGCAGGGCTGTGCACCCATCCCTAAATTAATCCCTGTGGCCCGGAGGATGGAATGCTTTTCTTGGCTGGGCGTGGGTCATGTAACCACCCCTGGAGCTGGGAATAGAGTCAGCTCCATGGTGGGAAAGTCAGGTACTGTTATCTGAAAAAGGTAAACTAGAGACTGGAAGACAAAGCCACGGATGTCTACTTTAGGTGATGAAGGGGTGGAAAGGACGATAAAGCCATTTTGAAAAAACTTGGGGCCGGAGGTGGTGGCTCAAGCCTGTAATCCTAGCAGTTTGGGAAGCCGAGGTGGGTGGATCACCTGAGGTCAGGAATTCAAGGCCAGCCTGGCCAACATGGTGAAACCCTGTCTCTACTAAAAATACAAAAATTAGCCGGGCATGATGGCAGGTGCCTGTAATCCCAGCTACTCGGGAGGCTGAGACGGGAGAATCGCTTGAACCTGGGAGACGGTAGTTGCAGTGAGCCAAGATTGTGCCACTGCACTCCAGCCTGGGAGGCTGAGTGAGACTCCGTCTCAAAAAAAAGAAAAAAGAAAAACTCAGAAACCTTCAAGATGGCTTGCCCAATCATTGGTAAATCAGAACTTGTTTCCTCTGCAAGGTGCAGACGATACCAGAAGTATCATTTACAAGGAACAGAGCCATTTAAGACAAAAAAGACAGGGTAGAAACCATATAGAAAGAGAGAAGAGGTTATGGTCAAAGCCAAGGCAGTGAGGACGCTGAGACTTGATGGTGTTTGCTGAAGCGGTGGCTGGAGGTTTGGGAAAAGAAGGAAAGAGGGAGGAGTGAGTTTGGGAATGTTGAATGTCTGAGGATGATGCAGAGTGAGTTTGCAGGGGCAGGGAGTGGACACGGGGAGGAGGAGGCTTTTATAACCAACAATGGCGGCCTGGACCAGGGGCTGCAGTGGACATGGCCTTGGGAAGCAAGGTGGTGGTGCTTTGCTGATGCTGGGTGTGTGAAGGGAGGAGGGAAGCCTCAAGGATGAAGGCCGGTTCCTGGCTTGGGCTACCCAAAGGCTGGGGAGGCAAGTGACACAGATGAGTTTACAAGGAATGGCACTGAGTCAAGGTCCCCGATGCCATCAGCTCCTCACTTATCATCTCTCAGGTGGTGTATTTCACGGCCACGTTCCCCTACCTCATCCTGCTCATGCTGCTGGTCCGCGGAGTCACCCTCCCAGGGGCCTGGAAGGGCATCCAGTTCTATCTCACCCCCCAGTTCCACCACTTGTTGTCTTCCAAGGTGAGCCCCTCAGGGCGGGGTGCAGAGGGAGGGGCCAGGCCTGAGCTGGAGAGTGGAAAGAGGGCTCCCTGGGACACCGCAGTACCAGGCACTCTGCTCAGCCCTTCTTGCGTCTTTTTTATTTATTATTATTGTTATTTTTTTCTATTTTTAAATTGATAGGTAAAATTTTATGTATTTATCATGTACAACATGATGTTTTGAAGCATATGTACCTGGGGGAACTGTTAAATCTAGCTAATTAGCATATGTATTATCTCACATAATTATCATTTTTGTAGTGAGAACACTTAACATCCACTCTCTTAGCATTCTCCAAGAATACGATATATTGTCACTAACTGCATATTATACTTCATTTATTATTATTAACAATCATGGAAACACTATCCTCATTTTACAGAGGAATAAACTGAGGCTCAAAAGGGTTCTTATCAAGCTTACGGTCATACAGCTAGGGGATCGAAGAACAGGGATCCCAGCCCAGATTTGTGTGACTGTAAACCCCAAGGAGGGCATTAGTGACAATGGTGATAACAATGGTACTGACAGCTAATGTTAATATTTATTGACTGGGGACTGTGCCTGACCTTGCCCTAGTGTTTTACATGCATGTGTGTAGTGATTTAACCCACCCTCCTCCCATGAAGTAGGCACTATTCCTATCCCCTCGTTACAGATAGGGATCCTGCGGTCCAGAGGGGTGACCTGGCTTGTTCAGGCTGCACAGCTAGAAAATGGTGAAGCTGGGGTCCAAATCCAGGTGCCAGGATTCCAGAAAGGAAGTAAAGGGGTTATGCAGGCTTACTGCCAATACAAATCTCCTGCACACTTTACATTAGGCTCTGTGTCCTTCAGAACTGGACCAAGCTTAGAGACCATCTTCTAGATCCTGGGTGGGAAACTGAAGCCCGCAGAGGGGAAGGGACTTGCCCATGTCCCACCGTGTAAATGTTGGGGGAGGCTTTGCTCCTGGTCCACGTCACTTGTGAGCCAGGCTCATGACCACGCCATCCCTCGTGACCACGCCATCCCTGGAGCTGTCACACCATCTTCATTCACTGCCTTCCTTCTCTGTCCTTGACCATCCGCACACCCTCCCTTTCCATCCTTCCCGGCACAGGTGTGGATTGAAGCTGCTCTTCAGATCTTCTATTCCCTGGGTGTGGGCTTCGGGGGGCTCCTCACCTTTGCCTCCTACAACACGTTTCACCAGAACATCTATAGGTCAGTGTCCCACAGCCTCCCAGACCCTGGGGTCCAAAGCAGGGAGGAGAGTGGCTGGCCAGGGAGGGCCTCAGAGGCTGAAAGGAAGGCCCACTCACCCTGGCCCGCACCTGGACTTCTTCTGGTAGAGACACTTTCATCGTCACTCTGGGCAACGCCATCACCAGCATCCTGGCTGGCTTTGCCATCTTCTCCGTGCTGGGCTACATGTCTCAGGAGCTGGGCGTGCCTGTGGACCAAGTAGCCAAAGCAGGTGGGCAGGCTGCCAGGCCTCAGTGGGGTGAGCATGTGTGTTGGGTAGAGATGGGGCTGGGCCAGTGGACCAGCAAGATTATGGATGGGGGCCAGGCGCGGTGGCTCATGCCTGTGATCCCAGCACTTTGGGAGGCCAAGGTGGGCGGATCGCTTGAGGTCAGGAGTTCGAGACCAGCCTGGTCAACCTGGTGAGTCCCAGTGTCTACTAAAAATACAAAAAGTAGCCGGGCGTGGTGGCACATGCCTGTAATCCCAGTACTCAGGAGGCTGAGGCAGGAGAATCGCTTGAACCCGGGAGGTGGAGGTTGCAATGAGCCAAGATTGGGTCACTGCCCTCTAGCATGGGCAACAGAGCAAGACTCTGCCTCAAAAAAAAAAAAAAAAGATTGTGGATGGGTATGTCATGTGTGTGCATATGCACACATGTACGTGCAAAGGAACATGTCCTAGCTGGTCTCTGGTGGTCCATGTGCAAGGGGATGGGTGAGCAAACGAGTGTGCATTAACCCATGTCTGGAGGCCAATGAGTTTCTGTGCAAGATTGTCACATTTTGTGCTTTGGTTGCACAAATAAGTCATATTGTGTGTGGAGGTGTCTATGTGCAAGTGAAAAGGGTGAGAATGATCTTGTGAATCACTGTGTCTTTTGCCAGTGGATGCATGTAAATGTGTGTGTTAGTGGGGTTATTTGTACCAATAATTGTATACATAAGTATATTTCAATGAGGTTTTATATTGGGGTCTTGTGTTTGTTTATCAACCTATGTTTATCGAGCACCTACAATGTGCTGGTGTAGGTCCTGGGAGTTAAGGAAGTATCAGAGGGTGCATTTAAGTGGGCATCTCTGGGTTAGGCTAAACAAATGGCCCAAATGAGTGTAAGTGGCCGTGTGTGTCTGAGTGTGCGTATGGGAGCCCACCGCATGACCCAAGCTGCTGACCCCGTGTGCCCCTGGCCCAGGCCCTGGCCTGGCCTTTGTCGTCTACCCACAGGCCATGACCATGCTGCCTCTGTCACCCTTCTGGTCCTTTCTCTTCTTCTTCATGCTTCTGACTCTCGGCCTAGATAGCCAGGTGAGTCTCGTCTGTGGCAGCAGGCACCCCGTGTGTGTGTGGTGTGTGTGTGTGTGTGTGTGTGTGTGTGTGTGTGTGTGTGTGTTGGGGATAGAATTCTGACCCCCAGCCCCTCCTCTCTCCTCAGTTTGCTTTTCTGGAGACCATTGTGACAGCTGTGACAGATGAGTTCCCATACTACCTGCGGCCCAAGAAGGCGGTGTTCTCAGGGCTCATCTGCGTGGCCATGTACCTGATGGGGCTGATCCTCACCACTGATGTGAGTGGCGCTACAGGGAGGATGGCAGGTGGGCGGGACAAGGGCAGACGCCTGCAACGAGATCTCTGGCCCAGCTGAGCAGTTGCTGGGCCCCCTCCATCTTCCTCTTTGCAAGGAACCCAGTCCCTCCCCGGCCCTATCTCCCAAGGGAGGCAGTTTGGCCTTGTGATCCAGAGTCCTGGCTGTGGAGATTTAGTCTGCAAGATCTGGGTTCAAACCTGACTCCTGCACTTGCTGAGGGGGCTTCAGGATAAATGATTTCCCCTCCCTGAGATTGTTTTTCCTCATCAGTAAAAGGAGGGTTCTATAATAGACGGCTGTCTTGGGACTCAGATAAGACAAGGCCTAGAAGGGCTGGGCTGGCAGCCAGTGGTCACCCTGTCATCTTGTGCTGTCAGCATGGCTGCTTCCTGCTCACTTCTTGCCAGGAGAAGGGGCTGTAGCAGAGAACGAGGCCCAGGAAGGGGACACCAGAACTGTGCTTGTGTTTTAGGGGGGCATGTACTGGCTGGTCCTTCTGGATGACTACAGCGCCAGCTTCGGGCTGATGGTGGTGGTTATCACCACGTGCCTTGCCGTGACACGGGTGTATGGTGAGAAGAGCCGTGGGAAGTGGAGTCGAGCTCTCCGCAGTGGGAGAATGGGAGTCTACCCTGGGGAGCCCCAGTACCTGGGTCCCTGGTCCCAAGGGCCAGGGTTTCCAGTGGGGGCAGCTGGGGTAGAGGAGGGGCTGCTGGCGTTTGTGGGGCCGGCGGGTGGGGCCATTCCTCCTCCCCTCCCCTGTGCAGGCATTCAGAGGTTCTGCCGAGACATCCACATGATGCTGGGCTTCAAGCCGGGCCTCTACTTCAGGGCCTGCTGGCTGTTCCTGTCCCCAGCCACGCTCTTGGTAACTGGGGAGGGCGGGAGGGTTTCTGGCTGGGGCCCCAGAATTGAAAGCGGGAGTCCCCTCTGCACGTTCAGTCTGGTAGGGCCACCCTGGCCCGCAGTGGAGGGCTGTGGGGTGGCCACCAGAATCCTAGTCCATCCCCTCCCCTGATGTTCCCAGCTTCTGTAGCTGTGCTGGGCCTGGCCCTAGTTCAGTTGGTTAAATGCGTGGGTCTTTCCCAGGCCCCAGGGCCTCAGGATTGGAGCCTTTAGGCTGTGATTTCTGTCTTGGGGTTAGAGCAGCTAAGGGTCTGGGGTGCCTCAGAAATGGCTTGTGCAGGCCTTGGTGTTGGGTCAGCTTCAAGATGGGCTGGCTAAACCCTCAAAGGCTCCAAAGATGGCCCACTTCAGGGTTCGGTACAGCTTAGGATCCTGGGTAGCTCTGGGCTGGACTGTCTCAGGCCTTGGGCTGGCACTAGGCTGGGCTACCTCGGGCCTTAAGCAGTTTAGACAAAAGCCCGCAGTGATGCTGGGAGTCCCCACTCTGCAGGCCCTCATGGTGTATAGCATCGTCAAGTACCAGCCCTCGGAGTATGGCAGTTACCGCTTCCCGCCCTGGGCTGAGCTGCTGGGCATCCTGATGGGCCTGCTGTCCTGCCTCATGATCCCAGCTGGCATGCTGGTGGCTGTGCTTCGAGAAGAGGGCTCACTCTGGGAGGTGAGTCTGCCCACCCTGTCCACTCTCAGCCTTCCTGACCTGTGGCCTGACCCTAGGTCCCCCTGCTAGAACAGAAAACATATGCACCCACCCCTTATCCAGCTTCTTTTAGCCTGAGGAGACTTGCCTGGGCTGAGGCAGATTCAGGGGCTGGAGTCCTGCCCTGTGGCACTTTGTACCACATGAAGCCTTAGGGGAGTGGGTGGCACAATCTAAAGACCACTGTTAACCAGGAACTGGCCCCAGGTCCCACCGTGGGTTGGGGGTGTGTCAGGTCTTGAACTCAGGTCACCAGCCCAGAGCTTGCTTCTGGAACTCAGGGTCAAATGGCGACAGTGAGGGACCCCAGAGGGCAGGCTATCACCCTACTCCCGTGCCCAGGAGTCCTGCTGTGTCCCACTGGTGGCCCGGGATAGAATGATGGTGTGAGCCCTGCCCACGCCTAGGGTTTTGGGGAGGGACTCAGACAAACAGAGAGAGTGCACTCTGCCACAGGGTCTGAGGCCTTGGAAGAGAGGAGTAGTGACCCTTTGTGGGCCAGCAGAAGTGGTGTGGTCTGAGCCTCATTGCACCCTCTGAACACTGAGGCCAGCACTTCTGCCGCCGCTGGTGTGGAGTCCTCCGGTGGCAAGAGACCATCATCATGAATGCAGCTTTAGTGAGCCCGATGGATGGCATCCAGAGAGAGCCTGGAGGCACCCACAACATACACATCCCACCAGAAGTGTGCTGGAGCCAGCTAGCACTGGTTCATCCTTAAATATTCAGGAATGTGTGAGCTAGGTGTTCAACCATTGGTAGCTAGGAATTGGCAATGGTGGAGATATTTACACCACAGAAAATGGCTACAAAGCGGGCCTCCCTTGCACCCCACCCCACAGTCTGCTTACCAGCACACTACTGCCTCTCCTCCACTTCCCCCGTGTAGCTCCTGCCCCTCAGCTCCCCCACCACAAGGCTCCACCTGCAGGGGTTGCTCAGGAGGCAGAAGTGGTTTATGCCTCCCCCATCCTGCTGCCAGACCACAGGGGCACCCTGGAGTCTAGCCTCTGCACTGCCTCCAATTGCTGTGTGACTTGGGGCAAACTCCTTCCCTTCTCTGAACCTCAGGAGCTCCACCTCTGCTCCTTGCTTGAGAGCCAGGGTACCTGCAAAGGGAGGGAAGAGAGGGGAGTTGCTTAGGGGGGAGGCTCCAGCTCCCAGGAAGCTCATGGTCCCCAAGCCTTGCTAATGAGCCACTAGGAGTGCTGGGCTCTCCAGCAGTCACCACCGCCCCGCTGCCCTGCTGCCCTGCTGCCCTGTCCCACAGCCAGGTGGAAGGGGCATGTTTTGGGGGGCTCGAGAGCTGTGGTGAGCACTGCGGAAGAGGCATTCCCCAGCTCAGGAATGCCAGCTTCAGAGGCCAGGGCTTCCAGCACTGACCCTAGGATCAGAATCCTGCCTCTGCCATTTGCCAGCCTCGCGGCCCTAAGCAAGTTACTGCACTTCCCTGAACCTCAGCTTCTCTGTCTTTATTTTTATTTTATTTTATTTATTTTTTTTGTTGAGACAGAGTGTTGCTCTGTCACCCAGGCTGGAGTGCAGTGCAGTGGAGACAGTAAGCATAGTATCCAATAGGCAGGTTTTTTTGTCTTTTTTTGTTTGTGTTTTGAGACAGAGTTTCACTTTGTCACCCAGGCTGGGGTGCAGTGACGCCATCTGGGCTCACTGCAACCTCCGCCTCCCGGGTTCAAGTGATTCTCCTGCCTCAGCCTCCCAAGTAGCTGGGATGACAAGCACCTGCCACCACGTCCAGCTAATTTCTGTATTTTTAGTAGAAACAGGACCAGGCTGGTCTTAAACTCCTGGCCTCAAGTGATCCGCGCACTTCGGCCTCCCAAAGTGCTGGGATTAAGTGTCTTTGTCTTTAAAATGGAGAGAGTGATACCTACTTTTAGGCCTGTTATGAGAAGAAAAGAAGTTTATCAATATAGTCTGCATTGTGAAAGGCAGAAAAGCAAAATATTTTAAAGGTTCAGGATGGAGTCAGGACGGGTTCAAATCCCAACGCCACCACTTCCCACCTGTGTGACCTTGGCCAACTTAACTGATCTCTCTGAGCTTTAATACTCAGATAATATCAGTGCGGGCGGATGGTAAAAGTACTAATACCCCTCTCATTAGGACACTGTAAAGATTAAATTAGCCAATGCTTAGCACAGAGCTGGAGTGCACTGGGTGCTCAATTTTAGGCCAGGGGTTCTCACAGGGGGTGATTTTGCCCTTGGGGGACATTTGGCAATGTCTGGAGACATTGTTGGTTGTCGTGGAGGGGAGAGGGATACAAGGAGGGGTGCTCCTGTCATCTAGTGGGCAGAGTTCAGAGATGCTGCTAAACAACCTTCCATGCGCAGGACAGCCCCCATAACACAGAATCCTCTAGACCGAAATGTCAGGAGCACTCAGGTTAAGAAACTGGTCTGAGCACCCCCGTTTTCAGCTGGAAACAAACCTAAGTCCTTGTTCTCAGGGAGCTTGTATTTTATTGTGGGGGACAGGCAATAAAGAAATATGTAAAGGTAAGTTCTGCACTTAAAAAAAAAAGGAGTACAGGAATAAATGGAGAGTGGTACTTTGGCCAGGATGGTCAGAGAAGACCTCTCTGAGGAGGTGGCACCTGACTAACCGGACAGGGTGATCCATGTAGGTATCTAGGGTAAGAGCATTCCAGGCAGAAAGGCAACACGTGCAAAGGCCCTGAGGCTGGGGGCTGGCATGTTTAAGAACAGCATGGAGGCCAGTGCTGCGGCTGGAGCAGAGGGGGTGGAGAGAACTGGTGGAGCTGATATCAGGGAGGTAGGCAGGGGCCAGGAGCTGGAGGCCCTGGTGCACACTTTGGATTTCATTTCCAGTGAGATGTGCAGCCATTGGCAGGCTTCTGAGCAGTGGGGTAGCATGCGTTCAACACATCTTCCTAAGTATCACTGTGCTGTGAGTACCGAGCTGTGGGAGACCCCGGCTAAAGGCATCACACATGGTATCTCCCTCGGAACCTGCCCAGTGGGCTGCCCAAATGTTAATTGCCTCCTTTCTTTAAGGACACAGGGGCTCCCTCTTCTCCCTGGCATGACAGGCAGAGGGATTTGGGAATGTGGTTGAGGAAGAAGGAACTCTGGAATCTCCAGGCTTAGTCATTATCTTAGTCACCCCGACTCCGTCCATGGAAACTGGGGCTCTACAAGGGAAAGGTCAGAGGCAGAAGGAGGCAGGTCGGGGCTGGAAGAAACCGGGAAAGCCAGCTGCAAGCCCACCGCAGTTCTCCCGGTTCATGGCTCTTTTCCAAAAGCCCCCAGCTCCTTAAGATTCAGCATTTAGGGGAAGGCTCCCGGATTGGCATTCAGACACTCTGAGGAGGGGCCCGCCGCGTAATTATAGCAACAGCCGCCACTTCCCAGGCCTTACCCTGTTCCCAGCACCCTGCTAAGTGCGTCATCTCAGTGCCTTCACAACAACCCTGTGACAGGACTGGGATTCCCGAATTACAGACCAGGAAGCAGAGCACCCAGAGCCGAGCGGCATTGCCAAGAGCCATCCAGCTTGCAAGTGGTAGAACAGGATTCTCACCCAGGCAGGTGGATCCCTCCCCTGGGGAAGTCATAGTGCCCCCCACTTCCCCGCCAGGGGGCTGTGGCCAGGACTCCCCCAGTGATGTGGTCAGGTGTTTGCTGGGTGTCTGGCCACAGTGAACCCTCCACCAGCGCTGCCTGTTTCCTGTTTTCACTGCTCTCGTTGCTTTGCTGCAGCGGCTCCAACAGGCCAGCCGGCCGGCCATGGACTGGGGACCATCGCTGGAGGAGAACCGGACGGGCATGTATGTGGCCACGCTGGCTGGGAGCCAGTCACCAAAGCCACTGATGGTGCACATGCGCAAGTACGGGGGCATCACCAGCTTCGAGAACACGGCCATCGAGGTGGACCGTGAGATTGCAGAGGAGGAGGAGTCGATGATGTGAGGCAGGAGGCAGGCGGGCAGAAGGCCCTGCCCGGGACCTCACAGTCCCTTCTTAGAAGCCTGCAAAGGTCAGCTGTGCCCTCTGGGATTCTGAGAGGCTATGGGGGGGCCTGCCATAGGGATGCCAGTCCCCCAGTGGGGGTCCCTTCTGCAGCCTCTGCCTCTCCTGAAACCTCTGACAACCCCCTACACACACACACAGGCATACTCAGACCCACTCAAAGCTGAGAATGATCCAACTCAGCCCTACTTTGCGGATGGACATATTAAGGCCAGGAGGGGAGGGACTTGCCCCAGGTCGCATGGCAGAGGGGACTTGAACCCACGCCTCCTGACCAGCCAGCTCCCTTTCCCATGGGGCAGCCGGCACCACCTTCTCATCTCTATTCAGGGCCTACACCCCTCCCTTTTTGGGGGGAGCCTGTCCCCACACACCTTAGCACAACCAGAATCTTGAGTTGGGCAGGGAAGGTCAGGGCTACAGAGGCTCTTGAGGCTCCGAGGCCCTGGGGATCAAAGGTCAATGAGTTAGGTGGGGAGAAAGATCCCTGGGGGCTCCTGTATGCAGGACTCCTGAAGGAGGTGGGAGCTGAGGGCCCTGGAGGATGGGGAAGGTTTGCAGAGAGAGGAAGAAGAGGGCAGGGTGGGGAGGAGCTCTGGGCCAGAGGATGCTGAGCTGCCTGGGCAGAGACCAAGAGGGTTGGAGACACTAGTTTTACCAGGTTACAGGAGGGTTCAAGACAGAAGGAAAACTAACAGAGGGGGAGCCAGGGATGATGGGGTGGGCAGGGGATTTGCATGATGAGGAGTATCATTCCAGATCTGTGCAGAGCGGATCGGACGGGACAGGGTGGAGCGGGGAGGCCTGTGCAAAGTGGGAAAGAGCTGCCGGTGGCCTGAGCCAGGGTGCTGGGGCTGCGGGTGGGGAAAGGAGGCCCCAGCACTTCAGACAAAGACCACCCCTTCACCCACTGGACCCCAAGCCGCAAAAGCTGGGGAGGTAGGAAGGGTCACTGTGAGGGCCCAGGGCCCCTCTCTTCCCATCTCCCTTGTCCTGGTGGCCTTCAGTGTCTCTTCCAGTTCCAGGAGCTGCTGGGAAGCTGGCCTTCATTGTTGGTGACAGGGCAACCATGGGACTAGGAGGTGGCCCATACACATGGCTGGCTGGTCCTGAGGCCACCCACCTTGTTCCAGGACATGGGCCCGGGCCCGGTGTGGGGGTAGACGCAGAGGGCAGAGGGTAGCCCTTGGTACTGTGGGTCCCTCAAAGAGGAGAGTGGGGTGCAGAAATGCCTCAGCATGGCTCATGCACACAGCATTCTCCCGTGGGGCAGGGTTCCCTCATGCAACAGGCCTCCCTGTGGCCAGCCTCTCTGCCTGTCTCTCGCTGCGTCCCCCCAACCCCTTGTGTTCTATTGGTTCATTGTTAATAAATATCAAATGAGGTCACGCTCCTTACCCCGTCTCCTTACTGCTGAGAGCCGTGAGGTGGGCAGCACAGGGCTCCCCAGCTCCCACTGGACAGGGGAGGAAACAGGCTCTGCTCCCTCCTTCCCCGGCTCTCCTGGCTTCTGCCCTGGGTCTGACATTTCCCTGTGGCAGTAGGTGGTGGGTGGGGCTCAGAAAGGAAGACAACTCCAGGCCCTTACAGACTACTTAGTTCCCTGTTATACAGACAGACAAACCGAGGCCCACGGAGGGAAAGAGACTTGCTCAAGGTTACCCAGCCAAGCCGGGCAGAGCCTGGGGCAGCAGGGGCCAGCAAAGCGGAGCCCATGAGCCCGCTGCCTCCTTCCCTCTCCCACTCCTCCTCAGCCCTGCCTGCAGGTGAAGGCTGGAGCTGAAGACCAGGGCTAGGAGGAGCCAAGAGTTTCCCAGGCCGGAAGAATCTCTGGGTTCCACCCACCCCCTCCTGGCAGGGCCTTGTCATATAAAAGAGCCCCAGGGCCTTTCAAATGCGAGGCCCAGGTGTTTGCAAAGGCTTTGATTGGGGGTGGAAAGGAAGGGCGGCTGCATATTTCAGATATTAATAAATTCCCCCTAACAAAGGGCCAGGCCCCCCTCCCACTCCTCTTTGTTTGGGGCTCTGGGTGAGGGGAAAGAGATGAATTTGCTAATTTGCAAAGCGTGTGAGAATGGTCTTCAGAATTCAGGTGCTTCTTCCCACGGGGCAGGCTCCAGCCCTGCTGGCAGCGCCCTGGTACTCAGCCTTCTCAGCATGCCCTGTCTGGGGAGGAGGTGCTCTCTGCCTGGACACGGGGCCATGGACTTTCGAATATTCCTCACCAGCCTCTCGGCTGCAGCCAGGTGTCCTGGGAGTCAGGAAAGGAGCATCTTGGGAGTCTAGGCTTCCTTTCTCCTCAGATTCCAAGTGTGAGATTGGAGGGTTGTAGGAGTCCATGGGTCCCACCAGCTTCACTTCCTCCTGCCTCCCCAACCCCTGCCCACTCCTGCCACCGGGCCTGCGGTCCCTGTCCTGCCCTCCCTGGCCCAGTCTTCCAGTTTCTCCTGCTTTTTCCATTTCCTCTACTCTCAGACAGCTTTTCCTGCCGCTCTACCTTCTCCTCCCTCCGTCGCCGGCAACATCTCCCAACTGCTCCGGTCCTGATCCCTGTATTGACTTTAGGTCTCCCTGGCTCAGAACAGCCCCCAGCCTGGCCCTGATTACAGTGGGAACTGACTGGGGAACAGGCAGCTCCAGCTGGGGGAACCCACGACAGCATAGCAGGCAGCTCAGAGAAAACATCAGCCCTGTCTGGAGTAGGATCCCACCCTGCAAACCTCGAATGTCCTACCCGGCAGCAAACTCACATCCTACAGGGCCAGCCAGGAACCTGGGTGAGGAAAGCTGTTGGTATGAGCGGGAGAATATGTGGCAACTGACCCTCCGTGAGTGCTGGAGAGGCAAGAGGGAGTGGTAGGGACTGTGGTGAACTAGAGAAGAAAGCACGCCTATCTTAAGAGGGAGGCCACCTCTCAGAAGTGTGGGCCCAGGCTGCCAGATCTCCGGGCTTTTTAAGGGCAGCTGGAAATCTGGATTTTTATGAGAAATTTCCCAATGTGCAATGTGGATGACTGATTTAAAAGTTGTAAGCATGAGCCCGGGCGGGGTGGCTCACGCTTGTAATCCCAGCACTTTGGGAGGCCAAGGCGGGCAGATCACGAGGTCAGGAGATCGAGACCATCCTGGCTAACACGGTGAAACCCCATCTACTAAAAATACAAAAAATTAGCTGGGCACGGTGGCTCGTGCCTGTAGTCCCAGCTACTCTGGAGGCTGAGGCAGGAGAATCGCTTGAACCCAGGAGGCAGAGGTTGCAGTGAGCCGAGATCATGCCACTGCACTCCAGCCTGGGGGACAGAGAGAGACTCCATCTCAAAAAAAAAAAAAAAAGTTGTAAGCCCAGCTCAGTTAGGGCCTCCTGTCAGCCTCTCTGCAGGCTGACTGTTCTGCAGTCTCAAGGGATGAGCAGCCTAGAGGGTTTACCCAGGTCCCATGGGGAGAATGTTCTGGAGCTGAGGCCGGACCCCAGGGCTCTCCACCCTCACTCAGTCCTCTAATGTCCGGTCTCATCTGACCTGTGTGTCCATGGACCCCTGAACTTGGGAGGCTGGTGTGGAGCCTTGGGAGGCATCGTACGTGCCTGGCTGGAGTGTGGGGTAGGCTGCCCCGGGGCCCTTCATTCCTGTTCTGGGGCTTGTTAGAGGGTGCCCTTGGGCACCAGGAAATGCTGAGATGAGAAGCCTGGCTATACACAGCCACTGCCAACGTGTGGTCTCTGTGGCGGGGAAGGAGGGAAGGCAGTGGAGGGGCAGGGGCTCCTACCCACACCATTAGGTCAGCCATATTCCCGAGGCCAAGTGAGGGTCAACAGGCTCCAGGGGTCACACTGGTTACCTGAGTGTTTGGTCTTCAGTGGGCCCTGAGCCCTGTGTTCCTGTCCATCACCCCAGCCCAGCTTATGCTCCTGAGCAGGTCCCGGCTGTCCTGCCTTCCAACCTTGGCTTAGGCAGGGCCTTCCGCCTTGATCCAGTGTCTTCCCGCCCACCCGTTGGGATCCTAGCCATCCTTTAAGTCCCTCCTAAATATACCCTCCCCTGTAAGCCTTCCTCAATTCCCTAACCAGATGTGGACGCCTAGAATCTTCAGGGGGTCTGACTCAGCCCGACATCTGGTGAGTCCTGACAGCCCAGCCCTGCCTGCCCAGGGCACTCACATCCTTTTGAGACAGTGCATTTTGTTTCCACATAGTGAAGACTCTCCTTGGACCCCAGAGTGCTTTGGGGCCACAGCAGGGCATGGTGCAGAGGCCTCAGGCTGCTCAGCCACACTGATCTGGATTTATTTCCTCCCTGGCTGTGTGGTCTTGGGGAAGTCACTTAACCTCTCTAAGCTCTCATTCTTTTACCTGTAAAATGTGGGCAATGACAGCTCCTACCACGTAGCAGCATCACCCATTGGCTTGGTGGGCATGTGATACACATTTATTGATTGGAGGAACACACTTGTGTCTACCATCTCTGTCCCACTACCAACTCCTCCAGGACAGAGACTGGACTCTCCTCATCTCTCAGTCGCCCCAGTGACTCCACAAGGCTGGTTCACAGCTTTGCACCATGAAGCATCAAACTGAACACAGTTCTTGGGTGGCTCTAGGGATATCCAGCAAAGAGTTAAGACAGTTGCAGGCCCCTCAGAATCCCACGTGACCCTTAGTTGCTGAGCCCCAGGGTCTGCGGTAGACAGGCTCCTCCAGACTCATTTTTTGCTGGTGGCTCATGGAAAGTTTGGTTCTTTGAGCTCCAGCCCACTCCCTCTGGGGCCTGAGTCCTCGCTGAAGCTGGTCCTGCCCTGGAAGGGCATCCAGGGCTGGCTGCCCGTCTGCGGATCCTTGGCCAACAGTCCCCCCTGCTCTGTCTCCGCCTGACTTCCTGCTGCCTTGGCCTTCTCCCCCAGGACAGAGCAGCAGCCCGCCCCCTCTGGCCACAGGGAGGCCTTTTCTCAGCACCCCCATTCAGAATCACTTTTTGTTTTGGGAAAGAAAGCCTTTTCCTGCTCAAGTCCATAGGCTCTGTGAGCAGCAACCCTAGAAAATTGCAGCCAGGGAGCCAGGTTCAGTGGCTGGTGCCTGTAATCCCAGCTGCTCAGGAGGCAGAGGCCATAGGACCGCTTGAGGCCAAGAGTTCGAGACTAGCTTGGGCGATGTACCAAGACCTCATCTCTACATTTTTTAGAAGCCAGGCTTAGTGGTTTGTGCCTGTAGTCTCAGCTACTCAGGAGGCTGAGGTGGGAGGATTGCTTTTGTTGTTGTTGTTTTGTGGAGTTTTTTTGAGACAGGTTCTCCTTCTATCAGCCAGGCCGGAGTGCAATGGCACAATCACAGCTCACTGCAGCCTTGACCTCCCAGGCTCAAGCGATCCTCCCACCTCAGCCTCCCTACTAGCTAGGATCACAGGTGTACACCACCACGCCAGCAATTTTTTTTTTTTTTTTCTGTAGAGACAGGGTCTCACTTTGTTGTCCAGGCTGGTCTGGAACTCCTGGGCTCAAGCAATCTTCCTGTCTCAGCCTCCAAAGTGTTAGGATTACAGGTTTAAGCCACCTTACCCAGCTGGGAGGATCTCTTGAGTGACAGGCTAAGAACCTTCTCTAAAAAGAAAAGAAAACTGTGGGCAGTAGGAGCCAAGGAGGCTTTAGGCATCTGCTGGTCAGAGTGGAACCCTGGCTCCATGGCCCCTCTGAATCTGCTGCTTCACCTCTCTGAACCCCGGTGTTCTCAGATGTGAAAGGGGAGAATAGCTTTCCCTTGGCAGGGGATTAAATGAGATAAATTAGATGCTCAATACATATTTTTAAAATGTGATCAAAGTGCTTAGCACAAAATGTGGCATGCAGGAACCCTCTAGATGGGATGCATCTCATTAGCCAGCTCTCCCTTGTACAGATAAGGAAACTGAGGCTCAGCTCCCACCTCCAACCAGCCTGGGGAGAAAGAGGCTGGGAGTTGGTGTGCCTGGAGCCAGGGACAGGCTAAACTGGAGGCCCAGGCTTGCCAGCACCATCTGTGTGCCCTGAGGACCCAGCCTCAGTGTCCCCATCTATAAAACAAGTGGGTTGAACAAGGACAGAGGGCTCTGCAGAGGTGCCTTGGTGGAGGGAGGTGAGGAAAAGGGAGCTCTCTGCTCCCACCCACTCCATGCAGCCTTCTGCTGGGGACCATGCCACGGGAGCTAGGGAGGGGAGCAGCACCCCTCTTCGGAGATGGATTGGGATTGGCTCTGCCTAGTAGGAAGGAAGTCTCAGTTCTCTTGCAGAATGAGTTTAAGGATTCAGAGCCCTGAAGGTTTTTCCAGTGAGCCAAATGCCCTGCCCAATCACTAGGAGTAGGGGGATACAGGGTGAGCGTGGGCACAGCAATAAAATCATCACAGTCCCAAGCCTGGCTTGACCTTGATTCTGCTGATCCGAGGTCAGGGTCTCAGAGAGCTTTGGGGCTTAGGGTGGTAGGACTTAGAGGCAGGGGAGGGGCC
Source organism: Homo sapiens (assembly GCF_000001405.40). Classification (NCBI taxonomy): domain Eukaryota; kingdom Metazoa; phylum Chordata; class Mammalia; order Primates; family Hominidae; genus Homo; species Homo sapiens. Next base: position 150,216,146 of record NC_000005.10, read on the forward strand.
TATGGTCAATATTGATCTAGCTGAGTCAGGGGAGGACAGGGAAGTGGGAAGCCTGGGGTGGGGCTCCCTGATAACTGCATCTTCAGGCTGCCATTGTGACTGTGGAAACGGGGTGGGGACAATGCGGGGAGGGGGAAGGGATGCTCCATGCAAATTCCCAAACCTGGGCTTTTACTAAAACTACAGCTGCCTGGACCCCTGCCCAGAAGAATGGCTCTTATTCTGTGAGGGTGGGGCCCAAAACATCTGTGTGTTTAGCAAACTCCCTGGTGAATCTGCAGCAGCCAGCTCAGTTCTCACATATGGGGCCCACAGGTTCAGTGTCATTGTAATATGAGGAAACGAAGGCCCAGAGAGGGGATGTGACTCCTCCAAGGTCACTTTGGGAGAGGATGCTGACAGTCCTCCCTTTTCTCCTGGAAGGAAGGAGTCATCCCCCTCCAGCTCCCTCCACCTCCAGTTGAGGCCCTGGGTCTGGGAAGGAATGGCTGGGCCAGGGCGTCCTGAGGGAAGTGGCCTCTGAGACTTTGGTGGCCCTGGGTGGAGAAGGGAGGGCAGGGCTGGTCCCAGGAGGAAGGACAAGGAGAGGGCATTTCCACGGGACTGGACCTGCCCCACCCTGCCCTATGCACACCCCCCAGCACCTGCCAGGGGATGTTTCCTGAAAGATTTAGCACAACCCATGCCCTGAGAAGGCACCACATCATGGCAGATTCGGGGCTCACTCAGCCCTTAGACACCTCCGGCCCCCATGGCCTCCTCCCAAGCCTGTTCTGCTCACCCTGCCGCCACAGTTCTGGGCTCCCAGCCTTTGCTCTGGCCTCCACACTCTCCCTGCCTCCATCCCATCAAGCACCCCACGAAGTTTTATCCAGCCCAGTCACCATCTCTCCTTCTCCTTCCTCTGGGCTCCTGCACACTTTGCACCTCCAGATCCAGCCCCCATCCCAGCCTTCCTTGAGTTCTTGCTCTTTGCATGTCTCTCACTGTCTGGAATGGCATCAGAGATTCTTGGGGGACAGAAGTCATGAGACAGGTCTAGCTTATCACTGAGCCCTCCTTGGAGCCCAGCCCAGCCACAGCATGCCCCAGGGAAGCAGGTGTGGGAAGCAGGTGTGGGAAGCAGGTGTTCACAGCAGCTGAGAGCCTCAATCTCACCTCCCTCCCTCGTGCCCTGGGCCATCTTGGGTGGGTTCCTTTCCTCTGGGCACCTTCTTATTAACGGAATAAAGAGAATAGTAGTGCCCTCAGTGGAGGGGTATGCTGAAGATTGAGAGAGCACCTATAAAAGAGGTGGGGCGTGCCTGGCACTCAGTCAGTTCCCACTGTTAACCGTTGTTATTTCTGGGTGGGTGGAATACTCATGCCCACACAGCCTCCACTCCTCCTTCATTCCAGGGGCACATCTGCTAGGGGTCTTCTCTATGCAAGAATGACAGTATCTGCCACGTACATCCGGAGCACGGACAAGATGCTGTCCTGCCTTCAAGGAGCACACAGTTCTGCAGAAACTTGCTTAGGTGACTTCAAACCAGAGATCTGTGGTGAGGAAGGTGGAGCAGATTGTGGAAGCCCATGGAGGGACCTAGCCCAGGGACGGGGGAGGCTGGGGAGGGTGAGGGAACTTCCCAGAGAAGATGCTGGAGCCATGTCCTGAAGGGTGAGAAGGTGTCACAGTGCGCTCAGTGGGAAAATGCAAGGGAAATGGCCCTCTGCAGTGCCCTTTGGAGTATGGAGACTGTGGGTGTAGACAACCGAGAGAGAAGACAGTAGCTGGAAGGGGACAGAGTGTCAAAAGGGGAGGAGGTCCTAAGAATCCCAGTCACTCCTCGCTGGCTGTCCAGAGACCAGGGACAGGGCAGCACCGACCAGGGCAGGGGAGGCCCCTGGAGGGAACAGAGCACTGTGCTCTGAGTTAGAAGGCTGGGGTGAGCACTGGTCAGAGTCTTGCAAGAAGTCTCTTTGCCTTTGAGTCTCATCATTTTCATCTTCAAAATAGGACTGTTGTAACTAGGACAAGAGGTGTTGTGAAAGCACTTTGTGAACTGTAGAGCATCATTCTCCTGTGAGATAATAATAGTGTTTTAAGTGGAGTCGGTACTTTTTGAGAGTTAAAGGATATCTCACAGGGCATGGTAGACGTACTAGGGCCAAGGACTGCCTGAAACCTGCTCCTGTGCTGCCACCTGCTGGTGAAGGGACACAATGACCACCCAAGCCCTCAAAGCTTTCTGCAGGGGCCAGGCAGGAGCCACTGGGGCAAGTGAAGGCAGGGCTGGGAGGACGCCTGCCACTAAACCCTTGAGGACATCGGTGATGTCCGCAATAATAAAAAACTCTTCATTTTTTACTATTGGCATCTAATTCAAATTTAAAACATCATCCGCAAAGGTGGCAAATGGAAGCCCCCAAGCCTCTCTTGCTTTTCTCAGCCTTGGCCTGTGTTCTTACTGTGAAGGTCCTCCCCTGTGTGCAAGGGGCACACTCCCTATAGACACTGCCCCTGGCCATTCCACACACCAGCAGTGAGGATAGACCCGGAAGGCAGCTGGTGCAGGGATTCTGGAGTGCCAGGCACCCGGAGTATGGTCTAGAGGGAACTGTGGGCTCCGATGGGCACCTTTCCTTGGCCCCGTGGCATCCAGGCCTCTGGGCAATGGATGGGTGACCAGCTTGTCTGGTTGGCCTGGTGCTGTCCTGTTTTGAGCACTGAAAATCTCACACAGGTATCTGGGAAGGTTGGCCACTCTACCGTGGCCTGAAGGTGGCCAAAGCCTCTGCATCACCACTTTGGCTCTGCCCTGCCAGAAGCCAGCAGCTCGGGCTCCAAGGACCAAAGTGTCCCAGGCACTAGGTCCAGACATATGTTTATGGGTAAAGAGACCCTTCCTCCCCTTCCCCATTCTTTAAAGCACTCTCTGGCATGGTGAGTCCTGAGCACTCATCTGTGAGGCTGGGCTGAGGGAAGAGAATGGGTGGGGGACTTGTGGAATAACCTCCACATTGTACAGGGAAACTGAGGCCCAGAGGAGAAGAACCTTGCCCCAGGGCCCAAGAGAGGCTTTAGCTCTTGGCTGCTCAGGCAACCCATAGCCACCCCTTTGCTCTTGTTGAGGGTACCCCCATGTGCCTGGGAGAAAGCTGACCCCATCCCTGGCTCTACAGGTGGGGCATGTGGTCCAGGCATAATCCCACAGTGACTGGCTCAGCCTTGAGCATGTGACCACAGTTGGTCCAATCAGAATGAAGACCAGGACTTTTATTTTGCCATGGGGCAGATCTGGAACTGGAAACTAACAAAAACCTCCCAGCTCAGGGGCTTGACCAAGACAGGGACACACAGAGTGCACAGAAGTTTGTAGCTATTTATTGCACTGAAAACACCAAGAATAAAACAAACGCCCCTTCTTCCCATCCCACCCGCCCCCCCCAATAGCAGAAAGTTTGAGCAGTGTTCATTCAAGTTCACAGCCACATATTTTTAAAAAAGAAAAGAAAAAAAAAAAGAACTAAAACAAAACCCCAAACAAATAGTAACAAAGAAACCAGCACGGGGAGTCTGGCAAACTCATCCCCCAAAAGGGTCTCCCTTTGAAGGGAGACAGGAGGCCTTGGGTCAGGATTCGCACCATGGTGGGCACAAACCCAGGAGAACACTTTCCTGTAAACGTGTTTTCATGCTGGAGCCAAGGTTTTGACTTGGGTTTGGATTTTTATTTATTTATTTATTATTATTATTATTATTATTTTGCATCTAAAGGATGTTTTGGAGGAGCACAGAGTTTGTCTGGTGAGGGTAGGCTCTGGGCAGATTTTTCTGTGAGTCTCCCCTGCCTGCCACATCAGGATCATCCCTGGTGCCCTGTGGTGGCACCAGGTGGCTGCCCACCCACAGGCGTGGCCTTCACAGTGGGGGCCATCTCAGCCTGGGGTAGCGATCTGCCTCCACTTCTCTGGCACTTGGAGAGTGACACAGTGGACAGGAGGTGTGTCAGCCAATGAAAGGCAGGACCTCAGGCTCCTCCAGCTCAGTTTCCTCTGGCAGGGAAACCAAGCTCCAAAGAGGGAAAGGAACTTGCCCAAGGTCACACAGCAAGTCTGGTCAGAGCTGGGAATTGAAGCCTACTCACCCCAAATCACTGCTCTTTCCCCTGCAGTCCACTGCTGAAAAGCAGTTGACAGGCACCGACGAGGGGAATCAGGGGCAGGTGGGGGAGGGGATGGAGCCTGACCAGGTCTAGAAGTAAACAGGAGTCCAGCCAGTGACTATCCCTGCCAGTTCCTGCAGGTAAATTAGGCTTCACATAGCCAGACGTTTGCTCCTTCATCGGCTGGATGGGAACAAAGAACCCTTTTAACCAATGAGGGAACTGAGGCTGAAGAAGAGCTCAGACCTTGCTCGGTAATTACAGCAGCCCCTGGTGAAGGCCACACCCTCACCCTTGACTGGGGATGGCTGTAGGGAACTGGCAGCTCAAAAGGGGACAGGTGGTTTTGCCCCTGGGATAATGGGATCACTGGGCCTTACTGGGAAGCCCTCTGGGCCTGGGGCAGGCCAAGAGCCTGCCCCTGGGCCTGGGCAGCAAGGTCTCTGCCAAGGACAGAGGCCAGTGATGGACCAGCTTGGAAACCAGGAGGCCTGGGCAGCATCTCTCCTGGCCTGCAGACCTGGCGTTGCCTGTCTCACCTGGGCCTGGGCAGCAGGACTTGAGAAAAGAACCCAGCAGACAGCTGGTGATTGGGGAGAGCTCAGAAAATCTCGGATCAAACATCCTCACCAGTTCTGCTCCAACCAACACCCAGGAGGGTCGAGGGTACCGGAGCCTCCTCCAATCCCTGGGGACGTGGCTCTTCCTCCCCTAAAATCCTCCAGAGGGGACAGTATCTCATGCTGGCAAAACACGGCCACACAGAGGCCAAAAGCACAGAGAGGCAGCAACATAATTCCGAGTCGGACACTGAGAATACAACCTCTATTTTTTTTTTTAGTCCAAAACATGTAGATTGGTTTTGTTGAGTGTTTTCTTCTTTTTGTTTGTTTTCAACATACTTACTGCGTATAAAGTCATGCAAAGAAAACAGTGCAGACAGTAGATCCTAGTGGATGTGCCAAGGTATTCCACTCAGAGTCAATCCCAGGGAAAGAGGGAAAGAGGAAAAGAAAGAGAGAATGCGAACCCGAGGCTGCAGGATGAGGCATGAAGAGTAGAAATTCCCAGTGCTTTGCTGTGGTCATCAGACGCCAAGGGGAGAGAGGCAATGAAGACACACGCTCACGGGCCCCCCAGAGGTGGGTGGGGGGTGCTGGGGGCGGCACACAGATATGGTGAGATGAAATCCTGGGAAGTTCGGTAGAGAAGACCCCAGTTTGCGAGGGAAGCAAAGAAAAGTCCAGGTATTTCCATCCTGACAGCCTCCCTCCTCCTCTCTGCCCTGACTTGCTGTTCCTGAGTCAGTGCTGGCATCTGATGCTTCCACAGTCCCAAAAGGAACGCCTGTGTCAGCTCACCTTGGGACCGAAATGGCAGAGAGGCCCTTCTCCCCGGAGCTGAGTCCACCTTGGCCCCAATAACCACAGGTGACAAGGTCCACCTCAGAGATGACAAAAAAAAAAAAAAAAACTAGAACAGAAAAAAACTACCCCTCACCCCTCTTCCTACACCCCTTCCAACCTGACCCTTCTCACAATAATCTGAGAAGTCTAGTTATTACATAAATATCCATTAACGCGAAATCCATTTACGAAATACACAGAAATTTGGCTATAAAAAGGCATGCGGTCCAAGTAGAAGTGATACCTAAACGTTGCTTTCTTTTGCCCCCCAAAAACAATTAGATTCCCTCTCTGAGATACGACAAAGCTGGAATTCTCCAGGGATGACGGGGGTGGGGTGGGCAGGTTAATGTTGGAGGTGGACTTCACCAGAAGGAAGCAGAAAGCAAGTAGGGGCACCTGAGAGGGCCACATCCCCCACACCGAGGGAAGGGTCAGACCACCCTGAGGTCAGCACAGGAGGAAGAAGACTTAGGGGAGCACTTTGAGGCAGGAGGCTCCTGGCGTATGCTCTTCTCCCCACTCCTTCAGTGCGGTTGGCTTAGGGGGAAGGGAGTGTCATCTGCCCTTCCCCGGGGACACTGGAAGAGGAGAGGTCTGGGAGAGGGACGGACGGATGCTGCCTTCCTCATCATGCCACCCCTCCTTCTCCCCAGCCCCTGGTGGGCACCAGCCCGGGCATTCTAGCCTACAGCCCAAGACAGATCAGGCGGACAGCAGCTGAGGCTGGGGAGAGGGGGCCAGTGCTGTGGACACCCATGCCTGAGGAAGCCCCAGCCTGGCAGGGGAGAGGGTGGGGGTGAGAGGTGGGGAGATGTGGCCGTTCGCTCTGAAGTTGCGATGACTTTTGTGAACAAGCAGGTTTTCTTGATGCAGGTACAGAAGTGACGGTGGTGGGGTGATGACATGGGAGAATTCCAGCAAAATCCACCTGGGAGAACCAGCAGCTCCACTCCACGGACAGAGTGGATCTCTGCGGCACAGCAACGCAGCGACCCCAGCCTGGTCCCTCAGCTGTAAGACACACACGGGGTGCTTCTCAGGGCATGGTGTTTCCTGCTTGGGCAACCCACCCACCCTGCCGCTTTAGATGGAGTCCATGCGGTCCCTGGTGGCTCCTGCCCAGCTCTTCCCCCAGACCTGCAGGCCTGGCCCCCTTCTTGGGGTCTCCCCACCCCACTCTGCAGCCTTTCAGAGCTGAAGGCAGCAGCTTCCCCGACGTAACCCCCTCCAGGGCAACACTCCCATCCTTTACATTACCCTGGGAGGCAGGAAGGAGGGATTCTTACTGGGGCAGGACGGAGGGCGCCCCAGATCTGTGGAAGTGGACGATCTGCCATTTGCCATCCCGGCGGTGCCAGACACGGGTCTCCTCCGACTGGGCGGTGCGTGGGATGCCGCCAGCGTCCAGGTACTGCGTGATGCGGATGTAGGCGATGCAGGCTGACTCGTCGCCCATCAGGTGGATGTGGGGATTCAGGATGGTGGTGTGCACGGGCTTGCTGTTCCGGGACCACACTGGAGGAGGGGATGGGAGGGGCAGAGGAGATGCAACCGGGGGCCTCCTGTCTCACTTTCTTCACTTTCTCCACTCCCAGCAGCCCTCTCAATGGAGGCGCCCTGCCTGACTCATTTGCAGGGAAGGGGCCTGTGTGGCAGGACTCAGCTACCTGGGATCAAGGTAGAACTTCTAGATGATGGGGACATCACATCCTAGTTTAGATACAGTGGAGTTCAGACATGCAGAATTCATCAAACATGAGAAAATGGAATGTTTGAATCATGACCGTTAGCCACATGGAATAAGCCTAGAGGATCATAGAACCAGAAGAGCTGTGAGCACAGTCTCAAATCCGGATCCCCCCAGGTACCAGGCAGGCACATAAACAACGGGGGCTGAGCTGGGTATAAGATGCTAAATGACAACTGACCCTTTGCCTCTGGGTCAGGGAGGCGATAGGGAGTGATGGGGACTGTGGCGAATAGAATGTCTTGTCCCACCTAAAGAGGGCATCCTGCACACAGCTTCCCTGGTGGTTGCCATGTGAGTGAGACCAGTGTTGACGTGCCTCGTTTTTCAAGAGAATCTGGAAATCTGAATTTTTATATGAAAACTCTTCATTTTTTAGTATTGGCATCTAATTCAAATTTAAAACATCATGCAAGCCAAGTGAAACATATCTACAGTTCAGACACGGCCCGTGGGCCTGTCTGAAGTATATCTACTTCTACTGTATATCTACTTCTACTGTAGATATACAGAATTGTGGAAACGTGGAGGAATATGAAAATTGTAGAATCTTAGAACCTTGAAATGATAAGGATGGTATTGGTGGTCATGGGGTGAGGTCATGGGACTTTCCAGCGTTAGGGAGAGATGCATAGCTCTTGGAATCATGATGGGGCTGACAAAGTCCCTGACACCAGCTTCCACCAGATGAAACATGAGGCATCTCCAGGACTATTATTATATTAATTCTAGAAACTCGATGTTTTCCTCAAGATAGGAAATGAAAGCATAGAAAGACAATGACCCAGGGAGGGGTTGGACAGTGGTGATCTGTATCTTGGGCTTGAGAGGAGCCCTTCCCTTTGTGTAGCCCGAATATAGGTCTGAATCATGTGAGGTGCTGACTTAAAACACAGCTTCCCCAACCCCACCCTTAGAGAGCCCAGTTCAAGAATCTCTAATATTAAAAATCTCCCTTCTCCTTCCCTACCACTTGATCCTGGTGCCAAGCCAGGTTTGTGAGCCACTTATTTCCTGAAAAATGTAAAATGTCTTTTTTTTTCAGGATTGCAGAAAATATCCAATAACACCCATCCCCTAATATCAGAAGCACGCTACACCCAGGCTTTGAATAAGGACTTAAAATCACCAAGTCTTAGGCACCATAGAATAACAGACTTTGAATTTGGGCTCTCAGACATACAGAATGTAGGGTTTCAGCGTCATAGACTTGGGAGTGACCTCAGAGGTCAGAGGTCACCCAGCAGCCGAACTATAGAATCTGAGAAGGGCTCTATAAGCGTCCCTGACAGCATTCAGGGCTGGAGGCATACAAGACCAACATATCCATTCCACAGATATGCAAACTCAGGTCCAGAGAAGCAATCTGACTCGTCCCAAGCTGGGCTAATTCCTGAAAAAAACGCAGTGGAATCTAAAAGTCAGTTTTGGCCGGGAGCAGTGACTCACTCCTGTAATTCCAACAGTTTAGGAGACTGAGGCAGGTGGACTGCGTGAGCCCAGGAGTTTGAGACCAGCCTGGGCAAAAAGGTGAAACCCAGTCTCTACAAAAAATACAAAAAAATAGCCAGTCTCATAACCTGGTAGGTAGGGAGAGAGAGAGAGAGAGAGAGAGAGAGAGAGAAAGTGAGAGAGAGAGAGAGAGACAATGGATAGATAAAATTAAAAAAAAAAAAGTCAGTTTCCAAGTGAGACTGCATTAGAACAATCTAGAACAATCCCAGAAGGGACAAACAGAGCTTAGCATTGCTGGGGGCACTGGGCCTTGCTGCAGTCAGCAAGGGCTGGAGTCCTAGGAGGCATTTGTAAAGAAAAGCCACCTGACATGGTGTCTTTTGAAAAGATAGGTGGCTTCCAATATCTACCCCTGTGCATAGGGTGGGAGAGAACCAAGTCCCCGACAGGAAAAAATAGGGCCCTGGAGGGTGGAACTTGGCCGGGAATGAGCACTTACTCTGGGTCTGCCCTTGTGGGTTCAGCCTTGGAGGTGAGCAGATGTTTAAGCCTGGAGTCTGGGGGCCAGCACTAAGATGGGGCCCGCTGCATAGAGGCAGGCCAAGGGCTGCATGGCTTCCTCTCTGTGATTATTTCAATTTTGCCATCGCTGAGCCTTTACAGTTGGGCCTTAGCCTGGTCCCTGCTTTGTGGGGATTGTAAGTTCACACTGGGGGACCAGTGCCCCCAGAGGACAGACTGTAAGATGGTGGCTACCATGATCAGTGAGGGAGCTCCAGGGTGATAGGGACATATGGGGTCCAGCTACCTCTCCTTGCATGAGAATTCAATTGTTATTATTATTATTATTATTTTTTTTAGATGGAGTCTTGCTCTGTTGCCCAGGCTGGAGTGCAGTGGCATGATCTCAGCTTACTGAAACTTGTGCCTCCCAGGTTCAAGTGATTCTCGTACCTCAGCCTCCCAAGTAGCTGAGATTACAGGTGTGCACCACCATACCTGGCTAATTTTTGTATTTTTAGTAAAGATGGCGTTTCACCATGTTGGCCAGACTGGTCTTGAACTCCTGACCTCAGGTGATCCTCCCAACCTCAACCTCCCAAAGTCCTGGGATTACAGGCGTGAGCCACCGCACCCGGCCGAGAATTCAATCTTCCTTGTTAGCCTTGGAGAATTCATTTGATTTATTAAAGGAAGATGTTGTTTTCTTCTTCACAACTTTTTGGAGGGTGTCCTTGGCCTCTGTACTCTACAAAGTTCAGTCAGAGAGGGTGCAAGCCAGGGTAGGAGTGTCAGTCCCAGTGGGGTTTGCTAATGTGCAGATACAGCAGGTGCTACAGGGAAGGGAAAGGGCACTGGGGTGAGTCAGGTCTAGGTTCTGCCACCGGCTTCCTGGGTTCCTTTAGACAAGTCACTTCTCTCTGAGTCTCAGTTTCCCCTCTGTATGATGAAGAGCTGGACTAGATCCTACTTCAGTCACTGAAGTACCTTCTTTGTTATTTTTGCCATTCACAAGTGCCACTGTACGTACTTCATTAAAGTATTTCCTGGGGTGGGCTTGGTGGCTAACACCTGTAATCCCAGCACTTTGGGAGGCCGAGGCAGGCAGATCACCTGAGGTCTGGAGCTTGAGACCAGCCTGGTCAACATGGTGAAACCCCGTCTCCACTAAAAATATAAAAATTAGCCGGGTGTGTTGGCGGGCACCTGTAATCCCAGCTACTCAGGAGGCTGAGGCAGGAGAATTGCTTGAACCCAGGAGGCGGAGGTTGCAGTGAGCCAAGATCGTGCCACTGCACTCCAGCCTGGGCAAGAGTGAGACTCAGTCAAAAAAAAAAAAGGGGGGGGGGGGATTTTCCTGAATTGATTGACTTTACTAATTTCTATAGGTTTTTTGTTTTTTGTGTTTTTTTTGTGGAGATTGAATCTTGCTCTGTCGCCCAGGCTGGATTGCAGTGGTGCGATCTTGGCTCACTGCAGCCTCAGCCTCCCGAGCAGCTGGGATTACAGGCACCCACCACCATGGCCATCTAATTTTTGTATTTTTAGTAGAGATGGGGTTTCACCACATTGGCCAGGCTGGTCTCAAACTCCTGACCTCAAGTGATCTGCCCGCCTCAGCCTCCCAAAGTGCTGGGATTACATGCGTGAGCCACCGCGCCCGGCTATAGATTTATTTTAAAAGAAAACTTATTGACATAGTCATTGATGAACAATCAGTATCATGAATAAAGTTCTAATAATAAGGCCTGTGAAAATGAAAGAAAGTTACATAATCCTTGCACCATGCTCCTGCCTGAAAGAGATCTGAGCCTGAGATTTGCTTTCTCTTTGATAAAGAGGGAAATTACAAAGTGGCAGAGAGGTGTTGAAAACAGGCTAGCACCCAGCAGAGTCTTTCCCCCTGATGGAGCCAGAGTATTGAGAGAGAATTAAGAAGGAAAGAGCTCTCTCACTGTGCAAACCCATGCTGTTTTAAGTGGTGCCCACATACACCCTAAATCACTGTGTAGCCTCAGTGGTACACGCCCTTGATTTGGGGGACCCTGAATATACCACTTCTTAGGTCCTTCCTCCCTGTCCTAAGCTGCATGATTCTAACCTGTGTGCGTTTTGGTTCATCCCTATCTGACCCCCGGCCTAGGGAAAGACAGACACAGGCAGAAAGCACCCTGGGTCAGCCCCAGCCTCAACCCCCTGAAGCTCCTGGTTGCAAAGCTGCCAAGGTCTCTCCTGCAAAGGAGAGGCCCAGGAAGGACAGACATGCAGGACAGAGACCTAGACAAACAGGCAGGGGCACAGCAGTGTGAGCTCTCTGTCCTCCTCTTTCCCAAACTGCCCACCCACAGAGGGCACTTGCGTAACAACCCACCAGCCAGCTTGTGACCAGCTGGGCAGCTGGGATGGCCCCAGGCATCAAGATGACTGTAACTCGGGTGTGTGTGTCAGTGGGAAGCCTCCCTTATCTATAATATGGGAATCAAGGCCCTCCCCAGGCCCCTCCCAGGGTCATGGGCAGGAGAGGCCTGGGAGGGCTTGTCCTGTGTGTCCCTGGTCTCTGGGACCTCGCCTGCCCCATCTTCAACCACAGGAGGGGCAGCTGGTAGTTGATGGGCCAGGGTTAGGAGAGGGAACCAAGAGGGTACCAACCCCAGTCCACACGGGAGCTTCCTCTTCGCTGGCTCCTGAGCCGCCCCTGGGGCCCTGCCCGTCACCCTGCTGTGCCATCCAGCAGGACATGGAACGAGAGCAGACAACAGGCACCACAGAGAGAAGGAATTGCTCACGGTTTTCAAAATAGAATCGATGGAAGTCCAGGCCCTCAACCAGGTTCCCCAGGGCCTCAGGTTCGAAGGCTGTCATGCCAGGGTCGCACATCTTCCTGGGGGAAAGAAGCCAGAGGGAAGAGGGACTGGGGCGGCTTCTCATTGGACCCTTGGAGGGTGAGCCTGTGAAATAGGAATGATTGCACCTACCTCACAGGATCATTGAAGTTAGTAGATGGGAAGGGGCCAGGGGCTTGCAAGTTATAAAGTATGGGATATCACTGACTGGTTGGTGCCATCTAGATCCGGGAAGCCTGGGTTCAGGCCCTGGCTCTGCCAATGGCTGTGAGACCCCAAGCAAGTGGCTTAATCCCTTTAAGCAAGAGCACCATGAATAGTGTACAGGGCTGTGCAGTGCACTAAAGGTGCTGGTGGGGAGGAAATTCAGCTTGCTCTCTACTCTCCAAATTGTACTCCCTGGTTCAGGGCAGTGGATCCAGAGGGGGCTTTTTCTAATTTGTCTTCCTGTGGGGTCGGGATGGGGGACACTGCCTTTTCCTTCACATAAAAGTGACTTCTGCTCATCAAGCCAGGTATATACCTGGAAGGGGCGAGTTTTCTAATTTGAACAAAGGTGCCCTATTGTTAACAGCAGCCTTGGCTGTGAGCCTCAGTTTCCTCTTCTGTAAGATGAGAAAAATAGCATTAGATGAGGTAATATCTGGGAGGAGAAGCACAGGGCATGACGGAGGCTGTGTATTTTCAGCTGTTATTCCCTTCCAGGTCTTAGTCTTCTCGGAGATCCTGACAGCCAGGCAGGGGAAGGGAACAAGCTGTCTTTCCCATCTCCAGGTCTGTGGGATCTTTTGTGGTATAACATGGACCCCTGTGACAATAGCAATGAAGCCAGGGGCAGGAAATGTCCCAGGACAAGCAAAGCTCCCAACCCAGGGTAGAATTGGAGACACCCAGGAGAAGGTGTCAGGCCCAGCACCGTCTGAGCTGGAGAAAGCATTCACAGGGTGCACTGTCCCTGCTCTGTCCTTTCTGTTTGGGTGACCCCAGACAACTTGCTTCTCTACTCATGACCCCAAATTCTCCAGATGGCTTAAGCCTGGGGCTGGGGGACTGTGCTCAGACCAAACGGGATGCCCAGGACCCTTCCAGCTCCAGAATCCCCCAAGAGTGGGGGTCTGGACATGTGGGAGACTGAGCGCCCCCACTGAAGAAGCCCCAACCCTGGAGGCACCTGGGTGTTCCTGCCTCCTAGAGTGAAGGGACTTGGAGGCCATCTGCCCCAACTCCATTGTACATATGGGGAAACTGAGGCTCAGAGAGATGAAGGAACATGTTCAAGATTACACAGGGCATCCTGGACCCCAGAGGTCATGACAAGGGGTCAGAACCTAGAGCAGGCTGCAGATGTCAGAGGAGGTGACATCACATAGGTGGGAGGGGTTCCCCAGGACCCCCAGAAGTGCCACTGAGGAGCTTGGGGACCACAGGGGCCACCTCTCTTTCCTTCACTCCCTGGCTGTGTCCTTCCAGAGCCACTGGCATGATACATTCCAAGTCCATTCTTTCTAGAACTGGTTGCAAGACCAGCTTAACAGCCTATTTCCATGCTTTTATGCAACACTCAGGTATATACATGCACACGCACCTGCGCACCCTCCTTGTGCACAGTTTTAAACGTGCACACATGTGTACAAGTGCATGCATACACATATGTACACATCACCCTCAGTTCCACACATGCATCTTCTAAGCCCCTTGTTCTTCCAGAGGGAGCCAGTGACCTTCTAGGGGGCTTTGCCACCTGCTGCTCCTGAAAACTCTCCCACAATTAGAATGCACCTGGCAGGCCGGGCGGGCTCGGTAGCTGACGCCTGTAATCCCAGCACTTTGGGAGGCTGAGGTGGGTGGATCATGAGGCCAGGAGTTCGAGACCAGCCTGACCAACATGGTGAAACCCCGTCTCTACTAAAAATACAAAAATTAGCTGGGCGTGGTGGCGTGCACCTGTAATCCCAGCTACTCAGGAGGCTGAGGCAGGAGAATCACTTGAACCCGGGAGACGGAGGTTGCAGTGAGCCAAGATCGTGCCACTGCACTATAGTCTGGGTGACAGAGTGAGACTCCGTCTCAAAAAAAAAAAAAAAAAAAAAAAGGGAAAAAAAAAAGAATGCACCTGGTCTGCCAAGCCTTTGAGAGGCAAACTTCAGCTCTGGGCACATTGGAAATCAGGAACAGGCTGCCCAAGGAGCAAACCCCAGCCAGGTTATGCCCAACTCAATTTAACCCAACAGGCAAAAATAACTCTGCCTTGGCTGGCAGTCTTTGTCCTCCAAAAAGCTTATGTCTGGTCTCTAGGCCCAGGCCTTGTCAGCACTGGCCAAAATATTGAGGACTAAGCCCAAAATATTTGCTCTCCCGGGGGCCAGCTGAGGGCCCAAGTGAAGTCTGTTTCTGGGCCAGGCCAGGAAAGGTGTGAGTGAACAGCACAGGGTGCTCTGGCTCAGCCCATGCACACACAGCTGCCCCTCCAAAGGCAAGTCCAGGTGTGTATGTGATGTCTCATTTTATGTTATTTTTGTGCAAGCTGCCTTATTTCTCAGAGGAGTTCAGATTCTGCTTAGAATTACTTCTGCTCATGCCTGCTCACTGAAGGGACGTGCCCTGTGGATCCTGCTTGCTCCTGCCCATCTGAGGTCAGAGGTCCAAGGGAGTCTAGGGTGAGCACTCAGGCCTACTGGGCAGGAATGAAGGGAACGTGCCTCCCTTCCCACCTTCCCAGCTCATCTCCTGAGGAGGCCCATGCTGTGATACTGTCCACCCCCTCTTTCCTTGGGGAAGCAAGGGAGTTTTGTTGGAGTTCCTCCCAGGGAACAAGATGTGAGGAGGAGGAAGGATGGGAGGAGGAGGAGGACTGACATATAGAGCAGTGTCGCGAACAGAAAGCTCAATAGAAGCATCAAGTCCGGATGCAAAATAGAAATATGAGTTCAGCCCGATTCACAGCACATGCAAAGTGAGTGGATGAGGATCGGAGACAAGGACCCCCAAAGTTAGCCATTGGTACCCCCTGAACAACAATCCAGGCAGGACATGCAGAATGAGCCCAGCTGACTCACGTGTAGGACTCAAAATCTCCATTGCTTATGGCTTCAATCAGCTGCTCTGTCACTTTTATAATTTCCTGTTTCCGCACTGTAAGGCAGAAGGGGACACAGAAATAATAATAATAATAATAATAATAATAATAATAATAATAGTGATGGTAATGAAGCACCAACTACCATTTCTTGAGTCCTTATCATGTGCCAGACTCTGTGCTGGGA
Organism: Homo sapiens; assembly: GCF_000001405.40. Lineage (NCBI taxonomy): Eukaryota > Metazoa > Chordata > Mammalia > Primates > Hominidae > Homo > Homo sapiens. The sequence goes on from NC_000005.10 coordinate 150,231,512, forward strand.
CCTGAAGACCTCATGCAGATGATCTCATTTATCCTCGCATTGCTGCTGGGGGCTAGGCATCATCACCCCCATTTCACAGAAGAAACTGAGGCCCAGAAAGGCAAAAAAAAAAAAAAAAGGTGTGAAAGTTCCTCAACTACAAAGGCCAGAGCCAGTGTCTCTGTTGGCGGTCTTTGCCTCTAATACATGGTGGACATTCTGAATCTACGCCTGATGTAAATCCAGGTCTTGGCTCCCAAATACTTATTCCTACCACCTTTGCTTTGCCATGTAAATCAAAACAGGATCAACTGTGGCACTGTCACTGATAGCCATGAGCCAGGGGCTTTCTTATGGCCAAAACCAGCACCACTAAGAAAAATCTTAGGGTATACGCATCCCTTGAGCCTAGATGAGCTTCTTGCTCTATTTGGGTGCCGATAGGAATTAGGCACAGAGCTGTCCAGAACTTTCTAGGCATAATGAATCCCATTTGCTGAGACCTGGCCCTCCCCTATCTGCCACTGAAACACCACAAACAGCTGGTCTTTCTGGTGGAGTTAGATGGCCGTCTTATTAGATGTGTGATGTTCTGAGCCTCAGTTTTCCCATCTGTAAAATGAGGACACCACCACCTCTCATTCATTCAAAGCCAAATACATAGTGAGCAGAATCCAAGCTTCAGCTTAGACAGATGTTTATTTAAATGACTGTCCAGGTCCTCAAGCTGTGCAACTGCGGGCCACAAGGTGGTTTGAAGGTCTGTGAAATGGAGATGATAGTGTTCTCCGAGGGTTGTTATGAGGGTGGGGTGATGTGATGTACACAAAGCATTGGCCAAAGCCTGGCACATAGTGGGTGCACCTCATAAGTGCAACCATGCCCTGCCTCCCTAGGCCCCTGCCAGGGGTTGCCTCTCTGCTCTTCACTAATACCCTGGGAGGTAGGCAAGGTCAGCTTCCTCCCAATTCACATACAAGGTGACTGAGCCTCAGTGATGGAGGAATTTGAAGCCAGGTGTCCTGGCTCCTGGCAGAGCCTAACAGAAGCCTTGCTCCGTCTCCCAGAGGCAGGCCCCTTTCCCTCCTTCCACAGGCTTAAGCTTGGCTTTAAACCTGGCCAGCTCATTGGTCCACTGGAGTTGTCTCAGGTGAATAGATGAACACATTGCCAGGATTGCAAGCTCAGGCCTGGCCTCAGCATTTCTCAGTCTGGAAGCCTGGGAGGGAGCCCAAGCCTAGCAGAGGCCCTCACCAGCCCTGTCCTCACCAGTTGCCCACACCACACCACCCCACACAGGAGCACACCTCAGGCCCAGAGGACACAGAATCATAGAACATCCAGGCTAGAAGAACCCTTGGAGGCCAGAGCCTCCTTATCAAACTTTAGGGAAACTGAGGCCCAGTGAGGGGGTTGTGATTTGCCCAAGGACATGGCACATACCAGGTGGAGAGCCTGGCTCCTCGCCCAGGGCCTTTTCCATAGGCCCCTGAGGCCCCAGCTCACTGTCTGTCCTAACACTAACCTCACGCAATTGTTTTGCCCGAATGCTTTATCTATGCCCCAGCTCATAGATGAGCTCTTGGGGGCTGGGCTGTGACATCCCTTGCTCACTGCGTCCTGGAGCCTGGAACAGGCTTGGCCCCATAAGCCTTTATCACTGAATGAATGAATAAGTGTACCAGGCCATGTGCTATGTGCTTAGTCTACCAAGTTCCAGAGCCTCACAGCACAACTTTATTTCCACGTCACAGATGAGCAAACTGAAGGTGAAAGAAGCTAAATAATTAGCTCCAGTGGAGCTGGGACCCTAATCAGAGTTTGCAGCCCTAAAGCCCATCACATTCTCCCACACTACACCCAGCACCGCCCCTGGCACATGGTAGATGTAGCAGTGATCATTCAACGTCAGCCACCACTGTGAACAGCTAATTCCCTTCTCCCTCCTGGCTCCAGTCAGAATCACCTGGGCTGGGAATGAGTCCATTTTTAGACCATGAGTGCCACCGGGTCACACAGGTGTTGCTGCACCTCTCTCTCTGGGGACTTTCCTGGGGCTGGGGCAGAGGCAGCACTCAATACATACGTGTTGAGTGAATGAATGAATGAGTGAATGGGACCAAACCAGAGTCTGGACTGCTATCTTCATCCTGCCCCTTGGACTTGCCCAAGTTGCCTGGTAGCCACTGTCCCTAGGAGACCCAGAACCTGGCTTCCTGATCACCTGTGCCCTCCTTCCCAGAAGCTGGAAACTGAGTTTGGGAAGAAGCCTAGCCCAGCCAGTCACCTCTTTTGTTTGTTTGTGTTTTTGTTTGTTTGTTTTTTGTTTTTCATTTTTTTGAGATGGGGTCTCTCTGCATTGTCCAGGCAGGAGTGCAGTGGTGTGATCACAGCTCACTGCAACCTCCCCCTCGTGGGTTCAAGCGATTCTCCTGCCTCAGCCTCCTGAGTAGCTGGGATTACAGGCATGCACCACCACGCCCAGCTAATTTTTGTATTTGTAGTGGAGATGAGGTTTCACCATGTTGGCCAGGCTGGTCACGAGCTCCTGGCCTCAGGTGATCTGCCCGCCTTGGCCTCAAAGTGCTGGGATTACAGGTGTGAGCCACTGTGCCCAGTCCAGAGCTACCTCTTTCTTGCCACTCCCACATGGAATCAGGGGTGACAACCAGAGCAAACCCACGTGCTCCTGATGTGAGACCTGAGTCACTCTCCTTGCCTTCTCTGCATGGACTTTAAGACCCTTCTGGCTCACCGTTCCAGGAGCCTGTGCTCAATGCCTGTTTCCTGAGGTCTGCTTCTCCCTGCCATCTCAGAGAGTCTAGCACAGTGGCTGAGGTCATGGATTCTGGAGCCAAAGTCCCTGGCTTTGGATTCTGGCTATGCCACTTACTTAATAGCTGTTCCCTTGGACAAGGGAACTTCCAGTGCCTCAGTTTCCCTATATGTATAATGAAGATACTAATAGTACTTACCTTGTAGAGTTGTTCTAAGGATTGAGTTAAGAATATGTCAATAGAAATAGCTAACATGTACATGGTCCTCACAGAGAGCCAGTTGCTGTTCCGAGTCCTTTAGATCAAAGCACTTATGTAAAGGATGCTGCATTATGTAAAGAAGTTAGCACAGTGCCTGGCTCTTGGGAAATGAGAGTGTGGTTATTATCATCTGGGAATCTCTGAATTGGAACTTCCTCCTGAGGACATCCTGGAGTCTCTAGTCAGGGCAGGGATATTTCCCAGCAGCCTGATATGAGGGGGTGTAGCTCTGGTTGGAACCCAGGGCTTGTGGCCTGCCCGGAAGCTGGCTGCAATGTTGGACTGCCCTGGCTATTTTCACTTCCTTCTCCTTTCAAGTTGAAATCTGTCCTTCCAAAACCCGCTAGATACAGTTCTTGTCTTCTTTCTGCCTTCTGGGGCCCCGAAGTGAACACCTGCTTCCCCAGCCTCTATGCCTAGTCTTCTCTTCTCAGAGCTGAAGGCCTCCAGGTTGTGGTACTGACTCAAGCTGGCCATTTAATCCTTGAGAGTCCTGGAGCTGTCTAGATACCTCTCTGAGTACGTGCACACAATATCAGGTGTGGCCTGAATAATGCAGAATATCATGTCTGGGGTAGCACTCTCTATCCCCTCCCCAATTCTGGATATTATACCTCTATTAATGTAGCCTGAGACAGTGCCTGACTTGGCTGTGTCTCCAGCTACTTGGGACACCAAGTTACCAACAATAAAGCCTAGTGGGCAGGAATCTCCCTAGCTTTGTTCTGTGGGACAGAAGATCTGGGGGCCTGGTGCTTCTTACATCTGGAAAGTCCACTCTGATTCTGGGCCTCTACTATGCCCTCAGCAGCCCCACTGCTGTGTTCATTCAGCAGCTGCTTAGTAGCAACCACTGGCCTTTCTCATCTGCCAGCTGTTCACCCAGACAATCCGGGAATGCTCCCCTACAGATGGGAAAGCCCAAACCCCAGAGAGGTTAAGACACTCTCTCAAGATCATACAGCATGCTAAGACTGAAACGGGATCAGCATTCCTGACTGATATTTCCCAGAATGTCTCTGCCCAAGGCAGAGGTAGCTCTTTAGTTGGAGAGGAAATTAATTTTTCAAGGAGCGAATCAGGAGGGATGGGGGAGTGGGAAGGAAGCAGAGCCCCAGGCAGCTCGGAGGGCAAGAGGCCTGTGCAGTGAGCCAGAGGGGCTTTGAAATATTAATGTCTCTTTCTCTCCTCAGGGGACGATGTTCCCTGGAGGATGACATTTCTAATTAACTTTAATGTCAGGTCAGAGTCCACCCCACCAGCTGTTATTCTCACTTAGTAAGAAGACTTAACAAATTAACACCAGAAAACGGTTCCCTGGAAATTTTCTCTGAGGCCGGGAGAGGCTGGGGGAGGCACAAGGACTCCTCTTTCCTGCCAAACACGGGGAGAAGCTCCTGGCTGACCGTTTCTTCCATCAGACGTGGCTTTTGGGGTTTTTTACATGTGGGGAAACTGAGGCAGGAAACAGGGTCCCAGTCCTACCATTAATAAGCCATATGTGCCCTTTCTCCTCCCTAGGCCTCAAATTTCCCTCTGGAAAGGGGGAAAATCTGGAAAGTGAGCCAAAATTCAAGACTTTGCAAATTACCCCATCCTGATCGCTCTAAAGCAGAGGATAATGACGGCAAATGTGAGACCTCAGGGATGCAGCCCAAAGCCATTACCCCAAGAGAAAAAACGTCCTTGATGGCTCCTAATTTACATTAATAGTGCATACAAATTTGGTATTGTATTCCAAATATTTCTCTCTCTAACATTTAAATTTGTCTTAAAATAATCTTTGAGTAAAATTGGTGCTCCAAGAAAATGTCACCTGGCTTCCTGTCATTCAACCACGAACTACAGTTTGAAAAAAGAAATTGAGATTGATTAAATAGCTTCTCTGGGCCAAACACTACATGTGCACTTCATATGCATCTTCTCATTTCATCTGCACAGCAATCCTCTGAGGTTGGTACTATTTTCATTACCTCTTTACTGTGAAGGAAACTGAAGCTCAGAGAGGTTGAGTAAGTTGTCTGAGGTCATTCAGCAAATGGACTCCAGTGGAGAAGACAGAGCCAGATTACCTCCACGGTCCCTGCCTGTTCTGAGGCCAGGATTATGTGGCTATATCTATCCAGTCTCCTCAACATCCCAGGGCCCAACTCTTATCACTGGGCAGCTAGCCTCAAATAAGGGGAACAGCTTAGAAGCACCATTTCTTGGCCTGCCACATGCCCCTGGGGTCATAATTCACAGGGCAGGGCTGGGAATGTGGTTAGAACACTGGACTTTTGTGAAACTAGAATGCTGACTTGACCCTACCAGGGAATTCTTCAAGATAGTGTATTTTCTCATTCGTTCATTCATTCATTTTTTTTAAGAGACAGGGTCTTGCTATGTTGCCCAGGCTGGAGTGTAGTGGCTATTCACAGACACCATCATAGGTCACTGCAGCCTTAAACTCCTGGCCTCAAGCGATCCTCCTGCCTCAGCCTCCTGAGTAGTTCAAGATAATGTATTTTTATAAGTTGTCCCTGGTGCCATCACAGAAGATGGATTTGCTCTAGGGCCAGGTTGTGGTGATAGAGTACCCACCACCGCCCAGGTTGGGAATGACCAGGAAGGGACACACACGGGGCGGGTCTCATCTTCCAGGCATCCTGGCAGCGTCAGGAGGCAGCCTTGGTATGTGGTGCGTCAAAACTGCCTTAAAGCCTGAATCACAATTTTACAAAAATGTTTCCTACGTAATACAATGCTCTTTTTCCCATCTCTGTTTTCTAAGGCAAAATATCTAAACTGGTACTGCTGAGTTCCCTCGAGGTCAACGGCCTTTTTTTATATTTCAGAGACCCCCCCCTGCCACTACCACCACCACCAGGCATCTCTGCTACACACCTGAGTGTGTGAACCACTGAGCTCCCTGTCCTGGGGAAGGAGGAGGTCTGGCTGCTAACACTTGGAGGATTTGGTGTCCCCAGGGCAGAAGTCAGCAATCCCTGCCCCTTCCTCCAAGCTCCAAGGGCACTTCCCACCACCGAGGCCTTCAGAGTGGCGGTTACCAGCCAAGCTCTAGAATCCGACTGCCTGAGTTCAAACCCTAGCCACATCCTTGTGAGCCACGGGACGACAGAGTACAGGCCAACATACCCGGCCTCTCTGTCCTCTGTTTCCTCAGCTGTAGAATGAGGTTCACAGCAGCACCTACTTCATGGGCTATAGTGACACTCCAGGAAGTCAGTCCAGATAAGGTGCTGAGACCGGGGCTAGCACACAGCAAGCATTCCATAAATGACGGCCCTTATTACTATTTTTGTTTTATCCTTACTCACAATCCAATCAATTACCTGATGCTTTGCTTCCCCCACCTGAGAGCTTTTGAGGACTGCTGGCCACTAGCTCCAGTGGCGCCGGCATCTTTGGTGGGTCTTAGGCAGTGTTTCCCATACTCCAGCCACTGGAGCTTTCTGGATTTTTGCTCTCCCTTCCTTTACAGTTATTACTGTTTTTAAAATCAATTCACTTTTCAAAAAAACTCAAAAACACTTACTTCAAAAGGAACATGTATACCATTACCAAACACTTATGACTTGAACATGTTAAATTTTTCTCTAATACACATATAATATATATCCTCTAACATAAGAAAACTGGCCAGGTGCAGTGGCTCATGCCTGTAATCCCAGCACTTTGGGAGGCCGAGGCAGGAGGATCACCTGGGGTCAGCAGTTGGAGACCAGCCTGGCCAACATGGTGAAACCCCATCTCTACTAAAAATACAAAAAATTAGCCAGGTGTGGTGGCAGGCATCTGTCATCCCAGCTACTTGGGAGGCTGAGGCAGGAGGATCGCTTGAACCTGGGAGGCAGAGGTTGCAGTGAGCCGAGATCGTGCCACTGCACTCCAGCCTGGACGACAGAGCGAGACGTCATCTCAAAAAAATAAAATAAAAATAAATAAAATAAGAAAACCTATCTACACACCAGCAGTAGTTCCAGTACCACCCCCGCCCTCCATGGGAATGATGCCTCCCAGTGTGCCCAGTTTATAAGGCACCAGAGCGAAGCTCTCTGTAGATGAGCAAGAAATGAGGTTGGCACGTGGGAGCTGTCAGGAAAAAGAGGTCTGCTCAGAGCTGGTTCCAGAAGTCTAAGGGGTCCCGACACTGAAGGCCCCTCCCTACCTTTGGTGTCTTCATCCTCGATGGTGGTGTTGGTGCTCTCTGAGGATTCCTGCCAAAGAGAATACAGGAGATGGTGAGGCCTGCCTGGGAGCGGGACGAGGCATGGCCAGGCCCTGGCTGCCTGGTGACGCGGCTGGTTTCTGTGAGCCTCACAGGCTCTGCCTTCCAGATGCTGTCCTGAAAACCCTGTCAGATTCTCCAGCCTCAAGACGGGGAGGGCCCAGCTGAGCAGGTGGCCAGGGGCCGGGTGGGGGAAAGGGATGGCTGCAAAGAGAACCCTGGCCTTTCTGGAAGGACTGAGGGGCGTCCTGGGTCCTTTCTGCTCGAGGGGGTGAAGAAGGGGTGTGGAGGAGCAGAGAGACACCATGGCGGCCGCAGAGTGGGGAGGAACATACACTGGCAGGGGAGGAAGAGAGAGAGAGGGAGGCCCAGTGTGAGAGATGGTGGGCTCTTCAGAGGGGAGAAAAACCACACGACTGAGTGAGACAGCGATGGAACCAGAAGAGGGAGGTGGGCCACCATGCCACCACTGGACCCTAGACAGAGGCAGGGCTGGTGGCTCCCCTGCCACCGGCGGGCCTGGTAGCCTTACACCAGCTCAAGAGGGGCCTCTGTGGCACCTACTACTTTGGCCAAACCAAGCCCCACCCTCGCCGCGATTGGCACAAACCAAGCCTGAGATGAATTCTAGAGCAGAGGGGCAGGGAGAAGCGAGAAGCCAAGGTCTGGACATAGGACTGGGTTCAGATCCACCTTCACACCCGAGGAGGATCTCAGGTCTGCTGTCAGCCTGCTGGTCTGGGCCGTGGAGTTGGAGGTGTCAACAGAAACACGCAAACAACACACACACACAACACACATATTGTCACACAAGGCACACGTACCAAGCACGCCCTGAGCACCCTCTCCCCGCCCCAGGTTCCCAGTGCAGCCTGCAGGAGGGAGGCAGGAGCAAGGGTTCGAGGCCCAGCATTTACCGGCGTTAGGAGACGGCAGACACTCACCATTAACTGAACGCTGGAACTGGACTTTCTTTTCTGGAAAAACAAGGAGAAGAGATGGGACAGGAAAAGACACAGCGTGAAAACGGCAGGGAGCAGAGGAACGACAGGGGAGGTTTGGGAGGAGGATGGGCCTCGGGGTCATCCTCTGTAGTCCTTTGTCGGCTTGGCATCGGGACAAGGAGTCAAGGAGTCAAGGCCACCAGCAACAGTTGACCTGGCGGGGCCAGTCCTCGTCCTGAAGCTCTGAGTCCTCATGCACACTGCCTGGGTCTAGCGATCTAACAGCCAAGCTCATGGCCAAGCCTCCCTGGGACCAGGGCTACCCACCCTGCCTAACTCTGATGGCAAAAGCCAATCCTGGCTCTGGAAGCCAGTCACTGGAGGCCTCCAGAATCCAATGCTCTTGAAGGACAAAGGGTGCTCAGGCCTGGAAGTGAGGCCCAATGTCTTCTCCTAGGCTCCCCGTGCATCTCGGCTAGGAGGACCTCATTCCCAATTGACTGTCACAGTCACTTGGGAAACTCGTTACAATAAACAGAATCAGGTCCCCTCTGAGGAGTTTGATAACTAGGTCTGGGGTGCGGCCTGAGCATCTCCATTTTAAACAATATCTGCAGGTGATGCCAAAGCAGGGCCAAGCATGGGAGCCAGTCCTCTAAGTAGCCTTTGCAATCCAGCTTGCATTCACAACCTCCTGGTGGCTGGCCTATTCCACCCCTTTATGCTGATGGAGAAACTGAGGCTCAGCCAGAAGTGGAGCTGAGTCTAGAACTTGAGTCTTTTGGCCCTGCCATTCAGCTTACACTAGCATTTTGGGGATTTGTAGCATCCCCTGTATTGGCTACGGTACCAAGAGAAGGAGAGGGGGACAAATGTAAATTACCTTCTCCTTCCCTCAGCTCTCCAAGCCAGGAGTCTTAAAGACTCCCATTCACAGAAGATGGTAGGTGAAGACAGACCCTTGCATTGCACAGATGAGAAACTGAGGCCCAGAGAGGTGCAGTGGCCTGCACAAGGCCTCGCGGCAAGCCACTAGCAGAGCTGAGGCTAGAACCCAGGCCCTGCGTTCAGGCTCTTTCCTCTGTCCAGGTCTCCAGGCACCCACAGTCAGACCCTCTCCAAAGGCTCATCCTATTCTAGATGCCCTTATACCAGAGAGGCCAGGAGGCCCCTCTCCCTGCTGGAAAGAAGGGACTCGAGGAGCCCACAGGGCAGGCCTTTGCCATGGGAGGCACTGGATATGCCTTGAGGGTCTCAGGTCTAATTCTGGGTTTCTGACTCCAAGATCCAGTGAGCTCCCCAAAATCCTGGGCCAGGCCCCCAGGTTATTCTCATCTTCCAATAGGACTTCTTCCCTCCTCCATCCAAGGGAGTGAAGGAGGCTGAGCTACAAAGTGATGGTTGGGCCAGGAGTGGCCTTTGAACTCAAGGCCCTGTGCCTTCCATCCGGGGCCTCCACAGAAGGGATGGGGTGGCTCACTGGACACTTCCAATGCCCGTGTGCTCACAGGGGCATAAATGCTCACAGACCCTGCATTTTCCCCAGCTGGGCTGGATGGTGTGGCTTCCACAGTCATCAGCCTGCAGTCAGCCCCTCATCTCCCCGATTCCCTTCCCCTCTCCTCCCTCCTCTCCTTCCTCTCCTCCTTCCTCTTTTCTTCCTCTCTTCCCCTGTCTCCTTCCCTCTCTCCTCCTTCCTCTTTTCTTCCTCTCTTCTCTTCCCCTCCCCTCCCCTCCTCTCTCTTTTACTCCGTTCCCTCGCCCTCCCCTCTCCTCCTTCTTCTCTTCCTTCCTCTCCTCTCCTCTCCTCCTCCCTCTTTTCTTCCACTCTTCTTTCCCCTCCTCTTCCCTCTCCTCTCCTCTGCCTCCTTCCTCTCTTCCTTCTTGTCCTCTTCCTCTCCTCTCTTCTCCTGTCCTCTCCTCTCCTCCCCTCTCCTCCTTCTTTTCTTCCTCTCTTCTCCTCTCCCTTCCTCTTCCCTCTCCTCAACTCCTCCTCCTTCCTCTCTTCCTTCTTTTCCTCTTTTCTCTCCTCTCCTCCCCTCCCCTCTCTTTTCTTCCTCTCTTCTCCTTTCCTCTTCCCTCTCCTCTCCTCCTCCTCTCTCTCTTCCTTCTTCCCCTCTTTCCTCCACTCCCCTCCCCTCTCCCCTGGTTGTCCTCCCTCCCTGGCTGGAGCCAGGCCAGGCACAGAATGGGGAAGGGGCCAGGCCCCACACAGCTCAGCTGTCAGCAGAAACCCGAGGAGCCGCGCAGGGGCCAGGAGGTTCCAGGCGGGACACGAGGAGGAAACACAGAGCAGAGACTGCATCAGATTCGGACGCACAGTGACAGGATGGGACATGGGGAGAGAGGTCACGATGCACAATGGGACACCAACAGGGGCAGTGAGTGGGGCTGAGGGGAATGAGCAGTCGGCCCTCCTCCTAGAAGTCCAGGCCTGGGGTGGCCGGGAGGGGGACGTTGCTTCTTGGTGATAGAAAGACTTAACTTCCCTGGATCACAAACGATGATGCTAATAATCTTGTATTGACCAGTACTTTAGTTTGATTTAAAGGGACTTTCACTGAAAGTAGAAATCTCCCTCTTTCACCAAAAGTAGAAACCGCATCTCTTAGAATCACATGTGGAAGCATGGTTCTAAGGTTAGCAAGGATGATAGAAACAGTATGGTCAAAATTAGCCTCGAAAAGCCCTCCAAGGCCCATAAAGGATAATATAGCTTCACATCTCTGCCATTCCTGCAGCGCTGAAGCCAATCACTGCCTCTTCAGTTAAGCCCCGGATGAAATGGGGTTTGTCTCCAGCTGCCCAGCGGTAGGAGGAATGTGTGCCTCCCTGCTGGGCTGAAGGTGAGACAGTGAAAGGAGCCTGTGATGTGGCTCCACCAGGCCCTTCTGGTGTGACCCTCTCACCAGGCCCCTGCAAAGAACTGCTGTGCTCCCCTGGAACAGGCAACAGAATCGCTGGCCTGGGTCACCCAGGGGGAGAACAGTAGGGCCCACACTCGAACCCATGGCTTCTTGACTTGCGATCCAGTTTCAATCGTACTGAAAATGCACCTGGACCCCCAGCTCCGCCATTCTCCCCACACTCCTTCCGGGAGCAAGACATGGCAGGCCAGGCTCCCCAGATCCTGGGCCAGGCCCCCAGGTTATTCTTATCTTCCAATAGGACTTCTTCTGTCCTCCATCCAAGGGAGTGAAGGAGGATGAGCTACAAAGAGATGGTTGGGCCAGGAGTTGCCTTTGAGCTCCTCTTCTTCCACACCCAGGCCACCCTGAGAAGTCTGTCCTGCGCCACAGGAAGCAGTGACGCTTTGTTCAGCTGTGCCCACTGGAAAGCCTGCAGTGGCCAGCAGAGCCCCACCATGCTGTGAGCTGTCCTTGCCATCTGGCAGCTTCTGCCTCCTGGCCTTGCCCTAAAAGAGCTAATAAGCATTTCTTCCCAAGAACCAGCCTGATGGAGGCCTCTCCTGACCCCTTGCCCAGCCTCTACCAGGGCTACATCCAAGAGCCAAGCAGACCAGGGCAGCTTCTCTCTCTACTTCCTTCTCCTCTAGTTACCTGGGCCACAACCCACCGGTGTCTCTGGTCTCTATCCCCACATCCCCCAAATCGGAACCAGGAAGTCTGCTTTCCCCAGGGCGCCCAGCACCCCTAGCTCAGCGTCTCCACACAGGGGTCAGAGAGGGCCCCAGCTACTCCAAAGCTGGCAGCTCCCACATTGCACATCCCTCTATTACCCCTACACATAGAGGGATGGCGGGTTGGCTCAGGGTTAACCCAAAACAGCAGGCAAGCCAAAATTCAATGCCCGATTCCATTACAGGATTTGGAATGAGTGCCTGTTAACTTTATAAATTAAGTTGGCTTTAGATCTGTGGTTTTCAAATATTCTTGAGAAAACTTGGTTTTCAAGAGAAATTTTACCCAAAAGTCTAATACATAAAATAGAGGAAAGATAATAGTGCCTAGCATCTCATGAGTGTGTATTACATACCAGCACCTTGCTAAGCTCTCAGGGCGCATTGTATTAGTTAATCCTCACCAATAGGCTTAGGAGGTGGAGATCTCTTTTAACCTCATTGCATGAATGAAGAAGCGCAGGCTCAGGGAATATAAATACCCAGCCGAGGTCCAGCTGCAGGCAAGCCCAAGGGCTCTCTTCACCATGATCATGCTCTGGTTGAAGTGGGTATGAGAAGCCCAGAACCATTTAACCTGGCATCCCCCTTCCACATCCCACAGCACCCCATCCGCTGCCAGAGGTGCCTCCCCAGTCCAGTACCTTTGGGATCTAAAGAGTTCAATTTGAAAACCACTGTCTTGGACTAATAACCAAATAATTATGTATTCCTCTAGCACCCAAGATGAGAAGGGAGAATGATTAGATAGGATTTTATTGCTTTTTTTGTTTGTTTTTAAAGCTGCAATCTTGGAAATGATCATCAAATCCACACCCCACTCGTTGTACTTAGGGGAAAATTCAAGCTGGGAGGAGAAGGCTAAGTACAGAGGGGAGACCCAATCCTGGCCTTGGACATCTAGCCCAGACTCCCTCGCATGCAACCTTGACAGACCAAAACCAGCGGCCAGAGACCATAAATGCCTCCTTAGACAAAGCCATCAAGCCACCAGCACATCTGGCTGTATTCATACAGCATCCCACACCTTCCAATGTCCTGGGCACATCCCAGCCCTGGGGCCCTCGCCAGGCAGGGCTCTGAGCCCAGAAAAAGGCAGGGTCTCAAGAGAGGATAAGATCGAGTGGCAGAGGAGGAGGGAACTGCAGAGAGCAGGGGACCAGGCCCCAGAGAGCAGAGGGAGAAGAGAGAAGAGACGGGAAGGAGGACCGCAGGATGTGGAGGGACCACAGGGTAACTCGGGCTCTAGGGGTGGGACAGGGCAGGCCCTTGGAGCCGGGAGGGGATTTTGGAACTGAACCAGCACCAGCAAGCCTTGCCGGGAGGGGGCACCTTGGAACCCAAAGCCAAGAGGAATGGCTGTCCATCCTCCACGAGCTTTCTGGGTGGAACTAAGGTGTACAGCGGGGCAGGGGCCCGATCCAGCCCACACATAGGCAGGACGGAGGTCACCCCTCATGACCATTTCTGTCCTCTCCTTGCACCCTCTCTTGCACACCAGCTCTCCAGCCTCGGAGAACCACAGAAATCTCCTTCTGACCTGCCCCTTTCCTTGCGCCTGCCCCCACCCCAGCACACCTGTCACTTCCACCCTCCTCCAGTCCCCCCTCTCCCATCTGCCCCCCAACAGTCACGGCGCAACGGTGGGCACCAAAGCCTAGGTCGTGGGTCTGGAGACAGCCTGGCCACAAATGTGGCCCACGTCTGCCCAGGACACCATCAGCAAGGCCCGGGTCTTGCTCCAGGCCTGAAAGCCGGTCTCTGTTGGCAGAAACGCTGCCAGAGCCAAGCCCTGCCAGGCTCCTGGAGGGGCTTACCTTCACACCATCGCTCTTCTTGTTTCCCCCACTCTTCCCTCCTGTGGAGGAGAAAAAGTAGAGGGTTAACAACGCCAGGCAGGGCACCAGGGCCCACAGGGCGAGGACGAGCAGCATCCACACGCAGCCGGAGGGCAGACTGCAGGGAGCAGAGCTGGCCCAGCGATCCTGGGGGAGGCCTCCTCCTCCTCCTCCTCCTCCTCCTCCTCCTCCTCCCTCCTTGGAGGCCCAGGGACTGCCTGGGTTCCCCGCCTTCTCAGCAATCTCAAGCGTAACCCTCTGGCTTCATGGGTTGAGGGAGGTGTCCAACATGTCCCAGGACTGTGGGCTGCTGTTTCAGCCCGGGGATTCCCTCTGAATCCCTGTCACCACCGTGCTGGCGGTGGCCAACCCGAGGTCTGGCTGCCTGGCCCCAGGCTGGACACGCCCTCCCCACCCTGGCCCTCTCTAATTTTAGCCCCATGCTGCTGCGGAGGTCATGTGTCAGCCCTGCCTACTCACTCCGGACAGCTGCAGGCTGCGTCTTGCCAGTGACAAGAAGCAGATGCCCCCACTGGGGCCCACCCTGCCAGAGCACCCATCCCCTGCCTCTCTCCTCAGGCCATATAGGCCTCCCCAACCTCAGACTCCAGAGCCCCATATTGGCACTGGCTATGGCCCGGGTGGCAGGGACAACCAGAGCAACAGCTCTTTGGGGGCTTCCCCTGCTGTCATTTCCCCTTACCTCCCTCCTCACCTCCTGGCCAGAGCCCTGGAAGTGGGCATCAGCCAGGAAATGGCCTGAATGTCCAGCCCTGCCCACAGGCATCCGGCTGCTTCAGACTTAAGCAAATACCTTAAATGAAACAAGGTATCTGTGAAGTACTTAGCAAAGCACCTGACCCATAAGCCGCACATGCTCAGGAAATGGTAGCCATGATAAGACTTCTCCTGGTGGCCTTGAGAGGGGGAGTTGGGAGGAGGGTCATATGAGCCACTGATGCCCCAGGGGCTCTGAGGCATGGGGCTCATGGCAGGTCACCTTCCCAGTCACCCCCACATTTCCACCTATGACCCCTTCGAGGCTCTCATTCCAAGTTCCCTACTTGCAAACCAAGGCAGGGGCCACCTCTGGATCCCGAAGCTGACAGGAATGGCTGTCCATTCACCACAGGCTTTGGAGGGTTGGACTAGGATGTGCAGTGGGGCAGGGGGAGTGCTTTCTCCTCGAGCCTCAAGGTAGACGCCCCTCTCAGCTCCAGCCTACTGTCACAGGATCGTGGGTCCAGTGAGGCCACAGCGTCTAATTTTCAAGAGACGACAGCAATCTGGGGTTTTCTATGAAATTTCCTAATTTTTAAGTGTTAGAAACTCATTCAAAAAAATTTTTAAAACACCCCTACCTCCACAAAGCATATCAAGAGATTCAATCCAGCTCACAGGCCGCCATTTTGTGAGCTCAGGACTAGAGTTCTTTAGGGTGCTTCAGTTGTTAAAAAAAGACTCTGACTATCTGGGTAGCTCATCTTTCAGTTTACGGAATGGCAGGATCCTTGTCCAGGGAGAGGGTGGGAAGGCAGTTTAACGAGGTAGGAAAAGCCCAGTCAGAAGTTCTAGTATCTGCCCACCTCTGGGTCTCACTCCTCCCAACTGGTTACATGGGCAGGTGGACCCACTCAATGCAGCCAGCTGCCCCCTTCTCAGAGCTGCCCTCTTGCTGTGGTGCTGGCCACAAATCTGCAGCAGCTTTCTCGGCTGGCCCCAGCCCCAGTCAGAGGGCCCCTCGGGTGAGCTTTGCTCTATCTGCTATCTATATCTCCTCTACTGCCTGCCAGCGGCCTGCGCTCCCCAGAAGGAAGCCTCTGGAGGGCACTGGCCCCAGCCCTCTCTGATGTGCCAAGAGGAGCTTCTTGCTAAACCCTGACAATAATCCCTTCCCCTTCTCTCTGCAAAGCCACATGCCTCAGGTGATTGGGCACTCCCTGCCTTAACCAGCCCAGTTTGGCCAAGGGCCTGGGACGCTCCTGCCCTGGACTCACTGGTGACCCAATCCAGTTAAAGGCACTTGCCCTGGGTTTGGTCAAACCTGTGCTGAATGCAGGCTCTGCCTCTCTAGCCATGTGACCTGGGACAAGTCAGAGCTCACCTTCCTGAGCTTCTGCTTCCTCATCCCAGAAATAGGGATGGCAGCACCCCCATCATCCCCTCTGCTGCCTTGTCATGTAGGCCACCTGAGTGGAAGCACGGGACTGCTTAGCACAGGGCTCCAATCATGGTGGGCAATATTGTTACTCCCTGGACCTGGCTCCACCCCATCTAGAACTCAATCCCCTGCAATCAGAAGCCTTCCCCTCTAGGCGGCCCAGCCTGAGAACCCCAGCACTGCTGTAGGAGTGGGCAGCCAGACTAAATCTGTAACCAGTCCTGGTGGGCCCTGGGCTTGCTGACTTTTGACCTCTCTTCACTTCTGGGTACAGGCCGTGGCAGGTGAGCTAAGCCCTTAGTCACAGAGTCCTCTACAACTCCCTCTCCCCAGGCCCAGTGGCCTGGGGGCACTCCAATATCTGACAGGACGGTGCCCCCAACGAACTGGTGCAGGGCTTACTGGGGACCCTGAGGTCCTGCCACCTACCGGAGAAGTTCCTGGTGGCCAGCATCGTGGTGAGAATGGCTCCCTGCAAGACATAAGAAGAGGGCAGTGGGAGAGGAGGCCGGAGTGAAGGGACCCAGGAGGGACAGAGAGACGGGAGGGCCACGGGGAAGGAGAGGCAGGTGCTGCATTCAGAGAAGAAGCCAAAGCCTCTGCCCTGCCCCTCCATTTGTCCCAACCCCAACCCCAGCCCAGAGCCCATCCCTCGCCCCCTGGAGAAGTCGGGGTGAGCTAGGCTTTAGCCAGTACAGCTCCTGGGACAAGGCCGTCCTAGGGGCAGATATTAATGGGCCCCTTGGCCCGCCCAAGCTGAAGAGCTTGAGGGACACCTACCAGCAGAGGCTCCTGAAGATGATGGACTTTTCTTGCTTGGGCAACAACAGCAGACCTCGTGTCCCCCAACCCCTCCACCTCTTAGCCCTCTGCCCCGTGCTGAGAGCATCTTGCTCCAGGACTAGCTCATCCCTCCATGGCCCCTGGGCTCAGAGAATCCCAGGAGGATTTTCTCTTTTTTTTTTTTATTTCCAAGTTTTTTATTTTATATATATATATATATTATATAATACTTTAAGTTCTAGGGTACATGTGCACAACGTGCAGGTTTGTTACATATGTATACATGTGCCACGTTGGTGTGCTGCACCCATTAACTCGTCATTTACATTAGGTATATCTCCTAATGCTATCCCTCCCCCCTCCCCCCACCCCACAACAGGCCCCGGTGTGTGATGTTCCCCTTCCTGTGTCCAAGTGTTCTCATTGTTCAATTCCCATCCATGAGTGAGAACATGCGCTGTTTGTTTTTTTGTCCTTGCGATAGTTTGCTGAGAATGATGGTTTCCAGCTTCATCCATGTCCCTACAAAGGACAGGAACTCATCATTTTTTATGGCTGCATAGTATTCCACGGTGTATATGTGCCACATTTTCTTAATCCAGTCGATCATTGTTGGACATTTGGGTTGGTTCCAAGTCTTTGCTATTGTGAGTAGTGCCGCAATAAATATATGTGTGCATGTGTCTTTATAGCACCATGATTTATAATCTTTTGAATCCCAGGAGGATTCTCAATGTAGAGAAAGCCTCCTCCATCAACAAGCAGGCTGGGGGCTAATGGCCCCTTTTGTTCCAGAGCCATCTGATTCAGACCTGACTTGACACTGTCTGAATCCCACTGCTTATGATGTTAAGAATCCCTGATTCTGATATTTTGAGACTTCCTCTGTGACACAGCTTCCACTGCAGGATGGGGATGGGACTCAGTTCTCCTGGCATCATGCTGGCCACCACCCCTTGGTCTGTGTCCCCATCCTAAGCCTCCACTCCAGGCCTGGGAGCAGCAGATAAGGAGGTTCCACAAGAGCTGGGGCCTCCGCCTCTTCCCTCATCATCCCCAGCGTGCTGACGGCTCCTCTGTTCCACTGGCCAGGGGCCCCTCAGTGCCTGGCAAAGGCCAGGCCAGGAGCTGTCACCACCCTGAGAGCACACAGAACCTGCAAGAGTGTGAAGCTCTGGGACCACCTGGGTGCCACTGAGCTTCCTCAGGGCCACAATCACTGTCTGAGTGCCTCAGCCATTCCTCCACAGTACTGGGCAGCTGGGGCGCCTCCCTGACCAGGGTCTCACGTTCAGTCATGTCTCACCCCCAAAAGCTCTCCCCAGCCACTCTGAACCACTTGTGGTGCCCCTAAGGGGTCAGGCGCACTTCCAAACTTCTGCACAGGCTGCTTCCTCTGTCTGGAACACGTTCCCATTCTTTTTTTTGTTTTTTTTTTTTTGAGACAGAGTCTCTCTCTGTTACTCAGGCTGGAGTGCAATGGCACGATCTCACTCACTGCAACCTCCGCCTCCCAGGTTCAAGCAATTTTCCTGCCTCAGCCTCCTGAGTAGCTGGGATTACAGGTATGTGCCACCATGCCTGGCTAATTTTTGTATTTTTGGTAGAGACAGGGTTTCACCTCATTGGCCAGGCTGGTCTTGAACTTCTGACCTCAGGTGATCTGCCCACCTCAGCCTCCCAAAGTGTTGGGATTACAGGCATGAGTCACTGCGCCCGGCCACACTTTCCCATTCTGACTCTAACTTGGCTAATACCTGCTTATCCTCCAAGGTCTCAGCTTAAACGCCCCTGGCTCCAGACCCAGAATACCATTGTCCTGCTGCATTCTGCCACCATCTTGAGGCTTTCCCAGGCATGGCACTCACCACTGCCCCATAACGCCCCAGGAACTTGTCTGTCCTCTCCACTAGAGCAAGGGCTCAGTCATTCACCGCTCACTCCCCAAGCCCAACCTGCTGTCCAGTATGCAGTAGGTGTTCAATAAATGCTTATTGAATCAATGAAGGAAAGAATTAGTGAGCGAGTCTCCTGGCCTCTGTGGAGACCCAGGCAGAGCTAGTCCCATGGCCAGGACTGTGGAGGGTGAGGACCTGTTACCTTCAGTTTCCTCCTGGCATTGAACTTCTTCAGGCAGTCCACGGTCTCCTGTCTGTGCATGCAGGATGCCACGGTGGAGCGGTGCTGGAGGAAGTAGGGGAGAGGGCTGTGAGTGGAAGGCAGGCTGGAAGACAGGCCCACCCAAGGGTACCCTTCAGCAGGGCATCTTAATGGAGGTGTGGTTGACATCTTGGGAAGAACGATTCATTGCTCTAGGAGATGCTTCAGGGTGTTTAGCATCCTGGCACCAGACATTCAATGCCAGTAGCACCATCAGTTGTATGCCAACCCAGAACACTCACTCCTCGTTTCCACATTACCCCTGAGAACCACAGCAGGGGCAGTCTCTTGGATTAAGCCCTCTTGGCCCCATGGGCCAGGGGAAGGGCCAGAACTCTGTGGGGGCCTGGATCATGAGGTCTGGAGGGGCTCCTGGGAGAAGTCCTGCTGAGGAAGGCTCACCGAGATCCAGGGGTGCTTAAGGGCTTCGGCAGCTGTGATGCGTTTGGATGGGTTAATGGTCAGCATCTTATTGATCAGATCCTTGGCTTCCGGGGTGACAGTGTCCCATTCCGGCGATGGGAACTGGAAGGGGCAGAGAGGCCAGGTTTGCCCAGCCTGCCCCAGGCCACCCCTGCGATCCCCCAGCCCCTGACTGGCAGGGGAGCAGGCAGGGGTCCTACTGCCCATCCACTCGGACATCCACACCAGGAGGAGTTGGGGCTCCTCACTGCAGGGGAGGGCCCTAGCCCCATACAAATCAGAACACGGCAGAGGGAAAGGAGGCCTCCCTCCAACCATCTTTCTGAGACTGTGCCTTATTTGCAGAGCAGCCGGTCAGTGGCTTTAGCCCAGACTTCAGAATCAAAAGGCCTGGATTCAAGTCCTGGCTCTGCCTCCTGGGCTGTGTAACCTGGGTAAGTCACATGACCTCTTGAGCTATCTCTAGAGATGTTGTGAGAATTAAATACAATATAAAACATACGGCACAGAGCTTAATAGCTATCTGCATAAAAGCAATATAGCTTGGTAGTTAGAAGCATGGATGGTAGAGCCAGACTGCCTGGTTCAAATCCCACCTCTACCATTTCTTAGCTGTGTGATCTAGGCAGTTACTTGACCTCTCTGTATGTCAGCTTCTCTATATGTAAAATGGGAATAATAACAGCACCTATATCATAGATTGGTGTGAGGATTAAATGTAATAATATGTGTAAAACATTCAGAGAGTGCTATAGAATTGTTAGCTATTATTATTTGTATATATGAGAGAGAAACAGAGAAACCCTGGCTTGGGAGGCGCCTCTCCCCTACTCCTCACTCCATTTTGGTGCTGCTTCTTGCCTTCTGGGGCAAGATAAATCTCCAATCATTAGGCACAGCATGGTAACCACCTGGCCCTGGTCAGTCTTCATGCTCCCCTGGGGTTCACCCCTGTGCCAGAACTAGAGAGTGGCTTGGCGCTGGCTTTCACTGGAAGGGCACCAGAGGATGATGGGAGCTGAAGAGAGGAGCGACACTCACATCATAGGCGCCGGCTTTGATCTGCTGGTACAGGCGGTGCTGGTCCTCATCCCAGAACGGGGGGTACCCAACCAGCAGGATGTACAGGATGACCCCTGGAAAGAGGACCAGAGAACCTTCAACCCCCTGTGGGGAGGAGACATGGGGGGAGGGGAGTGATGGGAAAGGAGAGAGGGGGCCCCAGAGGCCGGGGTGCAGCCAGGGGCACAAAAGGGCCTTAGGATGAACTCACCACAAGCCCACAGGTCCACAGGCTTCCCGTACGGGTCCTTCCGCAGCACTTCTGGGGAGAGATATCCAGGAGTCCCTGCAAACCCTGCTCCCAGACACACAGACAGGCAGACACATACACAGAGGTTGTCTCGTAAGTAACCTGGAGCAAGATCCTGCTGGAAGAGGGGATGAGGATTGCTCTGGAGCTGAGGAAAACAGCCCCTGCCCCTCAGGTGCACTTGGGCTTGTATTGTGCAACCCCAGTCGGCCCAAGACATAAGCCTGATGAGCCAGCAAAGCCTCTAGATCAGATCGACAACTACCTAGCACACCTGTCACCACTTCCCACTTCAGAGCCAGTGGTAATCAGCCACAGAACTCCTTCCTACTGGGTCCTGACTCAGGATCATAAGCTTCTCAGCACCACTCTTCCAGGAGCCACTAGTGATCCATTGCTGGTGGCTTCAAGATGAAATGCACCTGCCATGTCAGCCCCAGGCTGAGAGCTAAGCCCACTCTGCACCCCCTTGTTGGAGTTGGTCATGGGATGTCGGGAGGCCTGTCCTAACTGACTTTGCCCCTTGGGTACGTCTCTTTATCTTCTAGTCCTTGTTTCCTCATCTGTCAAATGAAGGATTAGGGATTCCTATCTTAAGTGCCTCCCAGGGTTGTTGAGCCGGTCAGTTCAAATAATGGACACCTGAGGTATTCTAACAAGCACTTTTAAGAACACTTACAAGTTACCGAGTGTGTATGCTAAGCATTGGGCTGAGCACTTCATATGCCTGGTCACATTTAATTCTGACACCACTCCTGAGGGACACACAATTATTATTCCCATTTTACAGATGAGGAACGAAGGCACAGAGAGGTGAAGTGACTTAGCCAAAGTCACATACCTCATAAGTAGCAGAGTCGGGATTTGAACCCAGAACTCTGGTTCTTAACCATGGCTCAATATTGCCCACTAAAAAGTACTCCCAGGTAGCTTAAAGAGACCCAGTTATACCAAAATCACAAAGCAGGCTGGATCATCTGAGTTAAGTCCTGGTCTATCCCTTTTAAACTTTCTTGACCTTCTGCAAGTTTTCTGCCAGTTTTTTCCTCATCTATAAAATCAGGATAATAATCTCAAGCACCTAGACTATTAGGGCAGCTCTGTGGAAACTTCCCTAAGGCCTTCAACCACAGGGAGCCCTTTGGGGAGGAGAGATGGCGGAGGGGAGTGACAGGAAAGGAGAGAGGGGGCCCCAGGGAGCCCTGTGGAAGGCCGTAGGGTCCCATGCCTGAACCCTGGGGACACAGATAGGTGCTGCCCACTGGCTCAGAGGCTGGGTGGGACAGGGCCTCTGCTCTACCAGCCCCGGCTGGCCCAACAGCATCTCCAGCCATACCCACTCAGGCAGGGGGTTCCCAGAGGCTTATGTGTCAACACAAATGGGTGCTGACCCCCAACACTTCTGCCAGCCCACCCCACTTACCAAACCATGCCTGCTGCTCCCCCTCCACCTCTATGGCCAGGCCAAAGTCTGCCAGCTTCACTGCGGCACCCTTGAGCTTGGAGGCCAGCAACAGATTCTCAGGCTTGTCAGGACCAGAGAAGAGGGAGGAAGGGGAGGAAAGCGCCAAGAGACAGTCAGCAGATTCAGAGCCTCACCTCTAGGGGCCTGGGCTCACAGGAAGAACAGCCCGGCCCTCCGGGGCCCCTGCTTTCATCTCCAGCCCCGCCTCAGGCTCCTGAGTCTCAGTCCCCAGAGAGGGGACTATCCTATGGCAAGACCTCCATCCGCTACAACAGAAAGGCCCTTTCTCCATCAGCCACTCCTCCCTCCCCACTTCAAGATCTGGGGCTGGGCTGAGGTGAGAGCGGGGTGGTACATTCACCACCACAATAAAGCAGCAGCAGCAGCAGCAGCATTGATTGTGCCCCTACTATATGTCAGCTGCTGGGTTAAGTGTTCTGCGTGCATCATCTCTTGTATCAACGACCCTTTCGGGTAGGTATTATTACCTACATCTTCCACAGTGGCCTTCCTATGCCCCTTGAAACAGTCCATCTTGTTTCCACCTCAGGGCCTTTGCACTTCCTGTTTTCCTCCTCTAATTTTTTCTCCCCCAAGCTTCAAAGTGGCCCCTTTACTTTGTCCAGCCCTCAGTCTCATGTCACCCCATGGAGGAGGCCATCCAAGTTTACTCTATCTAGAGGGGAAGCCCTCAGGCATCCTGTGTCTTTGCTCCTGTTGTTACCTTCATAGATCTCATCACAATTTGCAGTGTTTTCTCCCATCTGTCTATGTGCTTGTTTATCATCTGTCAGCCCTGGGGAATGTGAGTTCCTTATCTGTCCTGTTCACCACTGTATCACCAGCACCTAGGTTGGGGGGCCACACAGCAGGCACTTAATAAGTATTTGTCACGTATATAAAGATGAGAAAACTGAAGCTCAGAGAGGTTAAGTGACTTGGCCAAGATCACGCAGCTGGTAAGGGATAGAGCCAGAATCGAGGCAAAGTCTGACTCTATCTTAACTGCTCTAGGCTGAAAGATGATGAGGCTTATACATGGGGCCAGCAGCTGACTTGGGAAGGTCCCACACCTGGCCTCTGGGCATCGAGGCTGCTGCTTTGCACTGGCTCAGCCTCCAGAATTCCTCCACTTCCTGCTGGTCCCTTCACCCTGAGACTCAGGATGGAGGGGCGCTAAGACTGTGGGCTCGCTTAGATAGTCCCAGTTTCTGATCCCGATGCTGCCCACCTCTATGCCATGACATATGGGCAAATTATTTCACTTCTCTGAGCTTTAGTTTCCTCTGAGAAAAATGCTTACCTTATGGGGTGGTGCATGGATTAACTGAGATAATCTGTGTAAGCACTTCGCTGTGGCCTACAGTAAGTGCTTGGTAAATGTTAGTACTTCTATTTTTGGCTTGGGGAGGGGCTCAGAGTCTCTGAAGACTGTTGGTTTTGAGTCCTCCTCTGATCCCCTTCCCAGTGGGACTTCTGAAGGGTCCCACCTCTGACCTTTCACTGTCTAAAGCTAGGCTGGACCCAAACAAATATAGCTCCCTCCGCCTGGCTCAAAGGCCTCCTTTGTCCTCTGGGGACAATGTTCCTAACATGTCCTGGGTCTCGGTAACCGTCCTGCCCTGATTTGATGAATGTGTCACTAATTATTATATCCAGAGTGGCCTAAATTTGGGCTGCCTCTCCTCCTTCCTCCTCCAGTGCAGGGGCTGCAGCTATAATGGGAACAGGCCCTCTGGGAGAGGTGCCCTGCAGTCTGGCTGGAGACCCTCTTGGAGTGCACACTCGTCTCATCTAGACTGAGCCACAGGGAGCTTGCCTAGGGCTCAGGAGAGAAGCCGTGTCTGCCCAGGACAGTCAGAGAGGGGCAGGGTCTCTCTTCAGAGCATTGTGCCCCAAAGAGGGACCCAGACCAGTGGAAGCATGCCCAGGGAAGGTGCCCAGGATGAGGCTGGCCTGAAAATCACACTCCGGGAGGACCGTGGCAGGGGTGGGTACACCCTGCAGGGGACTTAGCAGCTACAACAAAGCTGCTGGAGTCCGTCTAGGGCTCTTCCAAGCTGGAGGTTTGGTCTCTGTGTGGTTCCAAATGGCAGAACTGAGGTTCAGGGCAAAGCCCCTCCAGCAGGGAAGAGTGTTCCCCAGTGGTGCAAGGGGCTACCCCATGGGAAGTGAGTTTGCTGTCACTGAAGAACAAAAAGCAGAGGTTTGATGGACATCTGGCAGGGTCACCCTAGAAGGGGCTGCTGAGGAAGCAGGAGCTGGATAGAGTGACCTTTTGGCACCAGACTCCCAAGGTCACAGGATCAGGGGTTAGAAGGCCAGAATTCCCCCGCCCTAGCTAAGGACAATTGAACTGCATGTTCTTGGGCAAATTGCTTGAACTCTTAGGCCTTAGTTTCCTGCTCTGCAAAATGGAGACAATATGAACTACCAGCCACTGATACCATGAGGATCAGCAGCGGAGATCCATGAAGTCCCTGCTGAAGGAGCAAGGCTGTGCAGCTGGTGCCAGTCCTAGACTCTGCAATCTCCTTCAGGTAAAAGAAAGGAGAACTGCACGGGCCTAGAGTCTGGTTTTTCTTCTCCCCTGGCCTGCCAGAGATGCAGGAACAAGACTAAGAATGCATCTGTATACCAGGCCCCGTGCTATCTCATTTCATATCCTCACCAACCCTTTGCAGAGGTTGCTATGGCAACCCCCATTGTGAAGAATCTGAGGCTCAGGAAGGTCATGCTACTAAAGGCTGCATGGCTGGAAAGTGGCCTGGTTGAGATTTGGACCCAGCCTGCCTTCTTCCCCACCCACCGTAGCCAGTCATGACAGTATAACTGCAGCTCACCCATCCTGGCACAAAGCATGTGGGCTGGGAGTTGGAAGAGCAGGGGCCCAAACACAGACGCTCTACCTTCCTGAGCTCTGCTTCCTCATCTGAACAGTGGGGAAAATAATCTCACCCACCCCACCTTCCAGCCTAACACAGAGAAATTAAAGCGATTCTGATAATGTCCAGCTCTGCAGGATTAGGGACGTGCAGAGGAGAGAGGGGCTCCCGGGGTGAGCCACACCCACGGTGGGTTGCTCACCTTCAGGTCCCGGTGCACCACCCCCATCTGGTGGCAGTGCAGCACAGCCTCCAGGATCTGCTGGATACAGTGACTAGGGAGAGAGAGAGGAAGGGGTCATGGTGGTGTGAGCACAGGCCTCCCCTGGGAAGCTGACAGCAGGCAAGAGTGCCCTGTCCCCGGGTGCCATTGCCAGGCAGCACCTGACACTCACCTGGCATCCGCCTCACTGTAATACTCCCGGGCCACGATATCTTCAAACAGTTCCCCACCAGTGACCCTGGGGAGACAGGCATGGAATCACCCTCTAATAGAGGCGACAGGTGCTGCCTCATCTGGAGGAGTCTCCAGGAAACTAAGGATGGGGCCCAGGGACCTCAGGACCTCAGCCACAAAAGGAGGGGCCCCAGGGTCACGGGGGTGTCCCCTGCTGCAATGCCCTTCCTGTCTTCCAGAGCACCCTTCCATTGACTCCAGTCCCCTCTCCTCCTCCATCCCCGGCCCTTCTTCCCCACCTAACCCAGGCTGGAGTCCGGAGGTTAGGGAAAGTCAGAGCACATCACTAGGCTCATTAGGAAGCCTATGGCCTCCCCCATGATCAATATCTCAAAGGCTATTTTTTATCGATGAGACTGGCCCCATCACTGATTTTCATTGCCATACCAGGAACTACTGTGGCCTATCATTTCATTATTGCTTCTCTTTGAATCAACACTCCTCAAAAAAAAATTAAACATATTCCAGAAGGAAACTTTATATTGCCACTGAAAATGGAAAACCAGCATCACTGGCCACAAATAGAAGAGAAGCAAAAATAAATATAGGATGAAAGCTAAAAGTGTTTGTTGGTGTTTTAGGAAAGTCAGCTTGCACTGCTTGGGTGGCAGGCCCACCACATTTGGGGAAACTCTGGACCACAAGAGGGAATTCAGCCCAAGAGGTCCAGTGAGGCCATCACTGGTTAGGCAGCCCCAACACCGTTGGCGCATCCCAGGGCGGGGCCAAACTCACAGGTCGAAGATCAGGTAGTGGTGTCCCTCCTCTGAGATGCTGTCATGTAGTCGGACTGTGGGCGGGGCAAGGCAGTTGGTTACAGTGGGACACACTGCTGCACAGGCCCGCCCTCCCTCTCTCCCCTCCCGTGTATATCCAACACCCCCCGCTCCCAGACAGTCACTGAGTATACACCAGGTGCCAGGTGCTTTGACAAGCGCTGGTGAACAAGGGCTCACTGCATTGAGTCCGAATAGACCTCAGGCATTACTGAAAGAGGGCTGGGCTTCAACATGAAAGATGCCTGTTTAGGTCAGAGTTTAGCGCCCTCCCCTCTCCGAAACCCTGTTTGGTTGCTGGGCAGGCCCAAGTCATGGAAAGCCTGTGACTCCAATCTCTGCCACTTACTAGCCGTGTGACTTCTGGCAAGTTGCTAGGCCTTTCTGAGCCTCTCTTTCCTTGCCTGGACAATGAGAATGAAACTCCTGGACTTGCAGGCTTGTTATGAGAGTTCCAGGAGGCATGCAGTTGGTGCTCACTCAGTGCTGCCTGAGCTAATATCCTGCTCTGCTCCCAAGTCTGAGGAGATAATGGAGCATGGAGGCCAGAGGCAGGAGTGAAAGGGTCCCTGCGTTCTGGCATGCTGAGGAGCTGTCATCTCTTCACACCCCATTTACCCAGAACAGAGGCAAAGCTCCCAGGAGCCCAGGGCTCCCAGCATGCACCCCTGAGCTATTAGAAGGAAGGGCCTGAGTCCTGGGGCTGACTCTGGGACCACATCCTGTCAGTCAAGAGCAAGTCTCACAGGACAGGGCTCACATCCTTCCCCGCACCACAGCCTAAAAATGTCCATGCAGGGGCGTGCTGGCTCAGTGAATGACGATTCATCCGCACAATGGAAAATGGCACAGCTGCTAAAATAATGCGGCAGTTATGTATCTACTGGTTCAGAGTCATCTCCAAATTATGTTGCTTGGTGAAAAAGCAAAGTGCAAAACAGTATGCGTAGTACTTTTTTAAAGGATGTATTTAAGTTTATATATGGCATAAGTCTCTCTGGAAGAATACAGACAAGCAGGCACTGAGGGTGCCTCTGGGGAGGGGAATTGGGGGAGTTGGGTCATGAGAGGAGACTCACTTTTCACTATGAATCCTAGTGCCATCTGAATGTTTGCCATGTGCATATATTTCTGGCTCAATATTGAGTCCCCTGAATTGTTTATGGCTGTCGTATTTGCACATAAAATTTGGAGAGAGGCAGGCATCAGATACCCCAGAGCTGATGCCAGTAGGGAGAGGTGGATGGGCACCAGAGATGGAGAGGGAAGGGGCACAGATTAAAATGAAAATTTAGGCTGGGAGCGGTGGCTCACGCTTGTAATCCCAGCACTTTGGGAGGCCGAAGCAGGTGGATCGCCTGAGGTCAGGCGTTTGAGACCAGCCTGGCCAACATGGTGAAACCCCATCTCTACTAAAAATACAAAAATTAGCTGGGTGTGGTGGCCCATGCTTATAATCCCAGCTACTCCAGAGGCTGAGGCAGGATAATTGCTTGAGCCCAGGAGGTGGAGTTTGCAGTGAGCCGAGATCGTGCCACTGCACTACAGCCTGAGCGACAAAGCAACACTCCATCTCAAAAAAATAAAAACTAAAATAAAATAAGATAAAATAAAATAAAATAAAATAAAAATTTAGGCCAGGTGCGGTGGCTCACCCTGTAATCCCAGCACTATGGGAGGCTGAGGTGGGTGGATCACTTGAGCTCAGCAGTTCAAGACCAACCTGGGCAACATGATGAAACCCCATCTCTACAAACAATACAAAAATTAGTTGGGCATGGTGGCACAGGCATTTGTCGTCCCAGCTATTTGGGAAGCTAAGGTGGGAGGGTTGTTTGAGCCCAGGGGGCGGAGGGTGCAGTGAGCCAAGATTGCCCCACTGCATTCCAGCCTAGATAATAGAGTGAGAATGTCTCAAAATAATCACAATAATAATAAAATGAAATTTTAAAACATTCTTTAATGATGATATATATTTATAAATAATAACTAAAAGATGTTTTAAATATATTCTAAAGCAAAATCTTAAAGGCACATGTAATTCTGCTTTAATTCCTTTCAACATTTTTTTATAAAAAATTCAGGCCGGGCACGGTGGCTCATGCCTGTAATCCCAGCACTTTGGGAGGCCGAGGTGGGCAGATCACCTGAGGTCAGGAGTTTGAGACCAGCCCGGCCAATATGGCAAAACACCGTCTCTATTAAAAATACAAAAATTAGCTGGGTGTGGTGGCAGACGCCTGGAGTCCCAGCTGCTCGGGAGGCTGAGGCAGGAGAATTGCTTGAACCCAGGAGACGGAGGTTGCAATAAGCCGAGATCATGCCACTGCACTCCAGCCTGGGCAACAGAGCAAGGCATCATCTCAAAAAATAAAAAAAATTAAAAATAAAAAAAATTCAAACATACAGTTAAGTGAACACCCAGATATCCACTACCTAGGTTCTATCATTAATGTTTTCCTATACTTGCATTATTACGTTTCTATCCATTCCTCTGTCCATTGGTTTATTTAATTTTTAGTACATTTCAAAGTAAATGCAGGCTTAATTTTTAAAGTGTAAATGTGTATTGGCCGGGCACAGTGGCTCACGACTGTAATCCCAGCACTTTGGGAGGCTGAGGCGGGTGGAACACGAGGTCAGGAGATCGAGACCATCCTGGCTAACACAGTGAAACTCCCTCTCTACTAAAAATACAAAACAAAATTAGCCAGGCGTGGTGGTGGGCACCTGTAGTCCCAGCTACTCAGGAGGCTGAGGCAGGAGAATGGTGTGAACCCGGGAGGCAGAGCTTGCAGTGAGTCGAGATCACGCTACTGCACTCCAGCCTGGGTGACAGGGTGAGAGTCCGTCTCAAAAAAAAAAAAAAAAAAGTGTAAATGGGTATTTAACTGTATTTTTGGTGTGTAGAATCTGGCAATTCTATACCTGGGCCCTGCCCAGAAGCCCTTTGGTAAGTTGGTGCATCCAAACCCCACGTGCTGGAGTGCGGGATGCTAACAGCACCTGAATCCCTGACTCAGGCTCTGCTTCCAGGTAACCTGACCTGAGATGATATATGTAAGTATACAGTCCTTGAGAAGGCACATATGTCATATATCATATGGTAGCACGTATCATTAAATGTTAATTCTAGATGTGAGGTTATAGAAGATACTTTAAAAAGTATTTGTCTTCTCATTTATCTGCAATAAACTTGTATTGTTAGTGTATCAAGATAAAGTTTTGCAAAAGACTCTTCCCTCTCCCTGCCTTCCTCCACGTGGTCTCTGGGGAGTGAACCCTCTCCTATTCTTTCTGGTGGGCCATCATCTCTAACCTCCCTTTCCTGAGTGTAAGAAGCTCTGAGAAGCCAAGCTGCAGCTAGAATCATCTCAGAAAGGGCTTTTAGAACCATGGCAACAGGCTTTGGAAGGAGCCACAAGAAGACTGGAGTCCCAGATCTACCCTCTGACCCAGGGCCTCAGCCCCTTTAGAGAATGTCCTCAGGTCTCAGGGAAATGGACAGAATTGAGGGAGGTTTTCTCCAGAGCTGACTCTCCCTCAGATGGTGACTTTGTGTTGATGGTAAGAGGCTACCCCTCTGAGCAGCTGGGCAAGGGGCACATGGGTTGGAATTCAGCCCCTACGTTTGCAGTGCACCACACACGTGATGGTACTAGAGTTGGCTTCAGTCCCTGAGGTCGAGTCACACCTCAGAGCCCAGGAGACAGGATTTCTTGTTTCAGGGCCGTTTTCACACACAAAGCCTCCCCTTCCATCAGTGGAGGCTGCCTGAGGAACGACTCAGCCAGAGCCCAAGATTCAAGGGCCATAGGCTATCATCATGGTCCTGTCTCCTGGTGGAGTGACTGACGTGTCCGTGCCCATTGAGTCATTCTGTCACTTTTGACTGTTTAAAATATTGTCATAGAACAAACAAATCTGTAACCTAGCTTTTTATTTATGTGGCTTGATTCATGCACTTCTGGCATGCCTGTGATTTTCCGACAGTGGATTTTTTTCTTGGAGGTTGAAGGACAGTACTTGTTCCCTTATTTGCATGTCCCCCTGACACCATATATGTGATATCCACTTGGAAAGCTAAATAGAAGGACTGGGAACAAGGGCTCTGGAGTCAGACTTGCGGAGTTCGTCTCCCAGATCCACCTCTTACAAGCTATGTAGCTATGGGCAAATGACTTAACCTCTCTGAGCCTCCCTTCCAAACAGTAATGCTAATACCACTGGACTGCTATAGTCATTAATGTGATGATTCCTGTAAGCCACTTAGCACAGCACCTGGCACTAGGAAGAGTTCGATAAATGGAGATATTGTCAACTTCATCACTGACCTACCATACTTCCCTTCCCCACCACAAATCACCTACTAAACTTTCAGGTTGTCCCTAGCACAGTGCAAGTCCCCTGTGCCTTGGGGTGGCCTTCTGGCGTCTCCCTCATCTGCAGGTGGTGATGGTAGAGACAGCAGGTTACCGACCTCTCCCAAGAAGGATCTGGGAGGTAAATGCTTTGTGCACAACACAGTTGGACTGACCTGTGCTGAGCCTCACTGACCTGGTCCCCTGGGGACTGGACTGACCTGGGACCTCACTGACCTGGACCCCTGGGGAGCAGAGCAGTGGCCACACAGAAGCAGCGACCAGTAGTAACCTTGTCTAGATTGGCCAAGCAGGCTGAACAGGACTCAGTCCAGTGTCTTTAGGCACAAGCTCACCTTTCGGGTTTTGAGCCCACATCTGTACCTCTTTGCACGTCTTTGGGAAGATTACAATTTTGAAGGAAGATGCTTGGAGGATCAGGAAGTGCACCCTCCAAGGAACCTTCCAGCCCTGACAGCAGCTCAAAGCTCCTCTGGGGTCTTCCTGTGCTGGATGCTCAGCTCTGCTTTCCAGTCCCGCCTGCGCATCGCCACCACCCCCACTCCCATTCCCCATCCTCACTTCTCCTGCACATTCTCAGTGCCTAGCAGAGACCTTGGCATGGGGTGGGTCTACGATGCACCTGACATCAGGTGAATGAAGGAAGGAGTAAATGACTCAATGATGATGATGATGATAGCTACCATTTCTGAGCTTTTACCACACACTAGGCTTTGTGCCAAGTGCTTTACTTAACGCTATCTCATTTTACCCTCCCAACAGTCCTAGAAGGTGGGTGCTGTGATTATCCCCACTTCATAGAGGAGGATACTGAGGCTAAGAGGTTCACAGTCTGCCCAAGCTCAAACACTTAGTTAACGGCAGAGCTGAGATTGAAACCGGGTGTCTGACTGCAAACCCCATTCTCCTAACCACCATGTTATATATAATATAGTGCCTCCAGTAACCACTAAAAATCCTCATGGCCCCGAGGAATGACAATCATATGGAGTTTTAGGCAAGAAGATGTCTTCAGGCAAGGTTGTTCTGATGGAAGGTGTTGGTTGGGGAAGAGGGGGGCAGCTTAATGATAATGACTGTCATTGTGCTGTGGTCTATTTAATCATCACAATCCTATGAGCTAGTTATCATTTCCATTTTGCAGAGAAAACTGAGCTTCAAAGTGGTGGAGCTACATGTCCAGGGTCACACAGCAATGAAGCAGCAAACTCAGGATTTGAGCTGTAGTCTGTCAGCTCCAAAGCCATAACCTCCTGCTCCCCATTTTATAGCTGGGAATGAGAGGGAGAGGGAGGTGTGAACATGAGGAGGCAGTGTTGACCTGAGATAGCTGCAGTTGTGCAGCAACACACACACACATTCACACATTCACACACACTCACATACATGCACTCACACAGACATTCACACACACACACTTACACAGACTCACATACGCACATTCACACACACATTCACACACTCACACACGTGCATTCACACACTCCACACACTCTCACATACACTCACACACTCACATACACACATTCACACACACACTTACACAGACACACATTCACACACACTCCAACACTGTCACATACACACACACATACATGCATACACATACACTCACACGCACACATTCGCACTCACACTCACATTCACACACATATTCACTCACACACTCCACACACTCTCACACACTTAACACACACTCCCCTCCTTCCACTGGAGCTGGTAGCCTCCGTAAGGACCATAAGATCTTACAGTCAGAGATCACTCTCAACCCCCTCCATCACACAGCTGGGGGGTTGGGGGCCCAGAATAGGCAGGGGCTGCTGAAGGCCACATGGTGAGGACATTAGTAGGTCAGGGACCAGGGTTCAAACAGGGCTGCTCCCTGCCAACCCAGGGATGTCTCTCTGATGCTGGTCCCGGAGCCTCTGGCTGCTGTTTGTGCAGGGAAGGGGAGGTGCCTTCTGGGTATAAATAGCAGATGGAGATGCTTCTCTCTGGCAGGAGAGTTAACCCTTGGGGCCCTGGGCACGGAGAGAGGCTTCCCTGCCTTGTGAGAAGGCATGGTGGCTGTCAGAGTTGGAAGAGTCCTTAGCGATCACCTAGGCCCTGCTCCTCAGTGCGGTCTATGAGTCAGCAGGCTTGGCATCAACTCAGAGAGTGTTAGAACTGCAAAATCCTGGCCCCATCCCAGGCCCAGTGAATCCAAGTCTACCTTTTCACAAGGTGCCCAAGATGCTGGTTCAGACAGACCTTCCCTCAGAGGATGGGGGGAAGTGATTCAGAGAGGGCAGTGCTCCTGCCCAAGGTCCCACAGCAATTCCCTGACAGAATTAGCCCTCAAAGCCACACTTCCTGCCCTCATGACTCAGCACCCTCATAGGCAGGGATCAGCCCCCCAATTGCACAAGGGCTGAAGAAGGGGGGCCAGGCAGCGAGGTGTTGTTTCAGAGCCCATCCCCACGGGTTCTGCTGCCCTGGCTCTGTCCCAGCCTGCCATGGCCCAGCCTCTCCATGCAGCCTGTGCCCGGCCTGTGGGCCAGGGCCTGAGTTGGAGCTTGACCCTGTAGGCAGGCAGGTGCCAGGTCGACGGAGGAGGGCAGGGCCACGGTGCCAGGCTGAATCGGCATGGGTGTGGGTATGGGGAATGGGCCACAGCGGTCAAGGCCAAGCATGTCCCCCTGGCCTATTTTCATCTCTCCCAGAGCTTTAGAAGTTTTCCTGAAACAGCTTTTCCGGAGGCTGCCGGCAGTGTGGGATGGGAGGAAGGGCCTTTCTTCACCTTCCCCCGAAACAAGCTGGCTCTGAGGAATGTGGAAACCATTAAAGACGCCCCCTTTCCCATCTCTGCTGCCTCCATCCCCAGAGAAGAGAGCAGCTGCTCTCCACCCAACCCGCAAACACCCACGTGCCAGGGTGGGCAGGGGAGCAGGGCCTGGCTCCCCTGCGCCCCTCTCATCCCACAAGGCTCACCGATGTTGGGGTGCTTCAGCAGGCGGCAGATGCGGGCTTCACGCTCCAGCTTCTGATGGTCTGAAACACAGAGGCTCATGTGAGTCCCCGGTGAGGAAGGAACCATTACCCTCCATCTCCCCCTTCTCAAAGCCTCGTATTATCTCCACCTCCCAGGGCAGCCCCTGGGGGCTGGGAAAGCTCACCTTCTGGCCAGGGCCTCTGAGTTCTCCAGGAAGACCATGGGGTGCAGTGGAAAGAGGAAGAGGCCTGGGTTGCAGTGACTCAAGCACATCCCTCGCCCTCTCTGGCCTCCGTTTCCATGATTCTTAAATGTGAGGCTTCTCCGAGACTCCTCCAGGCCTGTTCCTCAGGCCCTATACTCTAGCCAGACTAAATGGCCGACTTCACCTCTACAAGCAGATCCCGCTGGGCCCTCTCACTTCAGGAGAGAATTGCACATGCGGTTCTCTCAGCTTGAAACACTTACTCTACCTCCCACCTGCCGTTCACTGGCCATCACTCACTCCTACCAATCCTTAGTCTCAGGCCCCTGGCGGCAGGCAGGGGCCCATCCTCTGTGCTTTCAGAGCCCCCGAACAGCATGACCCACTCAGTCTCATGGATATCTAGTTCCTTGAGGGCAGGGACTTCGTCTCTGTTGTACCCCTGACATCTACCCAAACACCTGGCACATACTAGGTGCTCAAGAAATAACTGAATGAAGCTGGGCACAGTGGCTCACACCTATAATCCCAATACATTGAGAGGCCGAGGCAAGTGGATCACTTGAGCTCAGGAGTTCGAGACCAGCCTGGACAACATGGTGAAACCCCATCTCTACTAAAAATACAAAAATTAGCCAGGTGTGGTGGCAGGTGCCTGTAATCTCAGCTGCTCAGGAGGCTGAGGCAGGAGAATTGCTTGAAGATGGAGGTTGGAGTGAGCTGAGATCACGCCACTGCACTCCAGCCTAGGCGACAGAGCGAGACTTCATCTCAAAAAAAAAAAAAAGAAAAGAAAAGAAAAAAGAAATAACCACATGAAAGAATAAATGATTGAATGAATGTGCCTTTCTAAGGGAGTGGCTATTCTTCCAGAGGGCTGTGTTGATTCCCAGAAGCCACCTCCCTTTCAGGAGACTCTGGGACCAGGGACACAGAGAGCCCCAAAGAATCTGCAGGGGCCCACCCAGAGCTCTCCCTCCTGCCTTCTGGACTGCTGTGCAAGTCTCCTGGGGCTCCCCAC
Source organism: Homo sapiens (assembly GCF_000001405.40). NCBI lineage: Eukaryota > Metazoa > Chordata > Mammalia > Primates > Hominidae > Homo > Homo sapiens. Next base: position 150,266,183 of record NC_000005.10, read on the forward strand.
ACACTCGGGAGAGAGGCCTTGTTCAGGATCTGCCACTGTGGCTTCTGATTCTCCAGCTGCTGGGAACAGTGGGACACATGATCCTACTCCGTGCCCCCAAGCAATCCTGGGCTGGGACCACCACTCTCCCCATTTTATAGATAAGGAAACTGCAGCCTGAACAAGCTGAAGCCTCCGTGGTGGCAGAGCTGGAACTGAAAATGCATTTCCCATTTTCCTTTTTGGTGCTTTTTTCACAATTTGGTAGTTAACGCCTTAATTTAACAAACAAAACCATAAAAAGAAATCTCTTTTTAAAAACTCTGTGCCAAGCACTGTGCAGAGGGCTTTATATGCCTTTCAAGCCCTCACTACAATCCTTTGAGGGGGTTACTATCATTTTTCTGGCTGTCCAGAAGAGGAGACAGAGCTTCAGAGAGGTTAAGTACCTGCCCAAAGTCAATCCCGCAGTGAGCAGTGGAGCTATGATTTTTACCCAGACAGTTAGACTCCAGAGCTGGGCTTTCAATCCTGGGCTATACTGTTCTCTGTGCCCCAGCTCATAACCACTACCTCCACTTGCCCCCAATTCCCAAATAGAAAAATTAAGACCCACAGAAGGAAACTCATGCCAACACTCAGACACCGAGCCAACACTAGAACCCTGGCCCTGAATGGCCCTCTCAGAGTAGGCAGGTATGCGGGTGGGGGGGTGGTGAGAATGAAGAAAGTTCCAGCCCTTGTTCCCAGGAATCCAGCTCCCCTTTCCCCTGCCCCCTTCACTAGAGCAATCACTGGCTGTCCTCCAAGGGCTGCAGAAGCCAAAATCAATACTGAAAGGTGGCTTTTCCACCAGCAAAGCAATTAAGTCCAATTCAGTTTCCATGGCTCAACTCCCCAGCTGAAAACCAGCTGCAAGCTAGGGATAAGGAGGTGGGGCCAAGTTGGGGGGCATCCCTTGATTCCTCCTCCCTCCGTGGGCTCCTTTCATATCCTCCAGGGTAGGGGAGGCTGACTTCTGGGCAGAGGAAGGGATGCCCATCCAGAGCTGACCAGGCGGGGCCCTCCCCCTGCTCCACGTCCCATGCCCTACCCCACGTCCCATACCCTACCCCCCATCCCACCTCCAGCAGAACCAGAACTCAGGCAGGTCAAGGTCAGGCCTGTCAGAGTGGGAAGGAGGCTTCTGGCTTAGGCTATACATTCAGGAAGCAGAAGCCCCAAATCCAGAATGTTGCTGTTTTCTCCCTGTGAGTTTACCCAGGAGCAGAGAATATTGACAGGATTGAAAGAAGAAAACGCTGGCCATGCAACTGTAAACTTGTATCTGGTTACCAGACCTTATTGCTGGAAATGCTAGGAACTAATTGTATAAATCTTACATCATCTTATGCATGGTACAATTAACCTGCATTTTCACTGTTGAAAGCATTCATCCTACTGAGTGTAAACATATACATTATACAATATTTCTGGTAACTCTGTTTGCAGTGTTTTCATTTTCCAATATACAGAGAACCTTAAGACATGTAGGGACCATGTTTCTTTTGACCTCCGAGGCCGTGTTCTGTTATATAGGTGGAGAAACTGAGGCCTGTTGACAAAGGAAGAGTCCCTTTATCAAAATCACTCACCAAAATCACTCTGAAAACTCAGAGCTCTGAGGCCTCTACCCCTGCATCTTCCCCCCACTCCTCCCCTCAGCCAAGGAGCTTTTTTTTTTTTTTTTTGAGACAGAGTCTCGCTGTGTCGGCCAGACTGGAGTGCAGTGACTCGATCTTGGCTCACTGCAACCTCTGCCTGCCAGGTTTAAGCAATTCTCCTGCCTCAGCCTCCCGAGTAGCTGGGACTACAGGCACATGCCACCATGCCAGGCTAATATTTTGTATTTTTAGTAGAGACGGGGTTCCACCATGCTGGCCTGGTCAGGCTGGTCTCGAACTCCTGACCTTGTGATCCGCCCGCCTTGCCCTCCCAAAGTGCTGGGATTACCGTGCCCGGACCCACCAAGGAGCTCTTTTTAAAACATCAATTAAATCCTGTCCCTCCTTGGCTTCCAACTCTCCAACAGCTTCCCAATATACTTAGAGCACAATCCAAACTCCTCACTGGGTCCGGCCTCACCTTCCGGCCAGGAAGCTCCAGCCACACTGGCCTCCTCTCTGCCCTGACACACCAAGCTCCTTCCCACCTCAGGGCCTCTGTACCTGCTGTGCCTTCTGCCTGGAAAGCTCTTCCCTGGGTCTTCTCATCAGGCAGGCCCCGGCACAACGTCACCTCCTTAGAGAGATTCCCTGGCTGCCTTTTCTAAGCATGTCCCTCCTGCCACATCACGTCCCCATACCCTGTCTTATTTTCTTGGTTAACACTTGTCACTACCTGAAGCTACCCAGCTGACATATGTGTTTAATGTTCTTTTCAGTCTCACTGCCCAGAAAATGGGCACAATGAGAGTAAGACCTTTTCTGTTGGTCACTGCCACGTTCCCAGGGCGTGGCATAGAGCTGCTAAGCAGCTTGTCCAAGATCCCATAGCAAACAAGTGGCAGGGCTGAGATTTCAATCCATGTACATAGCTACTATACTATATTGCTTCCCATTCTAATAATTTTTTTTGAGACAGGGTCTCACTCTCATTGTCCAGGTTGGAGCACAGTGGCAGGATCACGGCTCACTGCAGCCTCTACTTCCTGGGCTCAGGTGATTCTCCCTTCTCTGCCTCCCTCTTGAGTAGCTGGGACTACAGGCACCCGCCACCATGCCCGGCTAATTTTTTATATTTTTAATAGAGATGGGGGTCTCACCATGTTGCTCAGGCTAGTCTTGAACTCCTGGCCTCAAGTGATCCTCCCACCTCCGCCTCCCAAAGTGCTGGGATTAAAGACATGAGCCACCAAACCCAGCCCCACTCTAATAATTAATTAATTGATGAATAGATCCATTGGCTCAGCAGAGTCCCATGATGGTGAGAGATCTGAGGGAAGCTAGAAGTCTTCAGCCTCCTGCCTGGGGACCTGGGGGAGCTTTCCCCAATGCCCATGATGATATCTTGGGAACCTTTTTGCTTCCTCCCCAGATGGTTGGGTCACCTCCAGGGTGTGGGGGCTAAGAGCATGGCAAGGCTCAGCAGAGCTCAGCAGGCAGAGGTGGATGGACATTCTGGGGTGAGGTCCCTGGGGCCAGACAGTCCCAGCAGGGTGGGACAGGACAGGGCAGGCCTGGAAGACCTTCAATCACACAAATGGGCAGGACTCTACCTCCAGAAGGGAGTGGACTCCCCTGGGCTCGGTGATTCTCCCTCCTCAGTCTCCCTCTTGAGTAGCTGGGACTACAGGCACCCGCCACTACGCCCGGCTAATTTTTTATATTTTTAATAGGGACGGGGGTCTCACCATGTTGCCCAGGCTAGTCTTGAACTCCTGGCCTCAAGTGATCCTCCCAACTTGGCCTCCCAAAGTGCTGGGATTAAAGACGTGAGCCACCAAACCCAGCCCCATTCTAATAATTAGTGGACTCCAGCAGGCAGGCGGCCCGAAATTCCAGCAGGAGACACACAAGCCAGGAGAGAAAAGAGACCTGAAGTCTGGGAACAGGAAGTACCTGCTCCCTGCATAGGACAGCCTGATCCTGGGAGCAAGAGTGCCAGGCAAGGGGTAGGGAGGAGAACAGGAGAGATGGGAAGCACATGTCTTGCCGTCCCCTCAGAGGCTTCCTTGCAGGGAACTGAATGACACTCTAGTGCAGGCTGGATGAGCTTGTCATGCTCCCCACCTGGTGCCCCGAGACTTGTCACTGGGGAGCCGAGGAAGTGACCCCCTCATGCTCGAGCTGGAGAGTGGGGCCTGTGGAGGTCACAGTGCCCAGGCCAGTCACCTCTAGCTGCACCAGCCTCATGCATGTGCCCAATGCGCCCTTAGAATTCTACCTCTGTGTGTGCAGTGGGGAGGACGAGCTAGGAGGCTATACAGCACCTGATGGGGGTTAACACTGAGCCTGTATTATTGTATTAGGTTGGTGTTAATAGCTACTGTTACTGATGATAGGATTTTTTTAATGCAGGGGCTTGGGCCCCACCTACTGAATCCAACTTCATGGGTGGAACTCAGGCAGCTGCCTTTTTTAAAAAGCTCCCAAAGGTATTCGGCAGGGATTAGAACAGGCAAAATTTTCACTTTTCACTTCATTTCTTCATGGTTTCTTTGAATTGTTTATACTACGAACATTTTTTAAAAGACTAGATTAAAAATACATACACAAATATATCGTGGGTTTGGGAACCGCTTGCTAGAAGAGGCTGGGCAGGGTGGGCAAAAGAAAGCCACAGCTCCCGGGAGGGTGGGCACAGCCCCTGCTGGGTGCTGCCAGAAGTCACCCAGGAGCACCAGCAGGAGATGCTTAGAGTGTGTTGCCAAATATTCAGCATTAACCCCCCCTCCCCGCCCCCGAGGCACCATGAGCGGCAAACAAAGAATCCTGCTAAAAGAAGCTTTTGCTCCTCCTCTCCCGCTGGGAAGAAAAGCGGCTGGCAGTTGGCAGACTTTTCCAGAAGGTTCCCTGATAACCTCCCCACCCCCTCAACACTCACCTAGGCCGGGCCACCTTCCTTCCAAGAGGTCAAGGACTCAACAAGTTGCCAAAGAGAGGCGGTTTGGACAGTGACTGTCTGGCATAGCCCAGGGTCTGCACTGTCCCAGGAGTGCTTAGTCACCTTCCAAAACAGGAGCCATGGCCCTTCCACCCTCCCATACACATCTGTCTCTTTTGGTCAACGTGCAAGTGTGTGTGTGAATGTGCCTCGAGAGTGTGGTGAACTAACCCGAGATCCCCAGCATCCAGGGACCACCTTGGTGCCTGACCCTCTCTCCCACTGGGGCAATCTTAACCCGTCACCCCCTGTCCCTGTTGTATCTCAGGGATTGGGACATCTCCCTTGGTTACTCAACACCCAATGCACAGAGAGGGCACCAGACTGCTGCTAGTCACACAGCAATGGCAAGGCCAATCCAGGCATCTGGCCATGAGGCAACACCTCTGCTGGCATTCCTGCCCACCCTGTCTCTAGTTCCCAGCCTTCCACAAGCTTGGACTTTTCATACTGACTGTATAGCACGTGGGGCTCCTGGTCCTTCAGAGACCCTCACCCTAACCCCAGCCACCCCCTCTGCTGATCCTCTTTGACCTGCAAGACACTGGCGGGAGGTCGGTAACTGGAAGAAAGTGCTGAGCTCCCAGCAACACTGAGCCAGAGAAGAAAGGCAGCAACACACAGTCCAACATGAGGCCTGCCGGGAGGCCTGCGGGGAGCAGCATGAGCCTCCTGTACCAGCCACTGTGAGGACTGCCACGAACCTGCACCTGCTGGGCCCTGGCCCCACACAGCTGCGCCTATCAAACACCTGGACACTCTGCCAGCCCCTCACACAACATCTCCCGCACTGCACAAACCATGGATTGTACAGCCCATACCTGCACCCACCTCACCCAACAGAATTCCCTCCACCACCAGGCGGTCCCAAGGAAAGCTTATACACCATTTCATTCAGGGTGGGGACTGGCCTCTCTGAAGATAACCCTTTCCAACACACTGACCATGGTTACCACCATCACTGTCTCAAACACAGAGTAATGGCAAGAAGCGCATCTCCTGGGCAGGCTTTCCAAATTTTAACGTCCACAATCACCCCGGTGTCTTGTTAAAATGCAGATTCAGATTCTTCAAGTCTGGAGTGGGGCTCTAGGCTTTGCCTTCCTAACAAGCTGCTAGGGATGCTGATGTCGCTGGCCCAGGACCACTTCTAAGGTCTTAAGGCAGTGGTTCTCAAACTCATCTGCAAATTAGAGTTATCTGGGCATCTTTTCCAAAACCCAGATCACACCCCAGACCAACTCTCTGGAGGACCCGAGAGTGGCGTGGCTGAAGCCAAGCACACTTGGAGTTCACTGGCCCCTCTCTGAGTGCCAGGTGCTGTCCTAGGTGCTGGGTGCAGAGTAGCCCATACTCTTGAAGTTTACAGCCCAGAAAGGGAGGTGGGTATTAAACAAGGGGCCTAATCAGTAAACAGGATGAGTCTAGGTCAGGGAAAGCCATAAAGGAAATGAATAGTAATAAGAGAGAGAAAATAGGTTGGGCGTGATGGCTCACACGTGTAATCCCAGCACTTTGGGAGGCCGAGGCAGACAGATCATCTGAGGTCAAGAGTTCGAGACCAGCCTGGCCAACATGGTGAAACCCCATCGCTACTAAAAATACAAAGAGAAAAAATTAGCCGGGCATGGCGGTGGACGCTTGTAATCCCAGCTACTCAGGAGGCTGAGGCAGGAGAATCGCTTGAACCCGGGAGGCAGAGGTTGCAGTGAGCCAAGATCGCACCATTGCACTCCAGCCTGGGCGACAAGAGTGAAACTCCATCTCAAAAAAAAAAAAAAAGAGAGAGAGAGAGACAGAAAATGGAGGAGGCCTCATCAGATTGAGGGGTCAGGAAAACCTCTCAAAGGATGTGACCTTCAGCTGAGACCTGAAGGCTGAGAAACAGCCATTCATGAAAGGAGCCAGGAGATGGCGTTCAGGCAGAGGGAATGGCAAGGGTAGAGGTCTGGAGGGGAGAAGTGATGGCAAGTGGCAAGAGAGTAGGGAAAGGAGGGCCCATCTGGTGTCTCAGCCCTCACCCGTGAGGCACAGAGCTTGGCCTGTCTGGGCGAGTCTGTGCTCTCCAGCCTTGAAAAAAAGGAAAAGAAGGAAAAAGGGAAGGTCTATTCTCATGACACCCCGGGAAGAGCAGCCCCCACCCCTGCCATAAGTATCACCCAGGGGCTCAGCCCTGGATCCTGGTCTAAACCAAGCAGTACAGGTAAGGGGAGAGAGGAGAGCCCTGGAGGGTGGGCAGGGTAGAAATCAGGCACCTACCTCTGGCTGACAGCTTCTTTGTGTTGATGATCTTGGCAGCATACTCCTGGCCAGCCAGCACCTTCACACACCTTCGCACCACCGAGAAGGCTCCCCTAGGAGGACAGAGAAGGTGGAGAGGGTGAGGGAATGCCTGAGGGCTGTGTCCCTAGGAGATGTTGGAGTTCACATCACTGCCCCACGCTAGACAGAAGCCCTTCATCAGAGCTGCTCAAGCTCACAGGGGCTTCTGTGACCCAACTCAGGGACACAGCGAGGCCAGAGAGACCCAGAAGATGGATCCAGAAGCAGAAGATTAGAAGCTTGGCCTCAAGTGAGAGGAGCCTGCCAACGTCATCAAAGTCGGGCTCATCATGCTGTAAAACATTAGAATCACGTAGTGTTAGAACCGTGGAATCCAGGTCTCTGAACATTTTTAGATTTTATTCTTTGAGTAGGTAAACGTGGATATGGTTCAAAGTTCAAAAGATATAAGGGTATAGGTAGTAAAATGACCCCCTCCCGCCCCTGTACTGCAGCCCCTGAGGTCCCCTTCCCAGAGATTACCACTGTTACCATGTCCTTGAGTCTCTTTCCACAGATGGTGTCCCACACACGAATGGACTGGACTTTGTATAGAGTTCTCCACCTTCCTTTTTTCAGTGAATAATATATTTTTAGAGATCATCCTTCCATATCATAACATAAGAGTTCCTTGTTACTTAGTATGTAATTGTATGGCTGTCCGATCCTTTATTCAGCCAGTCCCCTACTGATGGGCACTCAGATTAGTTTCAATCTATAGCCATTACAAACAATGCTACAATGACTAGCCGTGTATGTGTGCATTAGAATTATATCTCCTATGTATGCATGTGTCTGTGTGGGATACATTTCCAGAACTTATGTTATCTGGTCAAGGGGTAGGTGTTGTTTGCTGATTTCAATGGATAATGAGAGATTGTCCATATTAAAGATTGTACCAACTCACTTTCCCACTAGAATGCAAGAGTGCCTGTTTCCTTTGCCCTTGTCAACACAGTGTATTATCAAACTTTTTTATATCTGCTAAAGAGACAGGTGGAAAATGGCAATTTGCTGTAATTTAATTTGTAATTGTCACATTAAGAGTGAAGCTGAGCATCTTTTCATGTGTTAAGAGGCTCTTGGGATTTTATCCTCAAACTATTAGTAATTATAAGAGAACTTGGGGCAAGGTCTGTGAGCTTTCCAGCTCACAGGGGAAAAACATTGTCACCATGTAGAATGTGGCCCATTTCCTACCTCATTTGATTTTTCAGGAAAAGCTACAAGTCTGGATATTGATGAGAAGTTTCCCAATTTTTAAATATTGGCACCTATTCCAAAAGAACTTGAGGATGGTATTAGGCCAAACAAAAGTTGTCTAAGGGCTAGATCTGGAGTCTAGATGCCATTTTGCACTCTTTGCCAAAAAGGCCATGTGCTCCAACCCCTTCATCTACAGAGGAGACTCCTAAAGGGCCCGATACTGACCGTAGTCACCACTATGGCACCCTAACCCCATGCTAATGGCAAGAAGAGAGTCTCCTGGGCAGGCTTCCCAAATCTAAATGTCCATGGAAATCACCCAGGCACCTTGTTAAAATGCAGGTTATGATTCCTCAAGACTTTGAGCTCCAGTATAGTTCAGTGTAGATTGCCCAAGGTCACATGGTTCATAACAGGCAGAGCTGTGTCTAGAACTCAGATGTTAGCATTCTTGGGTATGTGACTTCCACACCAAGTAAGTCTTCCACTTCCTGGCATGCTGGGCCATGCCCAGGTTTTTGACATGGCTGCACCCATCACATCCTTCAAACTTGGATGCCCCATCCCAAGCTTATGGGCAGCTCCGAGCCCACAAAAAGATGAGGCTGACAAGGCAGAGGAGGATGCTGGCAGGCACCGAAGAAGCCTGCAGGCTAGCACAGATGCCTGCTCTGCACACAGCCCTGAACATGGTATCACTGGCTTCATGTCTGGGCAGCAGGAAATGAGCGGCTGGGAAACTGTGCAGAAGGATGAGGAGGAAGGAGCCAGGATACGGACTAGAGACCAAGAAATATAACCTTGTAGGAAAGCTAGAGAGGGCCAGAATTCATGGGCACACAGAGGGCCTCACACAGCTGTGGCTCCTCCTTGGGGCGTGCAGCCTGTCCATATGCTACCAGGAAGAAAGCAGCAAGACCCCAGTCCCCTCCCTGAGACTCTCCCCTGCTATGCAGCCCCTCTTCCGTGCTTCCAGAGCACCCCTGCTTAGAAAAAATTCACTTTTCTTCCATCATTCCCATGCTTCTGGCCACCAGCTATGAAGGGGTTTTTTTTCACACCAACTGATGCTTTGGACACCAGTTGGGTATCCTATAATTCAGTTATGAAACTAACTACCTAGAGTTAGTGCAGACCCCACAGGTTAAGGGCTAAGTCCTACAAGACTTTCCCCTTGCTTCAGATACCAATCACAAATAGTGGGTCCTCAGGTTACCCACAATTCTGTCCACCCAGCTAGTGACTGGGGGATCCCACAACCCCCTCCTTTTATCATTTTCTATGATGGCTCACAAAACTAGGAAAACGCTTACTTACATTTACCAGTTGTGCATGTGTGTGTGTTTACATTAAAGGTTATGATAAAGGGTACAGATGAACAGCTAGATGAGGAGGGGCACAGAGCAAGGTCTGGAAGGATCTTGAACACAGGAACTTTAGTCCCCATGTAGTTGGGGTGTGTCACCTTCGGGGTATGTGGATGTTTTCACCAAACCAGAAGGTCTCCCAGCTCCGTACTTAAGAGACCTTTATGGAGGCCTCATCACTAGGCATGATTGATTATTAACTCAATCCCCAGCCCCCCTCCCCTCCCTGAGAATGGGGAGAGGGGCTGAAAGTTCCAAGCTTCTGGCCACGGTTTGGTCTTTCTGTGACCAGCTCCCATACAGGCACCCACCCAAAGCTGCCTCATTAGAACAAAAGATGTTCTCATCACCCAGGAAATTCCAAGGCAGTTGGGAGCTTTCAGTCAGGAACTGGGTTCTAAGACCAAATATTAGAACAAAAGATGCTGTTAGTACCCCCATCACTTAGAAAATTACAAGGGTTTGGGGAGCTCTGTGCCAAGAACCAGGGACAATGACCAACTATTTATTTCTAGATTTCCACAACCCTACATCCCCATCTAACTTAGATTGGTGGCGGCTCCTCCACCTGCTTATTTCTCCCACCCTGACAGTGAGTTCCTGAGGGCCAGGACTTTCACTTTCTTCTCTCTGCCCCCAGTGCTTGAATACCCAGCGTCTAGTGCCAATAGAGCCTCCATGAGTGTTACTTGCAGGAGAAGGAGGTGGATTTCAGCAAGAGTGAGAGAAACTGAAGTGAGACAGGAGAAGAGATTTTCAGATGGGGTGTTAGGAATAGGAACAGTCATCTAAGGAAGGTGGGGGACAACTAGTCTCTCAAAGGTGCCCACCCTACCCAGGCATGGGGATGGACCCCAAAGACCTTTAGGTCCCCCTCTAGCTGGGGGCCATGATTCTCAAAAGCCCTATGAGAAAGAAGCTTAAAGTGGCCACATCTGGGCAAGGTTCTGAGAACTCCAGGAAGAGAAGGGCAGGAAGCAGGGAAGGTTGTGAGCTCCAGGGTGCAGGAGCTGGGTCTCGTCCTGCTCACCAGCACCTGACAAAGCTTGGTCCAGAGCTACAGCTCAATTAATATATGTGGGTGGATGGAGGGATAGAGGAAGGGATGGTTGGACGGGGGAGGGAGGGATGAGTATAATTTCTCCATTAGAGAGGCAAAACTCCATTCTAGGTAAAGACCTTAGATCAGTGATTATCAAATTGGCTGCCTCAGAATCCCCTGGAGGATCTTTAAAAAAAAAGATTCTGGCCGGGCGTGATGGCTCACGCCCGCAATCCCAGCACTTTGGGAGGCCAAGGTGGGAGAATCTCTTGAGCCCAGGAGTTTGAGACCAGCCTGGGCAACATGGCGAAACCCCATCTCTACTGCTGAGCATGGTGGTACACATCTGTGGTCCCAGCTACTCAGAAGGCTAATGTATGAGGATCACTTAAGTGCCAGAGTGGGAGGTTGCAGTGAGCTGAGATAGCATCACTGCACTCCAGCCTGGGTGACAGAGCAAGACTCTGTCTCAAAAGAAAAAATAAGCAGATTCCAAGGTCCCACCCACACCTCCTAAATCAGCACCTCTGGGTGTAGGCCCAGGGAATTTGTAATTTCATTTTAACTCTGTCTGTGGGTGATTCTTTCCCAGGCAGCCCAGCACTGCCCAACGCCTTCCGGGGAAGTCCTGCTGTGTATCCTGTCTCCCTTGGAAATCAGCACTGATGGGGGCCAGCGAGGGGGGCTCTGCACAGGGAGGCCTGACAGGCCCCATGAGCCTGGGCTCTGGCTCAGTGAGCCAAGGCCGTAAGAGCTACGTCTATAAAACAAGAGAAGCCATACGTGCTGAAGTTCCTCTTCAGAACAGCACCAAGCTTTTGTGTAAATTAGAGGCTCCTCACTGAAGGTCCATGCCGTAGATGGGGTAGTGTGGGGACCCTGAACCCCTTGAAGGATACCCTGTACATCCCAATGTAAGCAAGTGCATTTTTTGGAGGCAGGTAAGGGTGCATGGCTTTTATCAGATGCTCAGAGAGAGGAGTTTCTCAAAACAAGTTTAGAGCTGCTGATCCAGAGGGTACCAGCCCCTCACAAGCGCAGAAGTCTTCTTCCCTTCAAATATACATTCACCACTAAGCACCCTTTTGATCCTCACAGCAATCCTGTGAAGTTGGAATTCTGATCTCCCATTTAATAGATCAGGAAACTGAGGCCTCAAGTGAGCAGGCATATTCTTAATTGAGGCTATGAAGAGAATCCAGGTCACTTGCACTTTTTCTTCTGACTCAACCAACAACAGAAGAATGTGGTCCTCAAAAGCAGAGGCTCTGGGGTCACAAAGACCTGTAGTCCAATCCTAGCTCACCCCCAACTGTGTGACGCTGAACTTGACACATCACCTTTCTGCGTCTTCCTGTTAGAGGGCAATAATAGCCTCTACCTCCTGGGTTTGTTGGGGAGATTAAGTGAGGTAACTAGTGCAAAACACTTGGCACAGTACCAAGCACATGAGACATAGTTGGGAAAGAAGGGGGTCTGAATGAGGCAAGGAAAGGGGCTGGGCTGCTACCTAGGCAGCCCCAGGCTCCATCCCTGCCTGCCATGGCAGTGGGGATCAGAGGAAAGTCATAGCCAAAATGAGAGTGAAGGCAGTGAGTCGGCAGCCCTAACTTCCTCCCTTTTTTATCTTCTGTTTAAAAAAAAAAAAAAAAGCATGTTTCTGTATTCTTGTCCTGCATGAACAAGTGGCAATAGCCCAGAAACCTTGGCAAACAGAAGAGCCAGCCCACTCCTCTTGTGGCCCTGAGCTGAGCAGGCAGCCAGCAGATGGGTGGGTGGGCCAGAGCTTGGGAACAGGACAGGGCAGGAGAGGCAACGAGGCCAAGTTGGGGAGGGCAAGGGTGGGAAGCGATGGCCAAGAGTCCCAAGAGGAAGGGATGAGGCCTGGGTGTGAGAGCTGTGGCGGATGGCCATGGGCAGTCCTGGAAGTGCCTGTGAAAGTGTTTCTGAATTCCTCGAGGGGTGTAGGGGAATGCCCCTGGGTGCAAAGGAGGAGGGGTGGGGGAAGTGTTCCTGGGTGCAAGGGGCGGGTGTCTGGCCATAGGCGTGTATTGGCAACCTGGTCTAGCCCCTAAGAGTGTGATGCTGTGAGGCTGTAGGTGTGACAAAGCACACGTATATCACCCTAGGTATGAGGCGTGCATCCACGTGAGCCAGAGGGTCACAGAATGTAGGCAGGGAGGGGTGTGTGGGGGGAGAGACAGACAGGCAGACACCGGAGGAACCAAGTCTCAGCCCTCAGCCCTGCTGGGAGGACTTGGGCAAGAACCAGCCCCAGTGAGGGCCGCAGTCTCTTCATCTACAATGTGGAGGCTGGGGTAAGGATGAGGCTCAGGAATGCAGTGGCTTTTCAGCTCTCGTGTTTCATACCAGTGCCATTCAACAGAACTTCCTGTGATGATGCACACACCCTGAGCTGTCCACTGCGGCAGCCACTAGCCACAGATGCTACAGAGCACTTGAAATGGGACCAGTGGAACTGAGCACCAAATTTCTTATTTTATTTAATCTAAATAACTATATGTGGCTAATGACTGCCACATTGGAGAGCGCGGTTCAACATAGAGAAGAGCAGGCACTCCTGAATCAGACCGAGCAGAGTTCACATTGTGGGTCAGCTACTTCTTCCTAGCAAGCTACTTCACCTCAGTAAGCCTGTTTCCTCCCCACTGCAAAATACGGATAATAATAGTACCAACCCTATGCAGTTGTTTCAAGGATTCAATGAGATAATAAGGTAGGCAATGAGTTTGGCAGAGTCCCTGGGGTATAGTAAATGCTCAAGGAACAATGCCTTGTGTAGGCATCATTATCCATGAAGAGAGGAGGACAGCTGGCATCATCAGAAACAAAATGGACATTGTTTGCCAAGCTCGGGGAAGAAGCAAGCCAAGGTGGACGTGTGTGGGAGCCACAGCGAGGTAAAGAAGGGGCTGCTCACCAGGGTTGAGTAGCCTGCCCCTGAGGGTGGACGAGCAGGAGTGTGGGCAGGCAGGGAGGCCCCCCTCCGGCACTTCGGCAGACAGACGGAGAGGGCACAGTGACAGTGGGTCCGGCGCATGGCTGAGAATGTGGGAACGTGCTAATGGGCTGTGAAAAGCAAGATTCACGCTGGGAAATTGCTTTCTAGCTGCCTGGCAGACAAGGTGGCCTGGGTGTAGCTGGCTGCCAGCCCAAAGGGGCCCACTGCCCTCTCTGGCCTGAAACAGCAGGAAGAGTTGACATGGCAGCCAAGTGCAGCTCCAGCAGCACTAGATGGGGAGTCAGAAGTCCTGAGCCCTCACTCAGCTTGGCTACCAGCTTGCTTACTCTTCTGGGCCTCAGTTTCCTCATTTGAAAGATGCGACCAGCCCTGCTCCCTTCTGGGGCTATTTGTGAGGGGTCTCTGCTACTCAAGACTGGTTGCTGCCACTTTCTCTAAAGGAAGCCTCTTCACCTTCACCCCAAGCCACTCAGAGCCACGTTACATCTGTGAGTCTCAGCAAACAGGAACACTTTTTATCTATCGTGGCCTTCTGGGGACAGCAATCACCCAACACTTCCCTCCACTCTGTTCTCCGTGGGGGTCTGATTGTCTGGGCCCCTTACGGTAGTCTTTAGTGTCTGCTCTTCATTGACTGTTTCCTCAAACACGCTCAGGTCTCCTTCCTTCCAGAAAAATAAAACTCTCTCCTCAAATAAAACAAAACAACCGAGAACCTTTCTCTCGACCCAGCAGCCTGGGCTGTTTCCTTCCTCCCTTCTTCTTTGCTGCCAAACTTCCAGAACAAATGTCCGACATCCGCCGCCTCCTCTTCCCACCTCCCACACTCCATGAACCCACCACAATCTGGCTGCCGCCCCCAGGGCTCCATGGAAGAAATGCCTGCGCCAGGTTCGCCCACCCATGCCTCCTCCCACCCTCACCACTACCCCTTGCAGTCCCCGCTGGAGCCTAATGCACCTTGCCTGCCCCACCCCAGGTAGCATTTGGCCCCACTGAACACAGCTTTGAGCTCGCCCTTCCTTTTGTTTCTGGGTCGCCGTGCTCTCCCAGCCTTCTCCATCACTGACAGTGCCTTTGCTGCCCCACCTTCCCTCAGTATTGCTGCTCCCGGCCTCTTTCTACCCACCCTCTTACCACTCCTGCCCATCCCCTCTACCAGGGGCCATTAGCTGTGATCTCTGGGGAGGCTCTGGGCATTTGTGAACCCACTTAAAACTGTATTAAAATGATTCTGTGTCTGTGCATTGTTCTGGGCAAAGGATGCGTAGTCATCAGCTCTGCAAAGCAGTCCATGACTCTGCAAATAGTTAAAGCCATTGACCATCACCCAAAACTGAAATCCACATCCAGAGCCCCCTCCTGTCTTAGGAACTCTAGCCCCGTATTTTTAGCTACTCATTATCTTGCCTAGATGCTACATGGCAGTTACCTCATAATCAAAGCCCAGTCTCTTCCCCAAAATTTCCCCACTCTTGGTTAAGATACTTAAGCATTTCACTTCTCTGAGATGAGCTGGGGGTATTTCAGAAAGTTCCTGGTCAAATGCAGATAGATCTGTTACCTGTAAGAGAATCTGCATCCAAAACCCCTTGGTGGTCAGTAACACATAGCCCAAGCTGGCTGATTTGATCACCCAGGACGTGGAACCCAGAATAGAGAGGTTAGAATGCCTGGGGGAAGAGAAAGAGCTGGGGTTGGCCACAGAGGCAGCACCACGCACTGGGCTAGAGTTTGGGCCACATGTGGCTGCATCAGAACCTTGTATAGCCCATAATGTCTTACTTTTGAAGTCCACCCCCTCCTATTCCAAAGCTGAAGAAACTGGGGCCAAGACTTTGAACCCAGGACTGCTGATTCATAGTCATTGCTTTTTCCAATACCCAGTACTCTCAGGTTAGAGGGGGTCCGACCTTGAGGTCCATAGTTGGGCTTGGAGTAGGAGGACCTGTGGAAAATAGCAGCATTCTGCGTGTTGCAGTGAGTGTGCATTTTGGAAGGGGGAGAGTACCCACAGCTTACTTGAGATTCTCTGAGGGCTCCTAATTCCCAAAACAGTTAAAAAGCTGGGGTCAGTTTCATTCAGAAACAATGAGAAGCTTTTAGGCCTCAGCTTACCCATCTGTGAAATCAACTGTTGATAAGTAATTTTTAAGCCTTCTCTTTCTTTCTTTCCCATTTAGGCATTAGTACCTTTTGTTAATAATAAACAAACAAAACACAGCTATGCAGCTTCTCAAATGGCAAATAGATCAGAGGAGATGGGGCTGGATGCTCACTATCCCCTTTGCTTGACTCTCCCCACTTCTTCCCAGCTCTGTAAGCAGAACTCCACAGAACAAAGCATTATACAGCTAGAAAATCCTAGGACCTGTTACTGAAACCACACCTCTCCCGTCCTCTCGACCGCCTGAGGCTGCAGCCACCCACTCCCAGACTCTAAAAGATGCTGCAGGGACGCAGTGTGCTCGAGCTGTCCCACACTGCCCCCCGCCCCCAAACACCAATCCAGCAGAAGTCTCGTGGGGGACACAGAAGGGCTAGGAACCGGAAGAATCTGTTTGCTGCAGGGAACATTGAACCAACAGAAGTTCCAACATATTCCTTGTTTTGGCTGTGCAAGGGTTTTTTTGTATGGGTCACAAAAAGAAAAACAGAAAAATATTCTATTTTCTCTTTACAGTGCTTAAAGGAAGGGCCAGAGCCCAGCAAGGCAAGGGACATGCCAAGGGGTGACTTACTCCTCGGTCTTTGATGGCCTGTCCCTGTCCAGAGTATACACCACAAAGGCTTTCAGAGGTCCAAGCGTCAAAGAGAGAGAGGCCTCCAGGGGTAGGACAGCCAAGCACTGGAGTGGACAGACACTGGAGTGTCCAGTTCTCATGTGTCACTGGCTTGTGTGACCATGGGCAACGCCCTCACCCTCTCTGGGCCTTAGCTCACCATCTGTAAGACAATGGAGCCCTCTTCCCTCCAATATACTGAATCGAACTGAGGGTACCATGGCTCTAAACCATCTCCCATATCATTCTTTCAGAAAAACATCTCCCCAGATGAGGGTAGGGACCTAGGGCAGGAGGCCTGCAAGGAAGGTAAGGCCATGGATGAGAGTGGGAATTTGCACATCTCTGCTGCCAGAGCACTAGCTCCTGAGGCCACAGCCAGCTGTGGGATGCAGGAGCAGTTCTGACCATTGGAATGTCTTCCTTCTGTGGAGCTGAAAGCTACCTCCCTTACTCTACAGAGTCGGCAGCTCTGCCTCTAGGGCCCCTCAGGCCCCAGGACATCTCTGCAGACATAAGATGTTGGGGAAGGGGGAGACATAGTCCCCAAGGGATCTCTTCTGTCTGCTAAAGCCCCCCAATTCCTTGGTGTTCTCTCACTTGATTCAGCTTCCAGACCTTCACCACCCTGCCTGGCCCCCTCTTCCAGACAATCTACAGGTTTTTAATAGTCCTGCTAGGACCCAGCATCTGGAAATTGGGGTCAGGCTGAACAGGCCAGAGAAGAGTGGGACCCCAGATCCCCCAGGGCTGACATGCTCCACTGAAATACATACCTCAGAGCTTTTGTCTGGGTTGTTCCCACTCTCAGGAACACTCTTCCACCCTCTTCCCTCTGGTTAACTCTTCCTCCTCTCTCTTACTTTCTCTCTTTTTTTAAGATAGAGACAAGGTCTTGCTCTGTCACCCAGGCTGGAGTGCAGTGGCATGATCATAGCTCATTGCATCCTCAGACTCCGGGGCTCAAGCAATCCTCCCACCTCAGCCTCCCGAGTAGCTGGAACTACAGGCGTGCACCACTGTGCCCAGCTAACCTCTGGGTAACTCTTATTCAGCCTCCAGCTCCCTAATGTCACCGCCTCAGGGAACTTTCCCTGATACCTTCCTCACCCCAACTAATCGAGGTCTCTTTGCAGCTCACAATTCCATGTGTGTGGCCAAAGCCCTTATCCAGTTGCATGTAAATAATGATTTCTGAAGTGATTTAATTAATGTTGGCTTTGCACTGGATTGTGAGCCCCGTGAGGCAGAGACTACTTAAGTCTTGCATGTGGTGCATGCTGGGCTCAACCTAGGCCTGGGAACAGAGTACCCCGCCCAGGAAATACCTGTTGAAAGGATGCAAGGATTCCAGATGTGTTCCTCTTCTTATATGACCCTAAGACACCAAGGCCCTCAACCTTCTCCAGCACAGAAAGTCTCACTGGCCTTAGAGTCCCACCTGACACCGTGGTAGACAGCCATGCCACACGAGGACCTAGAGGACCTGGGCTGGGTCTCAGGAGGTTGGGCTGCACCTGCACTCAGCAGGTTGCCTGGGGTAGGAGGCTTCCTACAGTGCCACAGAGAAGCTCCAAGAGAATGCCACAGGTGGTTCACATGCAGAAGGGGACTGCAGCAAAGAGGGACAGAGACAGAGGCAGAGTGAGACCAGAGAGACAGAGACAGAGTGAGACCAGAGAGATGGAGAGAAGAACACAGAGAAAGACAAGCCCTGCTAGCACCATCTTGCTATCCCTGCACTGGGAGATGGACTCGTGCTCTATGCCCTGTCACAGCCAGTGTGTGTGTGTGTGTCCATGTGCATGTGTGTGCTCCCGTGAGCTGTGTGAAGACGCATGTGTGTGTGTGAGCACGCATGCATCAGCAACAGGATGCGAGTGTTGCACTCCGAGGCTCTGCCCTCACCCCACAGAGAGGGCCATGGCCCAGACTGCAGGGCATGCTGGCAGCAGTGTCACTGTGTGCTTGTGGAGGGAGGTGGGGAGGAAGGGAGGGAGGGAGGGAGGCTCAGCAGAGTGTCAGTGTGTCTCAGCCTGTGTGGGGGCGGCTGCGCGGGGGCGGAGGGCTGCAGCGTGCACCAGAACATGTGCGTGCCTGCCGCTCTGATGGCTTGGAGGAGAGGGAGGAAAGCTCGTCCCTTCCCTGTTCCTGCCACCCTTTCCTTGAGGTCCTGCCCCTCAATTTCCCATCCTTTGGCCTCTGGTCCCTGCACGTCATCTAGTCCCCTAGCCTGGGCCCTCTCTCTCCTGTGGCCTTGGACAAACCACTTCTCTCTGAGTGTTGGCTCCCAGAGACCAAGGCAAGGACCATCTATGCAATGAGCAGAGCATCTCCATGGTCCTTACAATTCTGATGTTCCGGAGGTCTGCAATTTCCCATATGTGCCCTCCACAGAGGGAGGCTACAGAGCGTGGCATCTCTAATGGGGCATTGCAGGCATCTCCAGAGGTATTATGATCCCCATTTTACAGATGGTAAAGCCGAGGCACACAAACAGCAAGTGATTCACCCAGGATGGCCCAGTAAATTAGAGGCAGAATCATGATTGGAAAATCAGCAACATCAGAGTTTCCCTGCCCACATGGCCACTGCTCCTCTTCCCCTGTTAGTGGGTAAGAGGGAGGATGTTCCCCAGATACGGCACCAGTCACGATCCCTCTCAGCAGTCTTCCCCCGATATGCTGGGTGCTGGAGACCTGGACATAATCCCCTGAGCCAGTCTCTCCACCTCCTCAAGCTGCGGTCTCCTCATCTGTAAGATGGATGAGTAAGCCCTGCCCAGCTCCTTCAGAGATGAGCTCATGGATGAAAAGCCTTGCCGGCCCCAAAGTGCTGTGGATAGGAGAGGGTATAAGAGGTGGAAGAAAAGCACGGCCCCCAGTCTTTGGGTACATGGATGCCCAGTGTCCTCTCTCCAACGTGACATTGTCCACCCAACAGCTCTGCCTGGGAAAGGCAGGATTGCTAAGCACATTCTACAGATGTTAGAGTTTGGGTCCCATGAGAGGACTTGAGCACCCAGGCCCCAGGACCTCAGTACAGGGAGTTGCCTCTGGGCCACACTGCCACCTGTGGATCAACCCAGGTGAGAAGGAGCTTAGGTCGAGGAAGCTGCCCTCTCCTCCCTGTCAACCATGCTGGCCAACTGCAGCCTTGGCAACCCCTTCTCCAACCCCAGCTCTGCCTTGAGTCAATTTCAGATCTCTGTTTCTAGAGAGAAAAGAGTGGGCTGAGCTCTCTCTCTAGTCTCTCTTCCTCCCTCTCTCTCCCTCTCTCAAGTAAAATCTCCTTCAGAGACTCTTCCTATACAGCCCAGTGATGACACAGGCTGCAGGGCAACTTTCTACCTTTCTAACCTCTCCTGGGGGTAGGATCAGAAGCCCGGAGAATGCCAATGGCTGGAAAAGGCTCGTTTTCCACTTCCTTGAACGTGACCCCTTCCCTGGGCCATCTGCTGCATCCGTGGCAACCCCTTTGCCCAATAACCAGCATTCTTCCCTTTCTCAGAGAGGTCTTTGGAGAAGGCTGGGTATGCTGGGAGCTCTGGCCTGACCACTTCAGTCCACACTGAACCCTGGAGCTGGTGCAGCACGCCTCCTGCAAGCTTCGGTGCCGCTAGGATCTGGGCTTTTATTTCTCTCATCCTCAGGAGAGAAGAGGATTGGGTCAAACGAAGAGGGATGAGCTCATCTCTGGATCCCAAGAGACAGCCCCACCCCAACCTTCTAGGAGACCGGAATCAAGTTCTTGACTCATCTGAATTCATATGCTTCAATGGAACCTGCAGTCGAGTAGCATCAAGAGGCTCCAGTAGCCCTGCCTGGGGCCCTGGCCCCAGTCACAGGTTCCCAGAGGGCTGCCCACCAGGGCTGGAGAAGAGCAGCTACTCTCACATCCATAGCCAGCCCTATCCGGGGCTCCTCAAAGGCCTGCAGTCCTGAGCCAGACCTCACTGGGCAGGATGCCAGAAGCCCTCCAGAGGGATTTGCCCTCCTCTCCTGCTGGGCAGCCCAACGCCTTGAAGGAGACCCAAAGGCTCCCATGTGCCCTTTTAGGGCCAACCTGGCTGCCTTTTCCAGTCACCCTGCTAGTGATCTGAAGTGGGTTCTGGAACGGGGGCTTAGCTTTTGGGTGGTGACTGCAGTGTCCCAGCTGGCAGGGACGGTGGATCATCAATTGAAGGATGGGCCCTGCAGGTACCCTCATAGCTTCCTCCCACAGAAGAGGCCAGCCAGGGGGGAAGCACGGTTTGGTCAACCTCCTCCCAGCCCCGGATGGGCCAACTCCAGACAAAAGGTACAAGCAGATCCCATTCCTCACTTTCAGCCTTGCCCAGCCTTTGAGAACAACAACAGTCACCCCAGTAGCAATCGGCCCTGGGGGCCTGTCATGTGCCAGGCTCGAGGCTGCATCTCTACATGCACCATCTCATTGAATGCTCACAGCCCTTTTTATCTCCAGACTACAGGTGGGGGTAAAGAGGTAGCATAGCCTGCCTGGTGTCACAGAGCTATGGGTGATGAGGGACAGCGCCTGTGTCCCTAGTGGCTACGCAGGGCACTGCCCCTCCCTGCACCACTGGATGCTCAGACTGAAGCTGCTGTGGAGAGCAGGAGCCCCAGGCTCCTCAATGATGTGGTCTGGACTTTTTAACACAGACATCAGGGGTGCGGAATCAGTCCACTTTATCCCCTTGTCTCTAACACAAGCTTCTGCAAACTTAGGCTCATACACAGT
This sequence comes from Homo sapiens, assembly GCF_000001405.40. Classification (NCBI taxonomy): domain Eukaryota; kingdom Metazoa; phylum Chordata; class Mammalia; order Primates; family Hominidae; genus Homo; species Homo sapiens. The sequence goes on from NC_000005.10 coordinate 150,287,249, forward strand.
CTTCCCGATGTCCCTGCAAGCTCCTGACATTGCATGCAACATTTCGTAGGTTTGTGCGTTTTTCTGGGGAACGTAGATTTAGACTTTCATCAGATTCCTGAAGGAATATGTGACCTAAAAAAGGTTAAGAGCAGTCTGATGGTTCTGGAAGGAAGAAGTCTGAAATTGATTAAACAAGGCCTAGCTATGCCTGCTACCCTCGGTTTTCCTGCCATGGCCACACCAGGGCTCCCTTGCCCCTGAAATTCTCTGTGAAGGCTCACGAAGGGTCTCTCTACCAAGTTGCCCCCACAAAACCCAGTCTTAATGATATCCATCTCCTCTTGGGGCAAAACATCACTTTTATTTTCACTTTGAGCACTTGAGTCACATCTCAACTCCATCTCACTGTACTCATGACGCAGTCCTGCCAGGACCCAGTCTTGGTCACTCCCTGAAAGGCAGCTTCATGGCTAATCAGGGAATTCTTGGGTTCTAGGCGAGCACTGGAAAACACCTGGAGAGGGGTCCCTGCACAAGTTTGTAGACAGCCTCAGTCCTCCAGAGCAGCCCCAAACATTTTGTTCCTGCCCCTACCCGCAAAAAAAGCACATTCAGAAAAGCTGAAAGTCTGCAGATAAGAGTGAACACACGTACACATGGGGGTATATGTGCTCAAGGGAGGTGGTGCATGCCTGTAGGATAGCCTCTGTGTGTGTGTGTGTGTGTGTGTGTGTGTGTGTGTGTGTGCAAGCAGCCTTCCTGTATACAGTCACAGGGCCACCTCCCACACATATGCAGACACCAGCATGAGCTCACACATGCCTATAACACCCATACTCCCACATAACCCTGTGAGCCCAGGCCTCACACATGCACACACATGCGTGTGCACACACACGTACATCATCCTGTGTGCATGACCCCAGTCTTCACGTAGATGTGCATATCAAGACCTCACAGGAACACCATTGTGTCCGCATCTCATATGAGCATCCTCACACACCCCTAGACCTCACACACATGTGCCTTCCTATGTGCACACAGCTCTAACCTGCCATACATGTGCACATTTAATGAGTCATGTTTACACCCTTGTTCTCATTCAACCCAGCCAACAGCACTCTTGTAATACTCACACACATGCACCCTTGCAAGGCACACTTGCATTTTCAGGCCTTACACACGAAGCACCTCTTCCTGGTGCACATGCATGAATGCTTGCACACCCTGGCAGGGCACACCAGCGTACCCCAGTGTCACAAGCAATTTCCCTCAAAAGCCCTTCTACAGCCACACACATCACTCCTCAAAATGCACACTAGTACACACACATTCAGAACTCACACCAATACACACCTGCCTCCAGGGCCCCTCCCCCCGTGCTCCTGCTGCCTCAGCAGAAACCAACCAGGGCATCGGTGCTCCTTTGCCCACAAGGCAAACTCTGCCTCCAAAATGCACCCAACCCTTGACCCATCCCAGGATCCTCCAGAAACCCAGCTGGGGACATCCAGGAATCCCTCCCTGACACTCCACACCCTACTGGGCCACCCACAAGGGCCTCCCCTCTTTCCTCATCCTCCCATCCTTCTCTACACAGCAGTCATCAGGGCAGAAAATGAGCTCTGGGCTGGGCAACTTTGCTTGTCCAGAGCCACTGCACCCTTCATACCCTAGCCCCTGAAACAGCGGTGCTCCCCGCTACAGCTTTCCTGATTTCCTCTCCCCACCTCCCAACACCCGGGAAGCCTGTCATGCTCAGATATTAACCCCTACTGTACTGACGCCCTCACTCCTGGCAGGAGCTGAGAAAGGGGAGGTAGGGAGGGAGAAGTTGGCCACTCTGTACAGTCACTGTGGGTGTCTAAAGTCAGGAAGAACTACCGGGAGCTGGTGAATTCTCTGTCACTGGAGGTATCTAAGTGGAGGGCGGATGGCCACCTCAAGCAAAACTAGAGAAGGAATTCCAGCTTTGGACCCAGCTGACTAGGAAAATCCCTTTTTAACCCTAAGTCTCTAAGAATCTGTGTGTATCCAGGTTGTGTGTACTTGTGTGCATTTTGTGTGTATGTGTGTGCACTGGCATACACTGTCAACCCTTCATCCCTACATACACACTGGCCTGGCTAGCTTGGCACATCTGTGCACCCACAAACATACCCACGCCCGACTCTGGACACTCTGTACACAGGCAGGTGCCCCCAAACCCATGCAGCCTGCCTTCATCTGTGTACAAGGAATGCTCCCCAAGCACTGCAGGCACACACACCCCACTAGAGACCCTGACCTCCCCGCCCCCCATGCCTTCCAGGACTTCCTGAGGCACAACTCACTTGCCCAATTCCTCGAAGAGCTGGTACTCTTCCGTGAAGCGGGTGCAGGTGATGGTGGCCATCCTGGCGCTGGGCAGGCAGGTGAGGCTTGGGACTGGGGGACCAGGACTGAGGCGCTGCTGCTCTGCTCCCGAACCTAGGGACCACTTGCCTGCCCGTGCTGCCGAGTGCAAACAGAGAACCGGTTTGACTGACGAGCCCGGGGCTTCTGAGCAGGGCACTGTGGCTGCTCACAGCCTCGCGAGCCTTCGTCAGCATCCAGGTCCCCATGGCAACCACCTCCAAAACGCCCTGTTCCCGTTGCCCCGGTAACTGCCTCCCCAACACCTGCCTGCCTTCCACTGCGAAACCTGCTCTCGGACGCCCTGACCATACCGCACACAATACTGCAAGCCTGTGTGGGCCTGGGGGTGGGATGGACCCAGCACCCCTGGGGTGATGGACCCAAGGAGGGCCTGGAGGAGGTGGAATAGAGCAAACTTTGTCCACAAGTGATCTTTTCTCTTCCCACCTCCCCCACCTCCAACTGTGGGGCCCTTGTAGCAGACGGGATGGGATTAAGTGGGGCAAAAAGGCAGTTGCCATGGTAACAGCCAGTGGGTGCCGCATTCCGGATGGTCCCCAGGAACGAATGACAGGATGCAGTTACCCTGGCAACTTCATCTCTAGAGAGACAGGTATTGCCCCGTTGCCCTGGCAACAGCTGGGTTCTAAGGTTTACAGGGAAATGATGGCTAATTCACAGGGATGGCTCTCCCTCTGTGGATCACTGTAGTCTCTGTAACTGTCTCTCTGTTGCCCTCTGTTTTTTTTTTTTTTTTTTTTTTGCTTCTGCCTCTGTCTTTCTTGTTATGCTCGTGCTCTTTCAGCTCTCTTACCACCTTGTCCATCACACTAGCACTCCAGCTTGGCGCAGAAGTGCAGAGGACACCCCAGGATTCTGGAGGGAACAGCCCTGACTGCCTGCTCACCCCCACCTCTCACAGCTGTGACAGTTGCTCCCCTCCAGAGCCCTCCTCTGCAACCTCTCCCCAACCCCATGCCCCCAACGGGACCATGGAAATCTGGTCTCCTGGTGCTCATGTCCCAGTTTCTGCTTGTGCTTCCAGTCAAGGTAAAAAAAAAAAAAAAAAAAAAGGCGAGAGGGGGCTGTGGGGAGGTGAGCATAGCATGGCTTACCCGGGCTAGGCCACTGGCCAGAGACTTGCCATGAAATCTTCAATCCAAAATTTTCTGGGCACCTTCCCTGCCAACTTCAACTCTTCAGGGCATCAGCCATACCTACAGCCACAAGATCTTACTCCAAGGTCTTGGAGTTAGGAAGAAAAGGGACTGGAGTTTAAGACTAAGGATCTGAGTTTGAGCTCTGATTCCTGGACATTTATTATTTATATTATTTATTTATTTATTTATTTATTTTGGAGACAGAGTCTTACTCTGTCACCCAGGCTGGAGTACAGTGGTGCAAGCTCGGCTCACTGAAGCCTCCGTCTCCTGGGTTCAAGTGATTCTCCTGCCTCAGCCTCCCAAGTAGCTGGGACTACAGGCGCACACCACCACGTCTGGCTAATTTTTTGTGTTTTAGTACAGACAAGGTTTCACCATGTTACCCAGGCTGGTCTCAAACTCCTGAGCTCAGGCAATCCACCTGCCTCAGCCTCCCAAAGTGCTAGGATTACAGGTGTGAGGCACCATGCCCGGCCTTTGGACATTTATTAGCTGAGTGATCACGGGCAAGTCACTCACCCTCTCTGAGCCTCCAGCTCCTTTTCTACACAACAGGGGAATGAAGATGCCCTGCAGGGGAAGGCTGTGGAGATGGAGTGGGCTAAGGGCTGTGAAGGCCTTTGGGAACTATGTAAATAGGAGGCCTCTTTCTAGGCTCTAGAGGAGGAAAATGAAGGTTTAAAGCTGGCCCGTGACCACCCCATCACTCTAGCTTGGGCTTGGCATCTCAGACCCTGCATACCCCTTCCCCTCTCCACTGAGGAAAAAGGGTGCCTTGGCCCATTTCGCAGCTTGATGGGCAGAGGCTTCATGCCAGCACCTGCCCCCAGCGAGCATGGGTTGGATAAAAGGATCCAGGCATCCAGACCCTCAGGGATTCTAGCCCACCCGCTCTGAACCTCCACATTGCCTTGCTAGTCCTCTCACTTGCAGGACATGTTATCTGCTTGTTGGTATTCTCCAACCCCATGAAGTCCCTGACTCACTACCCTACTTGCAGGGGCCCCCTGGAGACATCTGGATAACCCTCCCATTCTGCCCTTCTTCCTGGGAGTGGGCTGTGGGGGAGAATAAAGGGTGAGCTCACCCATTCAGCCGCTGTTCCCAGGAGAGGAGAGGGAGGGTGGGAGAGGGAGGGTGGCAGAGGGGAAGAGGGGAAGTGAGCAAGGGAGGAGGGGGGTAATGGCTTAGCCACTAATTGCACCATTACCACCTTTGGGAAAAGGGAAAACCACTCAGTTTTGTTTCTGCGCACAATATGCTTCCCGCTTCTGCCGCCAACGTTGCAATTCAGAGGCAGAGTGGAGAGGCCTATGCCTGGGGGCCGCACAGCCAGTGGGCAGCAGGCAGGGCACAGAACACGGTGGCCAAGCTACAGGCCTATGTGGGGAGGTGGGGGAGGGCTGCACTGCCACCCTCCTGTCCCAGACCCTCTAGCCTGTCCCCCAGGAGGGGATGGCTTCCACACAAGAAAGTGCTGGAAGAGCCCTTAGTGACCACCAAGGCCACCTGCCATTGCACAGGGACAGGAGAGGCAGTGTTGCTTAGTAGTTAGGGTGACTCCACGACTTACGGGCTATGTGATTTTGGATGAATATCCTAACTTCTCCGTGCCTCTGTGTCTTCATCTGCATAATTGGGTCAATAATATTCCCTACCTCCAGGCTGTTCTGTAGATTAAATGAGACAAGCACAGTGGCTGACACTATAAATGCTCAATAAATGGGAAATTATAATCAAGAAACTCAAAAGTCCTCTCCCCTCACACACCACTCCCTGAATCACGGAAGCACACACCATCATCTTGAGTCCCAGCACTTCAGGGCACTGTTCCCTTAGTCTGCACTGGAGTTTAGCTCATGGTTTGGAAATCACCTTGTCTAAGCCTAGTTTGCAGCAATTTCTGTAGAACAAAGAACTAGAGCTAGAAGGAGAGGAACCACAAGGCTCTCCAGCTCATCGGGTGCCAAAGGAATGATGATGCTGTTTTAAAAATTCACAGTAAAACAAAAAAGCAACTATGCTGTGAGATTATGAGGCTGTATTAATGGAAATCTAATGTTCTGAACTGGGACAGTCCTGCGTGGCTGGGTGCTGGCCTGACCCCTGTTTCCTCTCCCGATTCCCACTGATGAAATGGAGCATGCTCAGAAGTGAGCAGAGCACATGGGGAAGACCCTGGCATCAGGTCCCTCAGAGGAAGGTGTGAAGGAATGGAGGCAGGAAGATGGCCACCTCTCTCCCTGTATGTGATGTGGACCACGGGGGCAGCCTCTGTGGCTGCTGGGAGCAGGGCCAGCACAGCCCCGCTCCTGTCATCTCTTTCTTCCCTACTTCCATCTCTCCTTTCCACTCTCCTTTCTTCTCTCCTCTTGCCTTCCCCTCTCCCTCATTTTTCCTGTTCCCTCTTTTGCATCCTTCCTTCTCAGTTCTCCGTCTTTCTCATCTTTTTTACTTCCTTTCTGGTTTCCAGCTCCCTCTCTTTCTGTCACTCTTCTCTCCCTCCCCTGCTGGCCTGCACTGTGCATGCGGTCCTGGGGGATGGGCAAGTTGAGGGCTGCAGGATCCAGATAGCAGAGAGATGGCTGGAGAGGCAGAAGAGAGAAGAAGAGGAGGGAGAAGAGGAAGAAGTCCCCTCTGAAAGTCTTACACATGAGCACACACACACACCCCTCTGAGCCTTCCAGAGCCTAGCTCAGCGGTGTGGGCACTGCCTCGGACAGGCACCCCCCACCTTCCTGAGGGTAATAGCCACTCTGCTGAGAAGGCATGACTGCTAATTCACCACCTCCCCTGAGCCCGCGAGGCTAGCAGCTGTGCCCGGTGGTGGCGGGCACTGAGGAGCCAGCCGTGCCTCTGTGGCGCTGAGAGAATGAGCCGATGATTGCAGGAGGGGGACTGTTCCTGCCAAACTCCCCACTCCCCAGGGCCAAAGCAGACACGAGAGGCAGCACGTGTGCCCCCATCTGCAACACGCGTGTGGTATTCGAGAGCAGGCCTCCATGCTATGGGCTGGTCGCCAGGGGTGGGAGCCCTGGAGGTTGCTGAACCCAGTCCTGACATGCCAGAATAGGGATTGGCACGTGAACACAGGCAGTGCTCCACAGAGACAGAAGGGATGAAAAGTGACCAGGGCTGGGTTCCTGCATGGGTGATTGTAGCCCCAGTGGCATTGTGACAGCTGACTCAAATCCCACCTTCCACAGCCCACACACATATGCCCAAGTGCCCCAGGGTCCTGCAGGGCCTGGGCAGGCACCACAGAAAGTGTGCCATCCAAAGGGTCCCCACAGGGCCTGTCCCACTAAGGGCAGTGAGCATGGGGGGCAGAATTGGTGGAAAGTGGGCCAAGAGAGAAATGGTCCTGCTGAGGGTCTGGGTGGAGGGAGATTGGGTTCATTCATTGCAGTAAGTAAGGCTAGGCCTACATGAAGAAGTGGGGGAAGTCAGGGATCAGGGAGCAGAACTGTCCCTGAGGTCTCCCACACAGGAGGCACTCTTGCAGGGGAGAGTGAAGCAGAGAGCCATGGGACAGAGGACAATGGCTACTGGGCCGATGGCTGCATAGCACTCCTTGCAGTTAGAGGACCTGAGTTCGAGTCCTGGAAGAGCTTGCAGGAGGTCTCCCCAGTAGAACCTCCACTTCCTCCTGAGAAAGATGGAGCCCAGAGCACTGGCCCTCCATCCAGGTGTGGGGCTATCACTTGGCCCTTGGGGAATGGGTTACCAGAGCCCAGGACTCTACTGGCAGGGCCCAGCTTGGACAGGCTGCCCCCTGGCTCTGGCCCCTACAGCTGGCAGATCAGCTGCCATCTGGTGCAGCCAAGGAAGAAACAGGGGGTCTCACCAGGCATCTCTGGGCTCCACTTCCCCAGATCTGTGGCCCGAGGGACCGGAGCTGCCTCTGATCTGCCCTCCCTTCCCTCCCCACAAGCACAGGTGCTCAAATGGTACGAGCACCTGCCTGGCAGTGCCAGTTGGCGGCCTGGCACAGAGTCCAGACCCAGGTGCCCCGGCTGGAGGAAACTTGGGCCACAGGAGATGGGAGGGGGCTGGCAGGAGCCATGCTGATTGCTGGGAAGAGCAGAAGTCACCACAGGCTGAGCCTGTTATCGTAGTGCTTGAGTGCTCTGGGGCACCCAAGACCCTCCACCAATCTCAGGCCTAGGCCAGCCGCCAGCTCCTCTAGACCAGGTTGCAGGCTCAAGCTTGCGTGGGGCCACCGGGCTGTTTGCTGAGCGCTGGGTTGGGTAGGACTCAGCTAGGCAAGCTCTGGGCTGGATTTGAGACTGGACCAAGACCTGGGGTCAAGTCTCCTTCTCAGGGCACCAGGAACAGGTGCCAGCCCCATCCCCAGCTAGTCTTTCTTGGTTTAGGTTGGTCACAGGCAGTAAGCCTCGGTGATTAGGGGACAGCAGAAAGGGCCATTCACGGTCCTGCACTTGCGGTGCCAAAGGGCAGGGGCCCTGGGAGAGAAGTGGGGGCTGGAGCTGGAGGGTAAGCCTCGGGCAGGGCTGACTCAGCAGGCACAGGAGAGGCCTCCATACAACTCGTGCAAGCCCGGAGTGGCAGGGAAGCCTTGGCTCCATGCCACCCTGGAAAGGCCCCACCCACACAGCTGGGACAAGCACCCAGCAGAGCTAGAGTACCCTGAGGAGTGGGCGAACTACGGACAGCTCATCTCCCAGGGTGTGTCAGGCCTGGGCCACCGCCCTAACAGGTGACTTACTTCTTCAGAGCCTCCCTCCTGAGCAGACTGAAATGCTGGAGGTCACTGGAATCCAGAGGCCTCTGCCTATCCTGGCTCCTGCCCCACGACACAGCTGGGAATCAACATCATAGAGGCAGGGAAAGATGCTAGTTGGGGGAGGTGATAAGGGGTAAAAAGAATAGGGCCAGGAGGAAGGGGCTTAGAGCATGAATGGTCACCTCCACCCAACAGCCTCAGGCCAGACCCTCACTCCTGGACTCAGCCACATCTGCAGTGGGGATGGAACTCTGTAACCAATACCTGAACCCCCACACATACCGCACCCACCCCACCCCACCCATCCTGCTCATCCACAAGCTGATGAGTCCTAACAGGCCTCCTTTGCCAGTGACAAAAATAACTATTTTAAAAATTCACAGCAGGGCTTTCGCCTACACACACTGCGCCGACTGGAACCTGAAGGGAGATATGCAGAACGCAGTGTGCGGATGGAGGCGCGCTAGGCGGCAGGCGGGCTCTGCAACACCCGTGGCCTCCTCGCTACCACTCAGCCTGCCCCCCACCCCAACACACACACATGCACACTAGCCCAGAATGGCCAAATGGGAAGTGCTCTTAGATCATCACTGAACATAGTGGGATGTTGAGGCCCAGAGAGGGTCAGGGATGTGCCTGAGGTCACATAGTGGGTCTGTGGCAGGACTCCCATTCCCCCACCGCCTAGCCAGGCTGTCCACCTCCTCTCCTGTTCACTCGGCCGACCGTGAGCTCATACCTGCCCCCAGGACACACATGCACACACCCACACATGCTCATAGTCAGACAGCACTGCATCCCTCACTTCCATGTTACGACACTTTAATCAAGTTCACAAGCTCCTCCACAACCTTGGCCAGTCTTCCAGAGCCTCATGAAGGAGGCAGAGCCAGGGCTGGCATCCCCACTTGCAGGTGGGGAAATCAAGGCCTAGAGGGCAAGAACTGTGCCCCAGGTCACAGGAGAACCCAGGTGTCCTGGTACTGGTTTGGGGGCTCTTCACAGCTCTTTCTACCACCCTTGGTGCTGCAGCAGTTAATGGCCCAGCCAGTTTCTCTGGGTACTGGAGGGGCCAGAAGAGGAATTTTGCACCACGGTGCCTGACACCAGTCTGACCGGAGGACTGGCCTAGGCCATGTGAAGACCCAAGAAGGTCAACCCCCCCGACCCCTGCCCTCCACCCACAGCGCTTGGGGGTCCCTGTAGAGAGCAGCCAGATTGCCATGCTTCAGCTGGGGGCCAGGCTTGGAGTTGCCTCCAGGCAACTCCCAAACACCACCACAGGGATCCCGTGTTAAGGGGGAAGCCTTAAAGGAGTTGTCAAGTGGCAAGGCCGGCCAGGAACTCCACCGTGGCCCCAGGCTCCAGGGCCACACCAAAGAGTCACAAAGTCATTAGAGCTCATTTTACAGATGAGGAAACTGAGGCTAAAAGCTCATGTGGGTCACCTGAGGTCACAGAGCAAGTCCGTGAGGAGGCAGGACTGAGACACAGGCATCCCAGTCTGGTTTATTCCCACCCACTCCTATCCAGGCTCCCTACCCTGTTCAACCAAGGGACTCTACACCCTCCAACTCCCTGTAGATGGAGATGTGACAGGCTTCTCCCTGAGAAACAGCAGGGCCAAGCCGGAGTGGGGAAGATCCTCTAAAGGACAGTTTTCTCCCTCCCCACCATCAGATCCGTTGGGACATTAGCCTGGTGTTGAGTTTACGGAAAAAGGATCGAAGCTTGCAAATCTTGCATTTTTTCTTGCGACGACCCCGGGAGAAGCTTCGAGCCCTCCCTTCCTCTTCCTCCTCTTCCTCATCACTGGCCCAGGGCCCCCAAGCACCCCCATTAAAGTCAGGATGAGCCCGGGGGTTCTCAGCTGGGTAGCGTACCGGGATGGCTGTGCGGTTATATTCGGCCAGGCGAGCCAGCAGGGTGCGGACCACATCAGGCCGCTGGCCAGCCAGGTCCTCCCGTTCATAAGGGTCAGCACTGATGTTGAAGAGCCACACGGCCTGGCGGACACTGGCCATTCGTTCCAGGTTCCACCAGCTACCCGGGAAGGTGGCCAGTGTCTGCGGTGGGATCCAATCGCCATAGCCGGGGTCTCCTGTCAGCAGCTTCCACTCACCCACGCGGATGGCAGCCTGCACGGCGGTGTTCCAGATGCCAAAGCCGCCCTCCAGGGAGCCATGCTGGGCATGGTTGTAGAGTGGGTCAATGTTGTGCAGGATCTCCGTGCGTGGTGAGGCCCGGCCCTCGCTGATGGCCGGCCACACGTCGTAGCCATCTAGCCCATCGGCTGCTGAGGTGGTACCACCTGCCAGACCCACCAGGGTCGGGTACCAGTCAGTGATGTGCATCAGTGCCCGGCTTGTCCGTTGCTTTCGCTTGAGCAGGGGACTGTGGACAAAGCCTAGGCCCCGCACGCCACCTTCCCAATAAGTGCCCTTGCGTCCTCGGAGCGGCCAGTTGCTGCCCCCCGAGAAAGTCTGGCCACCATTGTCACTGGAGAAGATGATGACACTGTTGTTGTAGAAACCGTAGCGCTTGAGGGCCCAGGTGATGTTGCGCACAGCCTCATCCATGCAGGTCACCATGGCCGCGTACTTCCGCCGGGCCACATTGCCCATGGTGCGGTAGCGGTACAGGTACTCACGAGGGGACTGCAGGGGTGTGTGTACTGCCTGGAAGGCCACATAGAGGAAGAGGGGACGCTGAGGGCTGTGGCTGGCCAGGATATGGCTGGCGCGCTGGGCATAAAGCATAGTGGAGTACTGGCCGCTGAGCCCCCAGGCCACATTCTCACCCTCGTGCAGGTCGAAGCCGCACACGCCTGGGCCATCACAGTTGTCATAGGTGTAATAGTCCACATTGCCCGTGAGCGAGCCCAGGAAGGTGTCGAAGCCCCGACGGGTGGGCAGACACTCCTTCCGGTAGAAGCCCAGGTGCCACTTGCCCACCATATGGGTGGAATAACCTGCCTCCTGCAGCTTCTGTGGCAGTGTCACCTGGTCCAGGGGCAGGCAGTTGGGCTGCTGTGGGCGGATGATGGAATGCTGGAGTCCTGTGTGGATCTGGTACCTGGTGGGGAGGAGGGGAAGGCACAGAAGGCACAGGTAAGCTACAGACCATTGCTCTGGCCATCCAGTCCCCAGTACCACTGTGAGGTGGGCTGTGGTCCCAGCACTACCAGCAAAAATAATAACAGTAACCACCAGGTACTATCTACTATGCTAAGCACCTCAAATGCATTATCTCATCGAATCCTCAAAATCACTGGAAGTAGATCATATTGTCGTTTTACAGATGAGGAGATTGAAGCTCAGAATGGCTAAGCCACTCACCCAAGATCACACAGCTAGGAAGTTGGAGAGATAAAAGTTGAACCCAGGGTAATAATGACAATAATAATAGCTAATACCGAGCACTCACTGTGAGCTTGGCATTACACTAATCCTCTTATGTGAATTATCTTACTTAATCCTCACCACAAATTCAGAGGTACATATTATTGTTCCCATTTTCCAAATAAGGGAACTGAGGCTTGGTAAATTAAATTAGTTGCCCGGTGACTCACACGGCTAGTAGTTGGAGTGGGATTTATAACCCAAGCAGTCTGGCTCCAGACTTCGGAATCCCTAAGCTCTAAGCTATTAACTTGCACTGGGGCCTAGAGCAAGCCCTGCTTTCCCAGGCAAACTCTTACTCACTCTTCAAAGCTCAGTCCAAATGTTATCCATGCTATAAAGTCTTTCATAACTCTCCCAAAGAATTAGTCACTTTTGCTTCTGGGTTCCCCTAGCATTTAGTACACACCATCGTTTTCTTACTTGGCCGTGGGATTATACTCGTCTGCACATGCTCTTGCGCCCAGTGACATGTGATGAGACTGTCCTTTATTCAACCTTCTATTCCTAGCACCCAAGTGATGTTCAAAGAGCACTCAATTATTTATGAAATGAATGAATGAATGACACTTAAGAGGGTTTTAGAGCCAGAAGGGACCCAATTCATTCTCTAGTTTACTCACCTCATCTTAAAAAGGACCTAAGGTCTTTTTAAGGGAAGGGGAAGGGCCTTAACTGAGGTCGCTCGGTGGTCAGGAACAGAGCCAGGACTTGAACATAAATCCAAGCAGAGTCTAAGCAGGGACTCTTTTTCAGCAAACTGGGCTGCCGTATCTCTTCCCACATGGGGGCCTCAGTTTGCTCCCGTATAGGAGTTGGTTGAAATGGGAAATCTCTAAGACTCGTCTAGTTTCCCAGTTTTTTAAGACCAGCTCCCAAGTGCCTGCCTGTGAGCTCATATGACCCCTTGATCCAGGCTATCACCCTGAGGCAGGAGTAAATGGTTAGGCAAATCCTGAATTCCTCATTTATCCATTCATATCCCATCTTCCCCCTTCTGTGGTCAAGGCTCCCATGTGATCTGCTTATGGTGTCTTGCCTTTACTCAAGTCTTGAAAGTCCCAGAGTAAATAAGAAGCCTGGAACTTCACAAGTATGTTAAAATCCCACACCTTTTTCTCACCTCCAGGCATCCAAATTAATCCAAGCCCTGAATACCTGACATCTTTAACCAGAGCACAGGAGTGAGTTTCTGTTTTGGTTTCCTTATCTTAAAGCTGTTATTGTTGTTAGCTCTAATTAGCTACTACTGCCATTTTTAACACTATGTGCCATACACATACATTATCTCATTTAACTCTCATTTTAAAAACCTACAGGGAAGTCTATTACCACCCCCATTCTACAGATGATAAAACCAAGTCCCCCGAAAGTGCAGCAATGACCCAAGTTCAGAGAGCTGACAAGCAGTGGAGCTAAGCTTTGAACCTGGGTCCACTCAAGTCATGCTCAAAATCTTTTGGTGATAACGGCCTCTCCAGGCCTCAATCAAGCTAATAAATTATTGGATTTGATATGAGAAGCACCCTAGGGCCCTGAGTCCCAACTGGGCCGGTCTTCATAGAGGTGGGGTGCTGTGGAGCGCTGGCTTGTAAAGCGGATGGGCCAGCTAAGAGTCACCAAAGCCCACCTGCAAGTGAGTCACAAGAGAAACTTTGCCTCTCTCCAGTGTCACAAAACACAACTGGATGTGTTAACAAACACTAACGAGGGCTGTAAGCATCAATGAGATGGAGCCAGCTGCAGGGTGGGGGAGGGCAGGCACTGGCCGGCCACCTTCAGTTAGCTTCGCAGATCAGGGGACTGGAGCACTGCCCTCCTGCTGTCTGCTCATTCCGCTACTTAAACCAAAAGTCACCTCTTAGGACAGAAACGCTAAGTTGTGTATAACTCTTGGGAATGCAGACTCCTCCACCCTCTTCTGCAGGTCAACATTGGTCTTCACCACTACACCACTAACCTGCACCACCACCCCAACCCATACACACCCCACACCCCTCCTTCTTTCTTCTGTTCTCCTTCTGATTCCTGGATCTAAACGCTGGGTGCCAGATCGAAGGAACAAAGGACGCCATTTGATGCCCAGCTCCGGGACCCCCGCCAAACACCTGGCCTCTCAATCCTATCTCCCACAGACCCTGAAGTTGGGCACGGGCACCAAACTAGGCCCTCCCTGAGTCCTTGCCTCAATTTCTCCCATCCAAGAAATAGTGAGACTAAGAAACAGGGAGACTAAGGCTTCTGGTTCCTGAGATCACATTAGTGGCTCTTGGGTGGAACTTGGGAGAAAGCATGCCTTGGACCCCATCCAAGGAGAATTAGCTTCAGCACTGCCAAAGGATTTTCTCCTAAGTGGCCAGAGTTTGCCTTCCATACCCCCACCTCCTGTTTCCCTGCTCTTTTAATCCTGTAATCCTGCTGCCTCGCCTGTGGACATTTCCTTGTGGAGGAAGCAGCATGTCTACTTGGGGCTCCCAGCCAACTTGGGAGGATTTTGCAGATGAAAAAACAGAGGCTCAGAGAAATGAAGTAACCACCCTAAGGCTACACAGGTCATGGTATCCTATGTGTCTTTCTCTTCCACCTATCAATTCCTTGGTCTTCTCCCAATGTATTCATCAAGCAGTATGGGGACCTGAATCCCTCAGGAGACATAGAGGCTGCCATATATTGACAGCCAAGCAGGTTACACACAACTCATTCCAACTTTGCCACTCCTTTTCAAGATGAAAACTGTTCTTTGCTCCATTTTATGGACAAGAAAACTGAGGCTTAGAGAAATTAAATGACTTGCTCAGGGTCTCGGGGTCCATAAATAGAAGCAGCAGTAAATGTCAGAGGCTGCCATGTTCCTCTAACAAAGGGATGACCAGATGTCTCCACGTTGTGTGGAATGTGAGTGTCCTGGAACATCAAAGCAAGAAGACCTCAAAGATGATGAAGCCCATTCAGTGTAAAGGAAGGGTAATTGAGGCCTAGAGAGGGCGAGGGACTTACTAATGATTACACAGCCAACAGGAGATTTCCCAGATCCCAGCATGGGGTGGTACTGGCAGGAGAAATCTATCAACTGGGTTGATTTGGGGTTTAGATGCCCAGCCCCGGGGCCTTGAGCCACGCCTACCTGCCAGTGAGGAGCTGGCTCCGCGAAGGCGTGCAGATGGGCTGGATGTAATAATTCTCCAACTTGACCCCCTTGGCCGCCAGCCTGTCCAGCGTAGGGGTCTCGATATCTGAACCATGGTAGCCCACGTCGTGGTAGCCTTGGTCGTCCGTGAGGATGAAGATGATGTGGGGAGGCTGGGGCGGAGCGGCCGAGGGCTGCTCGCCAGCCTCCCCGGGCCCGTCGGCCACGAAGCTCGGCTTGGCCCAGTCCCAGGACAGGTAGCCGAAGCTGAGCAGGCTGACCAGGGAGAAGCCAGTGAGGGTGTGCATCGCCAAGCCGGCCCGCGCGTCCCGGCGCGCCGGGCTCCTGGGGCCTCACCACCTCGCGCGCCCAGGGCGCACCACCGGCCCGCCGGCTCGGATGCTGCGAGGGAGTTCAGCGCCCCCCGGGGACGGTCCAGTGTCTGGTCCGGGACTGGCTGCCGGACGGCTGGGCCGGATCTGCTCGGCCGCAGCGGGGCGCTCTGGGGAGGTCAGGCCCGCGCCGAGCTGCCTCCCGCTGCCTAAGCGCAGGCCCTGCGCCGCCTTTGCTCCCTCTTCCCCAGCTCAGCCCGGCCAGCCTGAGACGCGGCGTGGCAGCTTCCAAAAAGTGCTCTCTACCATCCTCTGACTCCCCTCTTCCTTCTTGCCCTGGATTTCTCCCGCCTCCTAATTTCTCTCTCCTCTGCTTTCCCGGCCTCTCGCCCCACCCGGAGTCCTTAAAACAGCCCAGCTCCCTGCAGGGAGGTGGGCAGGACCCCAGAGGGGAAGGGGAGGGAGGCACAAGTTGGGCGGGTCGAGGGGACACGGCGGGAGAGAATTCGAAAAAGTTGTAACATCTGCCGGGCCGGGCCGAGCCCCAGGTGGAGGGGCGGGACGCAGAGCAGCGGCTCCACCTCCCGGGCGGGAAGCCCCGGCCCTCTCGGCCTGCTGGCTCCAGCGCCCGCCCCTGACCGGGATGGGGAAAGGAGGGAGTGGGGCTGCTTGGAATTCGATGGAACAGCTCCAGAATGGCTGGGTCAGACATTCCTCGATCATGGAGTCTTAGCCTCTCTGAGTGCCAGCCCTGGAAGGAAAGCCCATCATTTCCTAGTCCAACCGGGTCATTCTACAGATGGAGAAACTGAGGCCCGGAGATGAGCCTCAACGCGTCTAAGTCACAGAACAAGTCAGTGGCTATGTCTCTAAGGCTCACCGTGGCTGTTGGAGTGGCGGCTCCCTTCGGTGAGCCGGTAGAGAAAGCGATGGAGAATGGCAAGCACTTTGGCAAGCCCCCGCGGCTGCAAGTCAGGAAGCTTGGTTGTAGCCTTGCCAGCTCCCCTCTCCTCAACCCCTCCCTCCTCCTCGTTCTGCAGTTCCCAACTAGAATCTTAGAATGCCAGCGCTGGAATCCAGAGGGCAGGGGCTGTTTTATCCATCTCGTATCCACAGGGTGCAGCACACAGTATAAGCTCAATCAGTATATGTTGCATGAGTGAATGGATGAATGGGCCCCAATGGTCACCTAGGCCAGCCTACCCAAGGAAACCTCCACACCAGAGAAGGCAAGCTTGGGGGACTCTGGAACCCGATGAGCATCATAAATGAGTAGAGCAAGAGATAGTTGTCTTGCCCTAAGGAGACACAGGGGCTGCAGCAAGTTAAAAACCACAGCCTGGCTTCCAGCTGACTACAGTCAGGCAAGAATACGGACCAGTGTTTCCAGATCTTCTGATTTTTCAAGAGGAATACCCTCTTTATCTATTAGGAGAACTATTCCAATTGTGAAATGTTAGTGACTAATTGAAAGCAAAATTTAAGCACTTTGTAGGCCAAATCAGACCTCTCCCAGGAATATATCAGACCATCGGTGCCGGTTTGCAAGCTCTGCTCTGCATCATTGTTTTGCAAAATTTTACTAGGCTACATTTTTAAATGGAAAAACTGGGCTAAACAAAACCAGTTAGGCTTCTTTACTTCTAGGATTTCAAATGTTTAACATGCACACTGCTGATCTGCAGGAGGGGCTGGTTAGGCTGTATTTCCCAGTGTTATGTTACCATGGACCCTCTTTCCTGCTCCCCCCACCCCCCAACCAGCTTCTTGAAGGGCCAGTGTTTGGGGACTTTGGGAAGCAAAGACTGCCCAGGTGCATCTTCTCTCCTAGCATCTTTCCCCTGCCAAGATTCTGTCATGATCCCTTCCCTCTTACTTAAAACCACTGCGTGTGGGGAAAGAAACCAGACCTCCAAAATAGCAGCCCGTGTGAATCTGCATTTTGAAATGAGGGCTGCGTGGGGCCAGCCGCTCCCATTTGCTCAAAGCCCCATATTTAGGGTGACCAGATTTATCAGAAGGGAAAACTGAGCTTGTTGTTCTGGCAGAAGACATGTTGAGGACAGACAGGAAAAATACAGCCTCCTGAGGGGAAGGCTGCTAAAATGGTGCTTCCAGAGGCTTCCACAAGGCTGTCTGTCCTGGGGGGTCGAAGTGGAACAAGTCACCAGAGGTCAGGTGGACTAGGGTTTTGCATTCTTTCTATTGCCCCAGGGCAAAAGGAACTGGGCAGGGCTGCCTCCCTTCTACTCCAAGCACAAAGAGAAGCAGCAAGGGGATGGGGTGGGGGTTCCACCTGGATCAAAAAAGGCCCAGGGAGGAAAGGTCACAGGCGGCAGACCTCTGTGGGGCTGTCACTGAGACAAGTAGTATTTCAGAATTCAAGACAGTGGGCTCTGCTATCAGACTATTTGAGTTCAAATCCTGCCACTCATTTGGGGTCTGGCCTTGCACAAGTTATTTCACCTCCCTTAGCCTCAATTTCTTCATCTGTAAAATGGGATAATAGTATATATAAGATCTACTACAATGCTCAGTAAAGTGCCCAGCACACAGTAAGCACTTGGTGAATGTGAATGGTTACGATGATTGTTCTCTGTGCTTTTGAGAGGAAGGACTAAGTCCTGTGGGTGAAAGTTACAGGAAAACAGATTTCGGACCAATTTAAGGGATTGCTTTTGTAAGAAATCCGGCCACCTGCTTAATAAAAGGATGACAGTGATTGGTGAATCACCATGTGGAGGGGAGTGGGTGGACTTAGGGCCCAACTCTTGTTCCCCAATACTCACTTTTTTCTTAAGAGTCTCCATAATCACCAAAATCCACAGAGGCCTCAGAGAGCACTATCCTCCCTCTATCATTCTAAGGAAATAAACACTGACCCTCAGCAATTCCAGTGATGCCATTACACAGCTAGGCCAGGCTGCAACATTTAAACCAGACATTTCCAAAGGCTCAAGGATGACAAGGAGGGAATAAACACAAAGTGTAATGTGAATCGTGGTCATATAGCTTTCAAGATTGGCTCACTTATCTTCCCTTTGTGTTCTCTACAAGACAAGGTGCTTACCTGCCGTCTTCCCTGGGACAATGTCCATCAGCCCTACCCCAACCTACACAGACTCTCAAAACTCCAACATGTCTCAAGTTCAGGCCCAAGAATTAAGACTTAGAGACACAGACATTCCCTCTCCAGCAAGCTAAACTAGCCTTTTCAGTTTCTGTCTCAGAACTCAGCTGTTTCCAAGACAATTGACAAGAGGAATGTCCACCCCACACAGGAAAGATCTGTCCCCCCATTCTCACAGATGTGATCTCCTCCCTTAACCCCCAAACGACATCCACATTACAACACTACAGAAAGCCTAATATCTGCATACAAAATGCATTTCAGATGTGGCAGGGTGTAGTTTTGTTACTTCCTGTCACAGATTTCCATTGATGAAATCAGACTTCAGAAAGTACTGAGCTTCCCATTACTGGATCCATGCAAGAAGGGGG
This sequence comes from Homo sapiens, assembly GCF_000001405.40. Classification (NCBI taxonomy): domain Eukaryota; kingdom Metazoa; phylum Chordata; class Mammalia; order Primates; family Hominidae; genus Homo; species Homo sapiens. Next base: position 150,305,899 of record NC_000005.10, read on the forward strand.
TTAAAGTGCCTGTCTATCCAGGAGATAATAGAAGAGATTCCTGAACTAAAAAGAGGGAAGCAAAATGAAAGGACTGTGAAAGCTCTTTCCCATTTGAAAATGTTAAGATTTTAATCATTTGTTCCCAGACAACTTTTTAGGGAGCGGAGATATAAAAGTGAAAAACTGGGTTAGTTGGTTTTGTGGCTTTGTCTGTCATTGCTATTCGTGTGTATGTGTGTGTGTGTGTGTGTGCATGTTAGTGGCTAGGTATATGTGTATGTTTGGCCATCTTTGAACTAAAATTATCTAAGTACCAATATTATTTCCTTCTGATTTATTGCCCTTGGCAAAGACCTTATGCATAAATTATGCATGCTGTCGTCCTCTCTCTAGGGGTCAATTTGTCTAGGCAGGATCAAATCAAAGACCAAAAGAAAACATAGAAGGCCTCTGAACACTCAAAATATCACAGAGTTCAATCACTTAACTCAGAGGAGAGCTCCTCAGGCCTTCCTAACTCTTAAGTCTACTGACTCTTACTTCATTCACAATTCTTATAAGGCCAATCATTTCCTTTCCCAGTCCGAGAATATTAGAAGCAGCTCAGATGGAATATATAAGAAAGTGAGACACTTGCCTATTTTATAGTAAAATATGCTTACATGTTTCACAGTGAAAAATTAAGGAGAAACAAAAGAATAAACAAAAATTCAAACTGATGAATTCCAAAAGCCTGGGAGTTTGGGGTTTATCGGTGCAGGAGCCAAGAACTATATTCACCTGAACAGACCCAGAAACATCGCCAAATCACCGTTCCGCACAGAAGTGAGTTTAGATCTCTTTTTAAGAGTTGAGGATCTCTTTTTAAGAAAGCCAGAAAGGCATCATCTGTTTTTTAAGGTTTCCATCCAAAATGGTTAATATGAACGGTTCATAGTGCAAGGTCAGCTTCAGTTGCAGAACATCCTCTCTGCAGACACAGGCTCAGTGAGGCAGCAACATCTTCAGCGGGTTCCATGGTGGTGCCGGAGGTCATTCTCAGCTGCCCAACAAGAGTGCTCTCCCTCCCCAGTGGCAGGCCCCTCTCATCCACCTTCTGCCTCCTCTGTGCAGCCCACTGAGGCCAGCATGGTGTTACCCACACTTCAAGCCCCACAAGCTTCAGTAGCTGGCAAAGACACGTGGGACTCAGTGTGGAAGCAGAGAATCCCACTCTGGTGCCCTCTCTGACAGCCAGGCCATATCCCTCTAATGAGCAGGTCTTTCTATTTGGAAGAGAAAACTCTACATGTTCCCTTGGTCACCTAGTTTAGTGACCACTGGCTCTTACCGTAACTCCCACACTCTCTGCTTCAGCATCATTCATTATAATTAATTACTGATTAATGGAAAGGCCACAGGTGTTTAAGGAAGCCATACGGCTGCATTGTGGAGAATGGATTGCAGGACCCGTGGTATGGGTCCACGCAGGAGGTCCACGCAGGAAGTCCACGCAGAGACACGTCTGCCCGATGGGTTGCTCTCCACAGAAGGCAGGCTGAAGGGGTATCTGAGAAGGTATCTAACATCTTCTTGGATATTACTTGGGCAAAATGGTGCTGGGAAGACAGGGGTTTTCCTCCTTGATACTGGGGCACCTACTTTAGCCTTTCTGGGGCAGACATACATCTCCCCCTCTGACCCTCGCTTCCAGACCTCTGGGTGGTCTCACTGAGTGCCCTTGTCTTAGTGATCAGGATCCCTATATCAGGTCTTTGAGCCAGGATAGGCAAGAGCCCAGGTACCCATGGCCTCCTTGTCTTTAACCCTTCATAGGGCCCAGCCCTGGCATTTCAATGGCTCCTTTCTCTGGCGCTCAATGAAACATTCTTCCGAGAAGATTATTGAAAGCAGAGCTCTGGGTACACAATGGGCGCTCTGTGCTCACAGCCGCTGCCCAATCTGTTTGCCCAGCCTGACTGTGGCCTCACCTCTCCACACACTCCCCACCCTCCACCCACCCGACCCCGGTCCCACCCCAAGGCCTGCTCAAAGGGAGGTCGTATGAAAGGACTTGTTCTCCATGTTCTCAGAAGTTCCCGCCCTGGCCTCTTCCAACCTTGAGAGGAATTAGCCTAATGGGACCCAGGCCTGCCTCCAGCCCATCCATCCAGGGCTCTGCCCACTTTGATGTCCAGAGGCTTCTGTCATCACTGGTCAGCTGCAGTTTCTCTCTTATACAAACACCCCCCACACACACATACACACAAACACACACATACTTTCAAAGAAAGAGGTGAAGTCCCAGAGAATCAAATAGAGAGTGGCAGTGCTCAGATGCAGACAAACAGAGGGGCTCCCAAAAGTGAGGGTGGCAGGCTGCCCCCCAACCCCACCACGAGGGCCTTCCAAGGTTCAGGGAAGGAAAAAGCGTGTTCTGGTTAAATGTGAGACTCCTAGAACTAGATCGCCTGTGTTCTAGCCCAGCTCTGCCATTTGCTAGCTGCATGACTTAACCTCTCTGTGCCCAGTTTTCTTACTTGTAAAATGGGGGTGAGAGGAAGAAGAAGAAGAAGAGGAGGAGGAGGAGGAGGAGGAGAAGGAGAAGGAGAAATATATAACCTCATAAGATTGTTGTGAGGATTACAACAGACAAGGCTTCTGAAGCTCTTAGCACAGTGCCTGGTATACAATTAGCTCTCTGAAAATGGTAGCTATTATTGTTTTTGTTACTAAGCTTTGTTGTTGTTATACTTAGATTCTATTTCTACAAGTGTATAGCCTCAGGGCAAAAATCTACATTCCCCTGATCAAGTTATTCTCCTCCAAAATTTCAATAGCCACTAGCTGCCTGAAATAAAAAGCTCGAGCGTTTAGCCTGGCATTCAGCACTAGAACTTTGCCTTCCTTCTTCATGATAATGTCACTGGATATATGGAAGGTAAATGGGTCCCGTCACTACTATTACTGCTGTCATTGTCATCATCTACTATACTTGGAGAAACTGGCTTTTAGCACAAATGATAAGAGACACTGCCTGAAATAAAAATAAATAAATTAAAAAAACCTGACTCGATACCAAATTGAAATTCGGAAGTGATAATAATAATATAATAGCTTACATTTATTGACGATCTACTGTGCCAGGTACCATGCGTAACTCTTTATATCTATTATCTCACTAAATTCTTACCTACCTATAAGGTAGGTAAAATTATTATCATTATCTGCATCTTGCCCATGGAGAAACCGAGAAACACAGAAAGGGTGAGTAACTTGCCCAAAGTCACACAGCTAGAAAGTGTCAAGGCCATGATTTGAATATAGGTGTCAAACCTATTGCCTGCTGCATTAAAGTCCCCACCATATGCTCTCCTGTCACCAAGCCTGTGAATGGGGTCCCCTCTGCACTTGAGTGGTTAGATGCCAACGCTCCCAATGCACTGGAATGCCCTGGCAGTGGGCCCCAGAGGCCTGAGAGGTCTGAGTGGGCCTAGGAGTGACATGAGTGCATGCTCTGGGAGACGCCCTCCACCCCCTGCCACGCTGGGATGCTGGGTGGAGCTGCCTCCAGCACTGCTCTGCTCCTCCCAGACTGAGTGGGAATTGATCCATCTTGGAAGCCGCTCTCAGGCTTGTCCCCTGCCCTTCCCATTCCCTCCTTGAGGCTCCCTTGCCTGCTCCAATAGCTTCAGGATGTCCCAAAGCCCCTTGAGGCAGAGGCTTCCTCTGGCTTTCTATGTTCTCAGACCCAGATGTCACCTGTCAGCTCTGCCTCCCTGTGAAATGAGAGTCAGTCTCTCGGGGCAGCAATCTTGCTGGGTTTTTCTTCTAAGGGATAGCACAACCCAGCCCCCGCTGCCTCCTGGCCTTGGCTAGACTGCTCAAAGCCAGAGATGCTCTCTAATGACAGGGATGAGGCTTGCCTCTGTTCCCATGGCAACTACTGTGCTCTGCTAAGTCAATCACTTTTGAAGTCCCTGCTGGTGCTAAAGTTATTTTGCATAGAAGTGCTGAACCCTTATCCAAGAACTCTGTTCTGAGTCTTTAGATCCTTTCAGGTCTCTTAAAAGTTGATTTTCCCTTTCCCTTCCTTTGTTGAAGTCCTTTAATCTTTAAAGCCCAGCTCAAATCCCACCGCTTCCAAGAGACTTTTCTAGACCTCCTCCTCCCTTCCTTCCCTATTCAGTCAATCTCTTGCTCTCCACAGTCCCCTGGGGCATGTTTATGGTTCTATTAGATCACAGTCTGCCTGTTTCAGAGTTATTTATGTGTCTCTTTCTGAGCCCCTGGTGAGTGATCAGCCCATAGTAGGTGCTAAACAAACATTTGTTTGAATTTATTTGAATTTCCTTTCAGGGTTTTAAATATTTTCTATTATTAATAGTACAGGCCGTTACTAATAATCCCTTACACTTGTAAAATTATTTACAGTTTATATATAGCTTCATGCTTGAGGGTACTGCTTTAAACCCCAGCTCCACCCTTCCTAGCTGTGTGACCAGTATACAAGCCTTGTAGCCTCTCTCAACCTGCTTCTCATCAGTAACGTGGATTGTGGTAACGATAAAACTAAATGTGTAAAGGGTTTACTTAGCACAGGGCCGGATGTCCAGTGATCCTTCAATAAATGTTAATTATTATCATAACTCATGATCTTGTTTGGACCTCACGAAAGCTCTGGGATGTAAAAGGGGCAGGAATTTTGTTAGTGTCATCATTGTTATCAATGACATATGAAGAGACTGAAGCTTAGAGAAGGTAAGAGTTGCCTAGGTGTTCAGACTTTAGTCAAATACTGTGATGGGCACCTATTGTCTGCCTTGCAGCTGCTCCCCTTTCTTGGAAACAGAACCTAGATTTTCTTTGATGGGTTTCCACTGATGGGTTGACTCCAGGAGCAGGCTTGGACAATTAGAGCATCAAATGTCCCTGGTCAAAGTGATTAGTTCAGGAATGCACAAGTGACCTAAGACTGTCTAGTGAGACTCAATTCTGAGAATTTTGTTTGGATTTTTGAGAACAAGATTGTTCATTGTCTCTTTGCTGCTAGACTTGGAGCAAGAAGATTAGAAGCCTGGACCTGCCTGGAGCTAACTGTAGTGAAGAGAAAAAAAGCAAAGTGAGAGGTAAAGACAGATTCCCAATAACACCATTTGAGTACATGGGTCCTTTCCAGTCCTACCTGAAGCTAGAACTACTCCCCTGGACTTCAGTTATGGGAACAATACGTTCCTTCTTTCTTACACCAATTTGTGTTGACATCTGTCACTTGCTACTGGATGAGTACCAACTACTGCGAGAATGCTGTCTTATCCACACAGAAATCAAGGATCTCTTTATCCAATTCATTTGCTCAACAAGCACTTACTGAGCAACTATTATGTGCCTTTCACTCACTGGGACTAAGACTACAGATATGGACAAGACAAACCACCTGGCCCTCTTGGAGTTGATGGTCCATTGTCATTCCCTTAGACTTGTGAAGACACTGAGGCTCAGAGAGGAGAACACCCCAAAATATGTGTCCTTCACATGATTAAGAGTGCCTCGGTCCTGAATGAAGCTGGGCTGGAGCTGAGGCAGGCAGTGGTAATTGGCTGGTCACTGGCAGGAAGAGCTGGTTTAGGGATTAGTGAGTTTCTGCTCAGCAGGAAGCTTCCAGACCAACGCTGGCAGTTGGACCTGGAGGCTGAGCCCTCGTCCCCTGGATCCAGGACTTCAGGCAGGGGATAGTTTCCTGCGAGCAGCATGGCTCCAAGGTCTCATTTGAGGGTGTCAATTCCCATGCTCCTGGCTTTATGGGTGGACTCGCTTTGGTCTGGAATTCTGATTATGAAGAGGCCTTTCAGCATCAAGATTACCCTGGAGGGAGGCTTCATCTCACAGGGATTTTCAATATGCTTATCAAAGGGAAAAGCCCCATCTTATAGCCTAACCTGAGCCTAGTTTTTTCCTTTATCCTATGACCCACCCTTGGGAGAACCTAGTCTCTTGGGCAAACCCAGTCTCTCAGGGCCAGGTCTCTCACGGAGGTTGTGATACCTAGAAATTGGATTTGCACTCAGCTGGCTTAGTTTTTCTCTGCCTCCTCAGTTCCTAGCACAGACCCTGGCTTATAGTAGATGAGTAAGTCTGTATCTCATGAATGTTCGTAGGATTTTTTTTTTTTTTTTGAGACAGAATCTTGCTCTGTCACCCAGATTGGAGTGCAATTACGCGATCTCAGCTCACCGCAACCTCCGCCTCCCTGGTTCAAGCGATTCTCCTGCCTCAGCCTCCCAAGTAGCTGGGATTACAGGCGCCTGCCAGCATGCCCAGCTAATTTTTTTTTTTTTTTTTTTTTTGTATTTTTAGTAGAGACAGGGTTTCACCCTGTTGGTCAGGATGGTCTCGAACTCCTGACAATCAGGTAATCCACCAGCCTCAGCCTCCCAACGTGCTGGAATTACAGGTGTGAGCCACCACGCCCAGCCTGCTCATACGATTATTTTAAGATAGGGAGAGGCACCCATTCTGAGACAGATTGACCATGAAATTAGTACAGCTTAAGCTTCCAGACCCCTCCCTAGCACAGGGTCCTCTCTAATCCCTGAGGGGGGCTCCGACACTGTGTTCACATGATCACGTATCTGAAAGTTGAGCCCGTCATCTTAACTGCAATCAGTTGTGATCAATGACTCTTGCCTCTGACCTCTTCACTGTTATTTTCCTCAGGACAGATGGCTTTAGAAGGACTGTGGCATTTTGGGGGTCTGGCTCACGGGAAGTTGAACTGGGGATACATGCACAGTTAAGTCGGCTGTCTCGGTATAGAAATGTCTTCCAGGGCTCTTGCTGTCTGCTGAGCTGACTCACTTGACATATTATGACACAAAGGTGCAGGCCCCAAGCTTGGATGGCAGCGTGAAGGTGTCTTCCAGTCCCCGGCAATAGAAGTATATGTGTCGGAGAAGAGGGACAATTTTGAAATCTAAGGAGCCAAGAGCTAAGCTGTGGAAAATTCTTCCAATTATCAGACCTGTAAAATTCTAAGCAAAAGACTCAGTGCTCAAAGATGCTTAAGCAAAATGGAAATTATTTCCTGTCAGGAATATTCTACAATACAGTACATATCATTATAAATACACACACCAAAACCTTTTTCTTTCTTTCTTTCTTTTTTTTTTTTTTTCCTAGCCCTGGCTAGGACTTTTCTTTTTCTTTTTTCTTTTTTTTTGAGATAAAGTCTCACTGTGTCTCCCAGGCTGGAGTGCAATGGCATGATCTCTGCTCACTGCAACCTCCGCTTCCCGGGTTCAAGCAATTCTCCTGCCTCAGCCTCCTGAGTAGCTGGGACTAGAGGTGCACAGCACCATGCCTGGCTAATTTTTGTATTTTTCATAGAGACGGGGTTTAACCATGTTGGCCAGGCTGGTCTCAAACTTCTGGCCTCAAGTGATCTGCCTGCCTCTCAGCCTCCCAAAGTGCTGGGATCACAGGCATGAGCCACCATGCCTGGACTTCTGTTTTCTTTTTCTTTTTTTGATGGATATCATGTTATGGGTTGAATTATGTCCCCACCCCTCAAAAAAAAAAAAAAATAAAAAAACAAGAAATGTTTAAACCCCACCTACCTCAGAATGTGTCAGAATGTAGACCTGATCTGGAAATAGGATTTTTACAGAGATAATCAAGTTAAAATGAGGTCATTAGGGTAGGCCCTTAATCCAATATGACTGGTATTCTTATAAAAAGGGGAAATTTGGACACAGGCAGACGTGCAAAAGAAGAACACCAAGCTTTGATGAAGGCGAGATTAGCGTGACACATCTCCAAGCCAGGGAGCACCAGAGATTGCCAACAAACCACCAGAGGCTGGGGGAGAGGCCCGGAACAGATTCCCTCATGGCCTTAGAAGGAATCAACCCTGCCAACACCTTGATCTCCAACTTTTAGCCTCCAGGACTGAGAAATTAGATCGCTTGCTAAGTTTATGGTATTTTGTTATGGCAGCCCTAGCAAGCCAATAGCACGTGAAGGAGAATTTACCAGAAAACCCATGTCTGTGGCCCACCAACCAGCAGCAGCATTACACACAGTGACTACATCTCATGTTTTATGCATTCCAACCATCAAAAATTAAAGAGAAAAATTCAATTAACCATGCAAGGGGGAAGAGTGGATTATCTTTCCATTCTATGTTTAGAAAATGATTACAAAACCATTTTCCTGTCAAGACTGTGGTGACACCTGTGGCCGGTGCTCATCCTCCCAACACTACACTGCTCCTGAGTCTGGGCCTTTTTTCTGTTGTCTGCATCTAGGACTTCCCTGGTGCCTGAGTGTGCTCTCTGGGTCCTATTTAGAGAAACAACTGGCTGGGCTCTGCTCCCATGGGCCCAGATGTCAGGTTTGAGGTTCTAGAGAATTAAGGGGTCAGAGTGGCCTGGACTCTGTCTCCAAAACTGCCCTTCTTCATCATTTTTCATTCCTTTCCTCCAGCCAGAAAATGAAATTGGAGTTATTTCCTCTCAGAACCTGAAAAAATGTTGCCTTCATGTTTGGCCACGGACAGACGAGCTGTCTCAATTATCCTGGGAAAGGCCATCTAAACATCGGCGATTCCACTGGGTTTTTCTTTCCACCTTTTCCTCCTCCTCCTCCTCCTCATCCTCCTCCTCCTCCTCCTCCCCCCAGCCAGGCCTCCAGGCTCCCTTCCCTGCTCCACAGTGTCCTCAGGGGAACCCCAGCCCTCTTCTCCTCCTCCAACCCACCTCCTGCCTGCCTTTGCCACCAGCCTCTCTGGCTTGCTATCATATTCAGGTGACCTGCCGGGGGTCAAGTTTTCCTTAGGGTTCTGTCTGAAGCTCTTGGCTCAGGACCTGGGGAAGAACAGAGGGAATCAAAAAGTGATTCAGTTGCAGGGTCCAGGCTGGCATTTGGTGGCTGACATTGTAGATGGTTCTACCTAGAGCACCCTCAAATACAAGACTCTGAACCCAGCACCGAGCGGGCATCAGTCCGAACTCTTTGGGTGACAGAAACCCAACTTGCCAGCTTAGGGAAGAAGGAGGAATTTCCTGACTCGCGTAACCACAAGGAAGGAGACAGGATGGAATCAAGCTTCGGAGATGACTTGAACTCTTTCCACCTTTCACCTTTACATTTCTTTGGGCGTCATTGTCATCCTTCCAGACAAGTAGCCCTCACCATGACCAGGAAGGAACTAAGAGCCACTCTCTAGGTCCAAGTTAAAATGTATCAGAGAATTTAGACATGGCTGGTGGGAAAGTAAAATGCCCCTGTGGAAAATAGTTTGACGGTACTTCACAAAGTTAGACACAGAATTGCCATATGACCCAGCAATTCCACTCCTAGGTATATACCCAAAAAAGTTGAAAACAGGGATTCAAATATACGTTCCTCATAGCATTATTTACAATAGCCAAAAGGTGGAAACAGCCCAAATGTCCTTTCAATGGATAAATGAATAAATTGTAGTAAATACACACAATGGAATATTATTCAGCCATAAAAAAGAAATGAAGTCCTGATATATACTACAACCCAGATGAACTTCAGAAACATTACGCTAAGTAAAAGAAGCCACATGCAAAAGTTCGTGTATTGTGCAATTCCATTTGTGTGAAATATCTGGAATAGGTAAATTCATAGAGACAGAACCTGGACTGGTGGTTGCCAGGGTCTACGGGAAAGGGAGAATGGAGAGGGTTTCCTTTTGAAATGATGATCAATCAACAGGGTGTAGGGTGGCACTTACAAAAGAAAGGGCAGCTCCCACTGGAGTCAGGTGGCTACAGTTGAGGGTAGTCACATTCTTGCAGGGTGGAAGACAGAGTACTCTTTTGGAAAAGAGTAGTTATTTATTAAACTATAGTTTAATAAACAAGATGTGACACAATCAAACATTGGAGATAGGAGAAAATTTAGAACTACTCCATCAACATGGTGGCCACTAGCTGCCTGTGGCTAGTTAGATTTAAATTAATTCAATTCCTAAATAACAATAGCCACCTTTCAAAAGCTAGTGGTACCAAACTGGGTAGCAAAGACGTAGACATTTTCTACCATTACAGAAAGTTATATTGAAGAACATTAATTTAGAGACTGCAGAGTATGACTTTTTTTTTTTTTTTTTTTTTTTGAGACTGGAGTGCAGTGGCACGATCTCGGCTCACTGAAACCTCCATCTCTCAGGTTCAAGCGATTCTCCTGCCTCAGCCTCCCAAGTAGCTGGGATTACAGGCGCCCGCCACCACACCCAGCTAATTTTTATATTTTTAGTAGAAACAAGGTTTTGCCACGTTGGCCAGGCCACTCTTGAACTCCTGACCTCAGATGATCCACCAGCCTCAGCCTCCCAAAAAGTGCCAAGATTACAGGCATGAGCCACACCATGCCCAGCCGACTTCTTCATTTTATAGGTGAGAAAAATGAGGCCTAGAGAGATGAAGCATCTTATATAAGCACACACAACAATTTAGGGCCGCAGCCATAACCAACACTCAGGGCTTAGTTTAGGAAAAGTGGAGATGATGTTTTTAATTGGGAAGAAGCTCTATTGTCTCTTGTTTATAAAAGGAACATGCTTGTTGCATGCATTTTAGAAACACTCAAAAAATATTAAGAAAAATAAAGACCGACATAATTTCCATGACTCAGAGATTGTCATAGTTAACATTTATATATATTCTTCTAGGCCTTTTTTTTCCTATGCATTTCCATTCATAGACATATATATAGATTAAAATGCATTTTATTCTGTCTCCTGCTTTTTTCTCATTTAATATATTTCGGACATTTTTTATGTCATTAAATGTAGATTTATGCCATCATTTTAATATCTGTGAGAGATTAATTTTGAACAGGAGATTCTGCAAGACTCTTTTGAGGAAGTGGCATTTGAAAACAGACCCTTGAAGAATCAGGAGGCTGAGACGGTGGCCAGAGCGTTCTCAGCAGAGGGCAGAGTATAGACAAAGTCAAGTTGGTGACAGGACACTCTGTCCATTAGAAGCTTGCTTTTGACAGATGCAAGAATCAGGGCTCAGAGAGGCAAGGTAATGTTTACCAAGGTCATACAGTGAGTCCTTGTAAAGGGCAGGGCTCGAACCCAGGACTCCCAACTCTCAGGTCTGGGCTTTGGCCTCCAGAAAATCCAGTCTCGATTCTTCACATTGGTATTCGCAGCTTTGCATCACCTGGTTCTCACCCGCTTTGATTACCTTAATCACAGATGACATCCCATCACAGGACATCCTCTGCATCTGCTCCATGCACAGGCAGGGAGGTCAAGGCCCACTGAGGGGAAGGCAGTCTGAGTCATTAAGCAAGATGATAATCGCTGGCATGGAGAGAGCCCTCACTGCATGTCAGGCCATGAACTGGGGCCTGGTCCGCATCCTACCACAAGACCCTCTCTTCTCCTCCCTGGGGGCTGTGCCTGTGTGACCCCTGAGTCACCGTCTGCCTGCCTCACTGCTGTGAGTCAGCGGCATTCTTTGTGGCTGAGAGCAGCGCAGCTCAACCTCAGGGCCCTTCCCCTGTACCTTGGTGAGCCTGGCACATCCTCCAGCTAGGCTAGGAGTAAAAGAGTCAGCGGATGAGTGGCCTTGGGTCATGGCCTGAGAGCTGACCTGTGGGGGCCACTGGGATTCGGATGACTCAGAGCTGCCTCCATGCTGTTCGGAAGCTGGACACTGACTCTGTGAAGTAGTACTGGGCAGAAAGTACCAGCAACTGTCTGGGCTGGGAAGGGATGGTAGGAGGCAGTGAGAAGTTTCCCTGATAACCTCCCTTACCCCTTTGAGTACAAGTCAACCCCATCTCCGGGTGGCTGTTGGGGTGAGGGTTAAGAGCATGGGTTTTGCCACAAGGCAAACCTAGTTTGGGGTTGGAGTCCTAAGTCTGCTTCTTACAGTGTGACCTTGGCAAGTCACTTAACCTCTCTGGGCCTCTGAAAAAGGGAAACTGGGAAAACCAGTGCCTGCTACTGCAAAACTAAATGAGATCATGTATGTAATGCACTTAGCACAGTATAGGACACTGATAAAGCTCTTAGAAATTGGTAGTTATTATTTAGATAATATTATAGTAGACATTATCCAGGGTCTCTTCTAACATTCTCCTTTCATTTATTCACTCATTCATTCATGTGATGAGTATTTATATATTGAGTACCTATAGGAGTTGGGGGACAGAGTTCAGAACAGGCTTTCTGAGGACTGACGGTCACCCAATTGCTAATTGTATTATTCTGTTTTCATACTGCTATAAAGAACTGCCTGAGACTGGGTAATTTACAGAGGAAAGAGGCTTAATTGACTCATCAGTTCAGCATGGCTGGGGAAGGCCTCAAGAAACTTACAATAATGGCAGAAGATGAAGGGGAAACAAAGCACCTTGTTTACAAAGCAGCAGGTAGAAGTGCCAAGCAAAAAAGGAAGAGCCCCTTATAAAACCATCAGATCCCATGAGAACTCTATCGCGACCCACCCACCATAATCCAGTTACCTCCACCTGGACTCTCCCTTGACACGTGGGGATTATGGGGATTACAGTTCAAGAGGAGACTTGGGTGGGGACACAAAGCCTAACCGTATCACTGATGTTCACGGTTAACCCCTTCGTTGAGCAAAGAAAATACAGATATCAATAGACATGGTTCCTTCCATCATGGAACTTATATTCTAGTGGGGGAAAATGAGACAATAAATAGACAAATGGACAATAAACAAGAAAATGACAGATACAGTGGAGAGTGATGGGAAGAGGCCACTTTGGATGGAGTGGCCAGGGGCAACCTCTCTGAAGAGGTGGCATTTCCTGAGCCAGGAGGGCTGAGCCATGAGGGGAGCCTGGGCTTGTGAAGAGGCAGGAGGAGTGTCTCAAGCACGGCGAGGTCAAGGCAGGCACCAGTGTCAGGAGAAGGCTTTGCTGTGGATGACACAGCAAGGAGGCAGTGGGACTGCAGGGAGAAGGGAGCAGTGCAGGGTGAGATGTGGGCAGGGAGTGGCCAGACCTTGTGGGCCATGTTAAAACATGTTCATTTCTTGCTAAATGCAAGTCCATGCCTCCGTAGGCTGGAGTTCAGAGTAAGACTCTCGAATACCTGAATGAGAACTAAGCTGAGAAGAGCTTAACCATCTTTCTGAGGGGCATCCATGTCCCATCCAGACAGCTGTGAACATCAGCCCTCTCAGCACCAGCAGGGACCTTGAAAGTGAGCCCCTCCCCAAAGTAGGCAGGGAGACCACAGCAAAGCCACCCTGCACTGTGCTATTTCTGGCGGGGGGCCGGGCCCTCCAGCTGCATTCCAGGAGGAAATCTGACCAAATGGTTGAAACTGAGGAATGCAGAGCCCACCCCTACCTCAGACAGAAGGAGCCCTTTCTCACCCAGGCCCCTGAGGTGAGGCTTTCCGGGGACTAGGGGTCACCCGATTTCTCCTGTTTATGGTTAAAGCCTTTGCTGAGCAGAGAAAACACAGCTGTCAGCCAGAGGCTCAGCACAACACCTGCAGGAAGGGACCGGGCCTGGCAGGGGAGGGGGCTGCCCAGGCTTGCTGGGGTCCTCTCCCTGCCTGCAAAGTTCAGTCACTCTGGCATTCAAGGACCTGTATCTACCTTGACTATCCTAAGCAGGGAAGACAGCCTGCCACAGATCATCCTCTGAAGCCAGAGACGGACGGGGCCACCCAGCTAGATAATAACAATTGCTAACATCAAGAACTTACTATGGGTCAGGCGGTGTGGTCAGAGCTTGAGTAACATCTAACAAACCTTTGGTGTGGGTACTCGTGTTACTGCCATTTTACAGATGGAGAAATTGAGGCTTCAGAGGTTTAATGACAAGCCCAAGATCAAGCAACTACTAAGTAGAGGACTCAAGATTTGAACCCCGGCCTTCTGACTCTAGAGCTCGCTCTGGTTTTCATTGTGTTTGATTTCCTTATATTAATTTTTTCTCAAAGGGAACTTATTATAATACTACTATTAATGGAAACACATATTAGGCAAAAGTAAAAATAAAAGCAAAAAAAAAAAAGGAAATAATGTTAGTAAATTCCAGCTGGATACTGTTGCTGTTCAAAGAGCTAAATCTGAAACCTTTATTCAACTGATGAACAAGAGAGATTAACAAATGTTAGAAAGGTATTGATGATACACAAGCACTGAACTGAGTCAGGATTTCTCTTGAAATAATCTGCAAGCTAAAATGAGATTGAAAAGGGAATCAGTTTTTCACTGCGTGCTTCACTGTTATTTAATATGGTTTAGCTATGTAGTCATCATTAGTGCTGTTCAGCAAACATTTCTGGCTTTCTGCCTCCCAGGCACATGGAGGGTTGACACCTCCTGATTCCTTTGTGATTGGGTGGGGCCATGTGACCAGTTCTGGCCCTTTCTAAATGGCACATTACTTCTGGGCTAGAACATTTTAATTCCTGGTGTGAGGCCAGCCAGCCCTCTCTTGTCCAGAGCCTGGTTCCCAGAGTGAGGTCAGTGAAGAGGAGAGACAGCCCCCAGCTAAGCCACAGTGATTATGTAACACAAGCAAGAAATAAGCTTGGTGTTATAATTCATTAAGTCTTTCAGGTTGTTTATTTACTGCAGCGTAACCTAAGCTATTCTGACTCATACAGCATATCATCTAAAATCACATTAAAGATGCAGCCCCTCTCTTTAAAGCCCACAGTCTTAATTGCTGTGTTGTGCCAGACATTGACCAAGCCAAGACTGGAGCAAAGCCTTAATGTTCCTTGTGGAATGCTCTTACCTTTACTGTTGCCTCCTTCCCCAAGTCCACTACCTTGGAAAACTACCCATTTCCCCAAAGTGCCCTTGACTCTCCCCATGTCAGAGCGTTGCTTACATTTTTCTCTCTGCCAGGAATGATATATACCTCCATCTCTGCCCCAGTTGGAGACATGGTAAAGAGATAGGCTGCCTGCGTTTCGACGTGGACTCTGCTACTTGCCAGCTGTGTGATCTGGGCTCCTCAGTTAACCTCCCTGGGCCTTGGTTTCCTAATCTGTAAAATGGGATAGTCGTGACTCTGTTATTCACAGAGCTGTTGTGAGGATTTAGTGTGTTAACATATGGAAACCATGTAGAACAATGTCTCACACATAGTAAGATATTTATCAGCATTAAGCTATCATTAGCAACCCTGCCTGTTGAAATCCTGCCTACCTTTTGAGGACTAGCTCACATTTCACCATTTCCATGAAGCCTTCTGAGGTCCCCCAAATGGAAGCACTCTCTGCCCACTCTTATGGCAAATTGCCTGGTGCTTTCAAACTCCCTAGGTTGTAAGCTCCTTGGGCAGAGTCACATCTTCATTATCTGGATATCCCCACCTCCCTCCACAGTGGCCTGGCATACAGGAGGACCAAGGAATGGGGGTTACATTGAACAGAATAGTCCAGGGTAGGGAGAGCTACCTTGGGCATCACTGAGGTTCATGCAGGGACAAGAAGGCTCTGAGTGTTGGCCTTGCCTCTTGGGAGGAGCTGGTCTTATCAAGTCAGTGCATCAAAAGCCTGGGGCCCTCTCCCTCACTTTCAGGTGGAAAGACCGAATACAGGTAGATTTGCTGCCTGTGGCTGCCATAACAAAGAACCACAAAGTGGGTGGCTTAAACAACAGAAATGTATTCTCTCAGTCCTAGAGGCTAGAAGTCCAAAATCAAGATGTCAGTAGGTCCATGCTCCTCTGAAACTCTAGGCAGAATTTGTTCTTGCCTCTTCCATGGCAGGAACCATGTCTGTTGATATCTGTAATTTCTTCCTTCCTGGTTGTGGCCATCAATCCTTGGCTTGTAGACACATCGCTCCAATCTCTGCCTCTGTTTTCACGTGGCATTGTCCCTGTGTGTCTGTGTTTTCACATGGAATTCCATGTGTGTGTCTCCTCACTTCTTATAAGGACACCAATCACATTGGATTAGACTTCCCCACAAATCCAGTACAACTCATCTTAATTTGAGTTAATCTGTAAGCCTCTATTTCCAAATATTGTTATGTGTGAGTTAACTGCTGG
The DNA here is from genome assembly GCF_000001405.40 of Homo sapiens. Classification (NCBI taxonomy): domain Eukaryota; kingdom Metazoa; phylum Chordata; class Mammalia; order Primates; family Hominidae; genus Homo; species Homo sapiens. Next base: position 150,321,906 of record NC_000005.10, read on the forward strand.
GGTATGTTCTGAGAAATATGTTGTTAGGCAATTTCATCATGTGTGAACATCACAGAGTGCACTTACACAAACCTAAATGGGATAGCCCATTACACACATAGGCTATATGAGAGGGCCCATTGCTCCTAGGCTACAAACCTGTCCAGCATGTTCCTGTACTGAATACTGTAAGCAATTGGAACATAACGGTAAGTAATTGAGTAACTAAACATATCCAAACAGAAAAGGCACAGTAAAACACCATGTAAAAGATAATTAAAAAAGAAAAAAAAATCTGGGTACAGTGGCACACACCTGTAATTCCAGCTACAGGAGGTTGAGGTTGGGACTCAGCCTTTACTCTAAGAGTTCAAGATCAGCCTGGGCAACATAGCAACATGGCAACACCCTATCTCTAAAAAAAGACAAAAATAGATGAAAAAGATAAAAAAACTTTACACTTGTGTAGGGCATTTCCTGTGAATGGAACCTGCAGGACTGGAAATTACTCTGGTGAGTCAGTGAGTCAATGGTGAGTGAGTGTGAAGGCCTAGGGCATTGCTGTACACTACTGTAGACTTTATAAACACTGGACACTTAGGCTACACTAACTTTTTTTTGAGACTGGGTCTCACTCTGTTACCCAGGCTGGAATGCAGTGGCTCAATCATAGCTCACTGCAGCTTTGAACACCTGAGTGGAAGGACTCAATTAATCCTTCCACCTCAGCCTCCAGGATAGCTAGGACTACAGATATGTGCTGCCACACCTGGCTACTTTTTATTTTTTTATTTATTGTTATTATTTTTAGAGATAGGATCTCACTGTGTTGCCCAGGCTGGTCTTGAACTCCTGGGCTCAAGCAATCCTCCCACCTCAGCCTCCTGAGTAGCTGGGACTACAGCCATGTGCCACCATGTTCAGCTAACTTTTGTATTTTTTGTAGAGATGGCTTTTGGCCATGTTTCCTGGGTTGGTCTCAAACTCCTAGACTCAAGTGATCCACCTGCCTCAGCCTCCCAAAGTGCTGGGATTATAGGCATGAGCCACTGCACCAGCCTAACATTTTTTTTATGTACAAGTAGAAGGAGTACACTCTAAAATAATGATGTTGATAACACTAATAAAGATAATAATAAATAACTAAAAATAAAATAATAATAATATATAGTAAATACATAAACCAGAAATATACCAGCTGTTTATTGTCATTATCAAGAGTATTATGAACTGCCCATGATTGTATGTGTTATACTCTTGTACAACTGGCAGCATAATAGGTTTGTTTATACCAGCATCACCACAAACACGTAAATAATGCATTGTACTATGACATCACCAGACAACAGGAATCTTTCAGCTTCATTGTAATCTTATAGGACCACTGTTGCATATGCAATCTGTTGTTGACCAAAGCGTCATTACGCAATTCACGACTGTAATCTCACATTCACAAGAACTGGAGTTAGGCATTCAACGTACCTTTTGGGGAAACACAATTCAATCCGTAACACCAGGAGTTAGGAGACTGGGACCTTTGGGCTTCCCCCATTTCATAGAAAGTAGGAGAGAAGGGGTCATAGAAACTAGGAGAGAAGGGGTGAGTTGGGGAGCTCTGGCCCGGGAACCAGGACACCTGGACCCTGCCTTCAGCTCATTCTTCTTCATGGTAAGATGAGGAAAAGTGTCCCCCATGCTCACCAGATAGGTTCTTGTGAAACCCAAATAAGGTAGGGAGCGTAAAGGTAGGAAAATTGCTTTGCAGCCCAAACACCATGCACAGATGAGAAGAACTTCTCCTAGGCCCTAATTGTACTCTTACGCTTCACCCGTGAGTTTGACAGAGAGTTCCTGCAAGGGTACTTTTTCTACACAACCTTATTAATTAGGCACTTCTGATGCTGTTCCCTCAGCCCTCATTAGTTTGATTTTATATTGAAGCAAGCATCATCGCCATAGAGAAATACCACATTTGACATACAGAAAAGCGGGACATGGAGACCACTGCCTCTCTACTTAGCCCCCAGGCCTTCACTCAGGCAGCCCTCTAGCAGCCTTTGCTTCAGCCACACTCAGTTCCTTGCCAGGCTTCAGAAAGGATGGGCCCTGCTCGTTTGGAAACCCCAGTGGTTTGTTGTGTGGCTTGGGGACGGGCCCGTCTCTCTGGTCCTTAGTCTTCTGGTCGGCAGTCTGTACCCTGAGGGCTTTAGGTGATCTGAGAGGCCCTGCCACCTTTCTTTTTGTGTGATTTTAGCTTGGGGTGGTCCTTTAGGACACTTTTGGGTCCTGACCTGAGGATAGGCACGGTGGCAGGAGTTCAGACAAACGCCAGGATGCCTGGTCCTGTCTCCTGCTCTGCCACTGACATGCTTGGGCAATTCCTTTTTTTTTTTTTTTTTTTTTTTTTTGAGACGAAATTTTGCTCTTATTGCGCAGGCTGGAGTGCAATGAATGGCATGATCTCGGCTCACCACAGTCTCCGCCTCCCAGGTTCAAGCAATTCTCCTGCCTCAGCCTCCTAAGTAGTTGGGATTACAGGCATGCACCACCACGCCCAGCTAATTTTGTATTTGTAGTAGAGATGGGGTTTCTCCATGTTGGTCAGGCTGGTCTCAAACTCCTGACCTCAGGTGATTCCCCCCGCCTCGGCCTCTCAAAGTGCTGGGATTACAGGCATGAGCCACAGAGCCCAGCCAATTCCTTCCCTTCTTTAGGGCTTTTTCCCCTGCCATCACAAAAGAGACTGGCCTGGATGAAAGCCCTTCCAGTTTGGCTTTTTTGGAGTCCAACAGCCAACACCTTTGGAACATGCCATGGTCATCCTCATCACCTGGCCTTAACATCTGCTATGCCCTCCACCAGGACCACCGTTCCCCGCTGTGTTCACACGGTGCATTTCTTCATTCAGGTTTTCACTACTCAGCAGAGCCTCTTCTTTCCACCCAACCTAAAGTCACATGCATATACACAGCCCTGATACTCTTTTTCCCTAAACACTGATCATTACCTGATCTCATACTGCACATTTATCAGTACTTTGTCTTTTTGCCAGCCCCACCCACCCCCCACCAATAGAATATAAGCCCCATAATGGCAGGGATCTTCTCTAACTTGTTCAACATGGCACCCCAGTGCCTAACATAGAGCTGGGCACCTAGTAGCTACTTGATGTATTTTGGAAGGAAGAGAGGGAAGGAGGGAAGAAGGAAAGAGGGAGTGGGGAGGGAGGGAGAAAGGAAGGAGGGTTTTACCTATCTGTATGAAGTTAGCCTAAGATAACATAAAATGCCTTTTCTTTCTCACCCTTGCTGTTGCTAGGCTATGTCTTTCTAGCTTGTATTTATCTGTTCAACCAATACGCACGGTTGGCCAGCTCTGCCCAGGTATGGTGTTAAGCCCAGGTGATCGGAAGGTGAACCTGATACCCCCACCTTCTTTCTGATCTTATTAACGTACATAGTAACCAGGACTATGGTCAGTGAGGGGAGGAGGAGAACAGGGATGTAGGTAACTAGGAGACAGAGGACAGGGGGCAGGGAGGGGTCGGAGGAGGGCCTCTCAGTGCAGGTGATGTGGGCCCTGGGTGGTCACTTAGGGTTTGGGGAGGAGGCTGGTGGGGCTGGTGGGACTGGCTCCTGGTGTGGACCATGGCAGTGCAGGGACAGGGCTCAGCCTCCCAGCTGTGGCCTTTGCTATCATTTCCTGTGGGAATGCTTTCTCCTTAGCTACCCACCCTAGGGCCTCCCTGCCCCAGCTAAGGCAGGGCCCTCCCTCCACCCTCTGCACACCAAGGTGGCCAGATCCTTTCCCTCTGAGCTGCCTCTCCCTTGCCGTGGACTTCCGGCTGCCTGGACCCTCCTGGGAGCAGCCCTCTCCCCTCCCTCTTGATGCATGGTGGGGTCGGTCTCTGGAGACTGTCCCTGGTCTCTGCTGGGCACCAGCTTCCAGACTGGGTTCCTTTCTCTGCAGCCTTGCCTGTAGGACATCATCTCACTGAATCCTTCCACTTTTTTCCTGCCTCACTCACCTTTTCCCTTTCCCTGGAGCTCAGGTGCAGCCTCGCATTTCTTTCCCATGTGAGCCCCAGGTGACATTGCAGGACATCCAAGGTAGCCAATTTCGGGTGGGCTCCACTTAATAATAAAGTGTTCCCTGCGCCACATGTGTCATCTCATGCATCCTCATGAGGACTCTCATTAGTCCCATTTTACAGATGAAAGCCTGTGACATTCACCATAGTAAGTAGTTGAACAGGGGCTCCAACCCAGGGGGTTCTGTGCTTCTGTGCATCCCCTCCACTCCATGCCTCTCTGGAAGAGCAGTGGCCTCAGAGCCCATCTACTCCACGACACTGTGCGGGGCTTGCCCAGGGCCTGCTCCTTTTCCAGAGACTCCAGTTGTTTCCTCTAATGAGGGGGTGGGATAGGTTGAGAGGGGACTCAAATCATAGAACTTTCCAAGCTTGAGCAAGACCCAGGAGAAGGGAATTAGATAGGGATCCTGTCCTCTGGATATTCTCATAAATATTAATAATCGCAGGAGCTGACATTCACCTGGGGCTTACTCTGGGCCAGGCACTGTTCTAAGCAATTGCATGTGTGCTCACTGGCTCGATCCACACAAAAACTATCCTCCCCACTTTACAGATGAGGAAATTGAGGCATGAAAACTCATCCACACAGCTACTAAGTGCTGGAGCTGCAAGTGAACCCAGCAGGCTCTGCAGTCAAGCTCTTCCCTTTGAAGCATTTCTCAGGCAGTCACTAATATAGCACTTTGTCCAGGCTACCTTCAACCCAAGCATTGGGACACACAGGGACAAAGGGATGGGTTGTCACATCCCACAGACACCCCAAGCCCCTGTCCTCAACCTTCTGAACATTTGTCCTCCAGTCTAGAGGCCATTTGCACAGTGATGGGTCTGGATCCCTTGCAGAAGAAAAATACAATTTTCTTTTCCACTCAACAAGCCTATGTTTCTCTCCCCTCCCTCTAGCCCCATTGTTTATTTCAGCAAGGAAATGGCCTTTGAAGTCCTCGCTTCTTGAAAGCTGAGAGGGAGAGGGAGGCACTACAAACATTGAAAAGCATAGCCACGTTTTGGTTGGAATCTGGAAGTTTTTAAGGATTAATAACAGTTTTTGGAATCCATGGACCCTGTTGCTCTTTCAAGGTGAAAAAAATAACCCCTTGAATATCACAGCTGCTGGGGTCTGGAGGAAAAAAATCATCCAGAGCCATGCCAGGGGTCTGCTTAGGCTGAATGTGATGAGGAACAGCCCCAAATTCTGGTCCAGGGGGCGTGTTCTTAGCTCTGTGGCAAAGGGGCAGTAAGAAAAGGGAGATTTTCCCAAAGCTCCATTCCCTCTTTTGAAAGAATCATCTTTTACGGGGGTTATGCCCTTCCTGCTTTGTTTGATGTCCAAAGCCCTTTCTTTAAGGAATTTGTGACTACGGTAAACAAAAGTTATTTAAAAGTGTCTTCAGCAAAAGAAAATAGTTGGCAATCCTACCTCAGTCTCCCAGTTCTTAATCTTTTGGAATGTGCCTGGTTAGGGAAATCTCAGTTCTTCAGTTGAGGAGGAAGAAAGAGATGGACACATGTTATCTCACCCTGAAGTAGAAACTGGGGCCTTCATAAGACTCTGCCAAAGTGCAGAGTATGGTTCAGGGGCAGTCGCTGCAGATGCAAGCCCTGGGGAAGGCTTCTCAGAGGTGGAGTGCATCCCTGGGCTGTGGAAAGCAGGTACCACCTCACCTCCACAGCCAAGGGGAACTCCAGGGAGAGGGAAGGAAGAGGCAGCAGAACCTGTTCTAAGGACACCTGAGTGTCTAAGGGCTCCCTCAGACGCTGATCGCATCTACTTCTCACAATCCTGCAATGAGTGTACTCCAGTTATTCCCATTGGACATCTAAGGAAACTGAGGCACGGTAAGGTTAAAGTCACGGTCAAGGTCATGCAGCAATCAGGGGCAGAGCTGGGGTTCTCACCCAGGCCACTCTGTGAGACTGGCTACATAATTTGCAAGGTCAGTACAAAATGAAAATGTGGAGCTCCTTACTCATAAATTATTGAGAATTTTAAAACGGGGACAGCAGACTGTTCAACCAAGCATGGGGCCCTTCTAAGTGCAGGCCTGTGCAGCAGCTCAGGTCACACACCCATGACAGCAACCCTGCTTCTGGGCTTGAGAGTCCAGCTCTTGCCATTGTTCACCGCTGCTTTCCATTAGATGGTGGAGTTAAGTTAAACAGAGGAAGCAAAACCTAAAATTATCTATTCACTAAAAATCTACAATGTCCCTATTGAGACAGGTATAATATACAATATACCAAATTATTCATCAATGGCTGTTTGGAGGGTGAGACCATGGGTGAATTTTTCTACTTTTCTGTATAGCTACTTTTTAATATAAGTATGAATTTCTTTACAATAGAAATGAAGTGGGTGTTTTGCTGTGTTTTAGTAGTTTCACCTGTAGGACAGGAAAGAATTATGGGGTTTCCTGGCCATTCCCCCAGCTTCCCTTCCAGGACCAATTGGCTCCTCTCTGCCTATCATCTCTCTGGCTCTGGACCCCTGCCCACTCCACTTCGGGGCCCCAGCCTGGCTCTAATCAATGGCTGATGACCAGGACGAGAGTGTGTTGTGATCAACCAGAGCATGTGGGCCAGCAGAAAGACCATGGCCCTGGCAGAGAAACTGAGCCTAGTCCCTGCTCTGCCAGACATGCGCTGTGTGGCCTTGAGCAAGTCCCTTTCCCTCTCTGAGCCTGATGTTACAGTGGGGCCCTTTAACACAGTGTGGTCTACAGCTCAATGACTGCAACAGCCAATGAAGCAATTCCAGCCACCAAGACCTTTTCTTGAGTTTCCTCCTTTTCCACAAACAGCAGAGAGGGAGTGAAGCAGGATGATCTGGAGCAGGGCAGGGTGGTATAGTGGGAAGAGGAACTCTAATTTGGAAATACTCAGTGAGCAATATCTGCCCCTCTTGAGGCCCCTGTCCTCTCTGCTTCAAACTCTCCATGGTTCCAATTGCCTCCGGAATAAACCCCAAACTCCTTACCATGGTCCTCCACAATCCATTCTGCCAGCCTTGTCTGCTCCCATTCCTGATTCTTGCTCACGCCCCGCCTGCCACACTGACCTCCCTGCTTTTGTGTCAAGCTCATTCCCCCAACAGGGCCTTTGCACTGGCTGTTCTCTCTGCCTGGAACTCTCTTCCCCAGACCTTCCCCTGACTGCCTCTTTGGATTTGGAGCCAAAATGTCACTCTCAGAGAGGTTTCCCTAGCTACACAGCTCTTTATCCCATGAGCCCATGTCAGCGTCTTCACAGCACACGTTGTTATCTAACATTTCCTGTTTCTATGTTCTCATGTTCATTATCTTTGCACATCCCCCATCTTTCCAGTCCCATGACACTGAACACCATGCCCATGACCTACTGTCTGGTTCCCCACTTTGTTCTCAGTGCTTAGACAGTCAATAAATATTTGATGAATGAATGATTGAATGGGCCTCAATGTGCCTAGCAATACAATTAGAGGGTAAGGAGAATTCAATCATTCTGGTCACAGATGTCTTTTAAAATATAATGAAATTTAGGGATCCTCTGCTCAGGAAAGCACAGACATAACATTGTGCATCCAGTGAGGTCCCCACCCCCTTTGAAGCCTACCCCAGAATCCCTGATCATGCTCTGAGGTTTTCAGATCTGAGAACAGAAGACAACAAAGATCAAATGGGTGTTCCATTGATTGTAAAAGGTGATCAGGACTTGGTGCTCTGTCTTTGCGGAGTTTATATTTCCTCATTTGGAGCCAAAACTATGTCTTGGTGCCCCCTCCCACACTCCTGTCTCTAACTCAGCAGATCCGCTCAGCTGGAGGGACCTGGCTCTATTATTCTTGCTCCTTGATTGGCCCCCCGGTTTTCCTTCTGGCCCTCTCCTCTCCTCTTCCTGCTGCTGAGATCTTAAGACAGCAGATTCAGGCCTCTGGAGGAATGGTCTCCCTTAACACCAACATGGTCCCCCATCTATAAAACCTTTCAACTTCATAAACTCGTAACTGCATAAATCTGTCCGAACATTCTGGGGCAGTTGTAACCATTGGTGTTGGCTTGCAGACCTGAACTGAGCTGCCAGAGCTTTAATGAGGAAATACTTAACAGGCCCAGCCCAGGGTGACGACCAGGGAGGGCAGAGAGCCCACAGACGGCTGCCAAGGAGCCATGAGCTGGCCTCCGCTGGGCACAGTGGACAAGACAGGCTATCGATCAGCTTCTCAGAAAAATGAAATTGACTTAATCTTGTTACACTTTGAAGGTGTGGGTGGAAGAAGGTGAGATGGGTTAGAGACGGTGGGACAGCAGTCAGGAGTGAGAACCTAGCCAGGACTGAGCTTTGTGTTGAGACACATGTAGCCAGACAGATGAAAAAGGCACTTTCTCCCTCCCAGGCTGGGGCACGCTGTCTTTTCCATGATTAATGTGGAGAGAATGGCTTAGACGCTGTTGAGGGCCGGCGAAGAGAAGTGGTCCTTTTTTTCCCTCCTCCCCAGGCGCCCGTCTGGAGAATGGTGGCAGGGAAGGGTCAGTTGTGTTGATAGGGACGGCTGCGGGGCCACCTGGAACTTGCACAGGAATCCACATCACTGAACACCCAGGGCCCCTGGCACCCAGAAGGTGGGCTGCGGGTGACCTCAGGAAGAGGGGGCTGCTGCAGTCCCAGCCAGGCAGCTCTAGAGAAGCAACTACCCCTGGTATTTCCCCTCCCAGCAGCCACATGAAACAGTTCTTGGGGGACAGGGAGAGAGAACACACTTCTGAGGTGGCTGTGAAAATTTGGGCCTGGCAGACAAGAAGTGCTATCCACAAGAAAGGGGCAATTCTGTGGTCTTGTACATCCTGGAGACTTCATTGAAGGAATTCCCTTCAATCTGATCGTCAGGAGGAAGGGCCCCTTGGCTGTGAGGTTGGAGGAAACTGTTGCCCGGCTGCAGCCCCACGACCCCACCCCCTCCTTGTGGTGCGATGAAGGCCTGGACCCCGATGGGACCACACTTTGTGCCTGTGGCTAGGTGGGCATTTCTAAAAGCTGGATACCCAGAAATACGAAGTCAGAACAGCATCTCTGACCTAACCACATGGCCCAACTTAGAACCATACCCTGAAGCCCTAATTTCCAGGGCAGCTGCCCCCAAGGCCAAGGAAGGCCCATAAATTCCAGGTACATGAAGAAATGAAGTCCATGCTTGTAGAAGCAGGGAGATGGGGTTCTTTCCCAGCCGGGTGATGGATTTCTCTTCCCTTCATCACATCAACAGTTCTCAAGACCTTGCCTTACTTAATGTCATGGTCCCCATTGAGACTCTCCAAGACTCCCATGGAATGAGGCCCTACTCTGTTTACAGATAAGACCCCAGAAATCCACTTGCAGCCCTGTGGGACAGGAAAAGAGTGCTTAGGTGCCTGACTATTAGACAAAAGGAGAAACTGAGGCCTCAGAACAAAAGCTGAGTTCAAGTCATAGAATGGATTTTCCCTTGGAGGCCATCTGGCAACACACTGGTTTTGCAGGTGAGAACTGTACAGCTCTGAGAATAGAGGAGACTAAGTATGTCCCCAACACCCTCCACACAGCATTGCACCATTCCCTCTGCCCAGGTGCCCTGAACATGGCCTCCCCTACCTCTGCTCTCATCTCTGGAGGGGGCCCAGCAGGCCATCCCCCCACAGATTTGCTCCCAGCTCCAGCAGAGGCCAGGCCTGAGCCTCAAGAGCCTCGTCATAGCTGAGGGGCCCCAAGAAAGTACCATCTGCAGGGAAAGGCATCAAGAGTGCTGATTTCAGTCCCAGATCTCTGCTGGAAAGCCCTGTGACTTTGGGAGACCTTTACAAATATCCTAATATTTGAAGAACACATTATGTTTCACAAGGCTCTTTCACATATGTTATTTCATTCTGTCCTGAATCTCTTGGGGCCTCAGTTTCTTCACATCAAAATGAGGGAATTGAACTGACAGATGGCTTCAAGGCTTTCTCTCCCACATGCTAATATTTTGTGAGAGACTATGTTTTAAGGCATCTCATAGATTATATTGTTCGTTTTAGGATTTATGGTGCTAAGATGCTGTGTTCTGGGATCCTAGAAGCATCAGCTTCTGAAATTCAATGGTCTTTGATTCTCAGAGTATATGACTTTTTCATTCCATGATTGCATATGTCAGAGTTTCCCAGATTTTACTTGTTCCCGTACCACCTTTAGCACATAGACTGCGTCTGCATACCACCTGTATTATTATTCATTTAGTATTTTTTCTTTAAATAGAAGCTTTCTAACTTAAATAAGTGTCTTTAAAATGGAAACTTTATATCACTATTGCAAATGGAAAACCAGTCTCACCTGCCATAAATAAGAGCTAAAAGTAAAAATAAATACAATAAAAACAATGCTATTAAATTCTAACTAGATATTGTTGCTTGCCAAAGGCTGCAAGTCCAAGGCTTGCTCTTTAAAAAAATGTTTTAATATACATACGTGTATATATATATTAGCAAGGTTTAGAGAGGTATTAAAGACACGTTAGCATCGAATTGAAATGGTATAATGAGAAGGATTGAAAATATAACTGAACTTTTCATCTCTTTCTCAGTAAGTGGTTCCACGTTGTTCAGTGCTGTACCTGGGCATCACCTAGGTTCACTGTGGGGCATGTCCCTTCAGTAGGTTCACCTAGTGTAAAACTCCTTGTTCTGCCACATGGTAAAGGAACCTAAACTATCACCTCTCAGGCCACACGAATATTGTCCAGAGAGTCCATTTGGTTTCTTCTCTTCTGAGCTAGGAAGAGCTTTGCATTATTGCAAAAGCAGTCCCTCAGATTCAGGCCTGGGGCTTCCCTCTCATGGTCTTCCCCGGATAAGAAGAGGCAGACTAAAACCCCACAAGCCTATCACCTGGAGATTGTTAGAGATGTCAGTGGTTCTGGAGCTGCCAACAGGACTCAGCTGGACAGAAATACACTTTCTTTAGTGCAGGTCTGGTGACAGCTGGGCCTGCAAGTGATGCTTTTGCTTGTGGGGCAGAGAGAGCAGACACAGCTCTGGGGGTGCTGGCCTCCAGAGCCGGGAGTGGGGGTCTACAGGAAAAGCCTGTTGGAAGAGCTCAGCATACCCCGGGAGGGTCAAGGCTGGACTCATCCTCTCTGGGGCTGGCTGCAGAGCCAGGGTGGTATCAGGCCAGGCCTTGACATGTGGGCAGGAGGACCCAGGTTCTAATCCCACCTGCTGCTGGCCCACTGTGTGACCTTGAGCAAGGCCCTTTTCCTCTGCAGGGCAACATCCTCTCTGTACAATCGGTGCACATACTGGCTCTGACTATCTCTGCAAGGAGTAGGGGTATAAGAATGCTTGCTGGCTCACAACTCTATCTTCAGCACGTGGTTTCACTCAAATAAATGGCTGCTGCTATTATCATTATAACAATAATTATTATTTGGTCTTCACGATTCTTTGAGAAAGGGTGAGATGAGCAACAATTTTCTCATTGACAGGGGCAACATATAGAAACGTTTTCATACACAGAAGTAGTCCGTATATTTGATAACAATATTTCTTTTTCCTTCCTGCCAGGCGCCTTAGTGCCTGAGGGCAGCATCAGTCCTTGGCCTGGGCTCAGCTTCTGAAGCTGGCCTGATGACTTCTCTGTGATAGTGACATCGGCCTCACATTGAAGACAGCCTTTCTTTGTCTGACTCCAGAACAATATATGAAAAACCAGGGCTGCCTTTCCCCTGCTCCCTTCACCCCACACAGAGTCCCATCTCCAGGCCTTTGCTGTTGCTCTTGCTCTTGCCTTCCCCTACGATGTCCTCCTCTCTCCCTATGGCTTGATCCAGCCCTCAGAACCAACCTCCAAAACCCAGGTAATAGTAATAGTCCTGGCTCGGCCCCAGATTCTCTGATTGGCTGCTCTGGACCTCAGTTTCCCCATACAAAATAAAGGGATTGAACTGCATGACCTCCAAGCTCCTTCCAGTCGTGGCATTGGGAATGACATATGCAGTAGTGCCCACCATGAAAAGGAAATGACCCTGACTGCTTAGAGTCAACTGCTCAATGAAGACCCTGTCAAACTTGGAATCAGGAGAATGGGGACAATCAGCTCCATGACCCATGTGTATAGCCTTTATCCCATAAACTGTAGGCAACCAGAGGACAGAGGCCATGTGTGATTTACTAACCCTCACATCTGCAGGGTGGTCAATGCATAAAATTTGCTCAACAAATAATGATCAAATAAATATATGTATGCTTGAACTGTATGATAAGCATTCTTATTAGAAAACTGAAGTTGAAGTCAAATGCAATCAAGTTAACGCTCCTTGATTTTAAACTCCAAGGAGAGAAGCCCCCTCTTTCTTTTCCTCCAGGCTCAAACTGCAGCATTAGCCTGAGCTTGGGGCTGGGGGCAGAGAGGAGAACAAGGCTCTATTAACTTATTTTAGTTATCTAGAGAAAACTCACTTTTTTTTTTTTTGAGACAGAGTCTTGCTCTGTTGCCCAGGCTGGCAGGCAGTGGTACAATCTCAGCTCACTGCAATCTTCACCTTCCGGGTTCAAGCAATTCTCGTGCCTTAGCCTCCCAAGTAGCTGGGATTACAAGCACATACCACCAAACCTGGCTAATTTTTATATTTTTAGTAGAGATGGGGTTTTGCCATTTTGGCCAGGCTGTTCTCGAACTCCTGACCTCACGTGATCTGCCTGCCTTGGCTTCCCAAAGTGCTGGGATTACAGGCATGAGCCATCGCGCCCAGCCAAAAACTTCAAAGCTATGGGCATATTCAGGCTTTTTAATAGCTTTTCACCCTGCCTAGTATTCAATCATTGATTCCACAAACACTTCTTTTTTTTAACTTTTATTTTAGTTTTGGGGCTACATGTGGCTGTTTGTTACATGGGTAAACTTGTGTCATGGGAGTTTGTTGTAGAGATTATTTCGTCACCCAGGTATTAAGCTCAGTACCCAATAGTTAACTTTTCTACTTGAGAATATCTGTGTAGCTGGGGCTACAAAGAGTGTGAAGGACAGGCATGGAATTTGAGGAATCCGAATACTTGGTTTCCAGCCCCAGCTCTGATAGGAACTCTCTGTGTGATCTTGGGCAAATCACTTCTCTCCTCTAGGCTTTAGCATCCTCATCTGCAAAATGGAGTGTTGGACTTGTTAATATCTAAGGATGTTTCCTTTCTTATTATCTATGATCAACATCTTAACCTGTGAGCTACAGATTCCCAGAGCAGAGGGACTAGAATTTTTTTAAGAGGTCTGGGAAGTAGTCTATGCATCAACCATTATCTGTAAATAATATACAAAATTACGATTCCTTTTGTGTATGTTGGAGACAGGAGGTTAATCAACTTTGCATAAGGGCCTCACACTTGAAAGGGCAGAAGCTCTGGTGTGAATGGCACTGGCTATCATCCTGACTTGGACAGAGCTTACAGCCTAGCAAAGATATAACCCAAGCAACTTGAATACGATGAGAGAAACAGATGTGGGTCCTGAAAGTTCAGAGGCAGGAGAGACCAGTAAAAGGCAAGAAAGTTCTCTTAGAAGTCATAGACCCCACTGAGAAATTGAGACAATTATTGGCCTCCCCCCACTCCTACCATACCAAATGCACCAAATCTTACATACAATTGCCAGGTGATCACAGGCCTTCAAGTTCATCTCACAGAACTCATCACAGTTCTTAATCAAGGTTAAGAACTATTGATTTAGATAAACCTGTAAGCAGAAGTCGGGCAAGTCTGGAGCAAATCCCTAACTTGAATTCTTGAACCAGGGCACCATACAAGCTTGTAGGAGAGGCTAGAGACACTTTGGGATCGATGGCCCCAGGACCTGAGAGGTCTTGATCAGAGAGAAGGGGTCACGGGGAAGCTTGGGTGAAATAAGCCATGAGCCACCTTCTCTGTCTCTTCTGCTAGACGAAGCAATTTTTTATGCTGTTTCAGAAGGCTAAACTCATAAGCTTCAAAACATAAACAAGCAGAGCCTCTTAAATCACTGGGGAATTGTTTATGAATTAAATCATCTCTTCATAACAAACAGAGACCAGGCTGAGAATCCACAACCTCCATGATTAGATGTAGACAGGCAAGGAATCAAGAAGGGCCCCTGTGGGGATGAGACCTCATCCGAGATGGTCCCATTCAGAGGCAAGGCCAATGGCTAGAAAACCCTGCCTCTGTTCTCATGAGTGAGTTCCTTGGGGTGGTAGAAACCTGATGGACATGTAACAAGATTTAAAAGGTGAAAATATGCTTTTGATCCTGAAGTGGTAATCATTTTAAAGGCCACGGCCAACACCACCAGCATTACAATTACACTCAGCAGTCTCGTGGCAAAGGACAAAGGACGCAATGGCACAATGTAGTTTGATTGAGCCAAGGACATAGACCCCCTGAGTGACTGTGGGCGCAGGATGACTCCCGAGTGAGAGCTTCTCCCACTTTAATGTATATCTGAGTCACCCAGCATCCTGTTACTATTTGGATTCTGATTCAATAGGACTCGGATGCAGCTGAGATCCTGCATGAACAAGTGCCCAGGTGATGCCATGATGCTGGTTCCCAGGTCAAAATAATGGCAGTGACAGCAGAGCACAGCTAAATCCATGGACTCTGGGGTCAGATAGGCCTGAGTTCAAATCTTGGCTTCCTTATCCCACTGGCTGAATAATATTAGTTACTTAGCCTGTTTGAGATTCAGCTCTTTATCTGTAAAATAGGAATAACAGGCACGATTATTTGTTTATTCAATAAATATCTATTAACATCTTCTATGTGTCAGGCTTGTGCTAGGCCCTGGGGATGCAATGGTGAGACAAAGCAGACTCGGTTCCTGCTCTCGGGGATCTGATGGTCTTTGAGATGATGAATGTAAAGTATTTAGCACAGTGCCTGGTACCTGGTAAGAGCTCAACAAATGATACCTATTTTTATTAGTAGTAGCATAGTATCATCAATTTCAAGCACCCCGGGGAGAGAACTCTTCCGTTAAGCACCAACTTCCTGAAAGGAGTTCTGATTCATTCTGTAATAAAGGGAACACTGAGATGAAGAGTATATGGTCCCACCACTTGAGGAGCTCCTGGTTTCATGGAGAGATGTGTATTTAGCCCAGGTGTAGAACAAGTTAGATGTGGGGTTCACTCTGTTCACAGGCTTGATCCAGAACTACTGGCCTCCGTGTGCTTCTCAAAGCTGACCTTCCTTCTCTCTTGGTTGCCCTGCCCCCAACCTTTGTTTTTTGACTCTGCCTCCCATTTTTACCCTTTTCCTACACTTTGACTTGAAAAATGCTTTACCCCCTCAGTAATGACTATAACCCAGCTCCTGCTGGCTAGACAGCCTGTAGACCTCCCACCAAAGCTACGTATCACCCCCTAGGCCTCCCTACCTTCCTGCCCACCAGGGTTATACAAATGGATCAATCTAGGCACCTGCTATGGAGCTCTGGAAGAAAATCACAAAGACTTGGAATGCTCTGCATTCCATTGGAATTCTCAATACGCTGAGTATCAGGAGGTTGGAGATCATGGATGGTGTTGATAAGGAAAAGGTAGTGTGCTTTCAGGTGGGCTGGGCGTAGACATCTAGGTCTGGGCCCTCCTGTGCCCCATTCCTGGTACAGACTTCGCTACAGTGAGGCTCTAAGTCAAGGCCAGTGAGAAGGTGGGAAGGAGCAGGGAGCAACTACAAGGAACAGCTAATGGAAGGAGACTCAGAGCCTTAATCTTCAAATCAACTGAAGCAAACCACAGAGACTTATTGAAATTGTCACAAGCAGCACTGGGGCCTAGGGATGAAGTGAGGAGTGGGGCATAGTCCCTGCCCTCATGGAGTTTACCATCAAGCACAGAAAACCAACAATGGCAGGGCATGACAGCATAGCGTGGTGGGCACCGTCATGGCGGACAAACTGGAACCAGTGCAGCCCATCAACAGAGGCTTCCCAGGAAAAGCACTTCAGCTGACACCTGAAGAAGAAGGGTGAGGCCAAGGACGGTGAAGGGAAGGAGCATTCCAAGATGAATGTACAGCATTCAGAAGGCTGGACCGAGAGGACTGCTCCATGTGGTCACAGAGAGAGGTGTGAGACATGGACCTGTTGAGGGGGCCAAGGGCAAGCCGCAGAAGTCTAACCATTCCAAGTGTCCAACTTGGACACCTCCCCGAGGGCAATGGGGAGCCACTGAAGGTTCTGCAGTACAATTCAACACCAGTTATTAGTCTGCTTTTACAGATGGGAAACTGAGGCACCAAGGAGGGGTTAGGTAACTGGCCAGAGGTTACACTATCAGAAAGTGCTAGGGCCAGGATTCCCTGCCATCTGAGTCCAGAGCCTACACTTTCCAGCACGTGGTTAAGTGCACACACAGGTACAAATACACATATATTAAAAAAAAAAAATACAGCCATGGCACAGGGCTCAGCCAGAGGCCTTACAGGCAAACTCTATTTAAACCCATTTAACAAGGAGCCTCTTAATGATCTCATTAGCCTGGACAGGGCCCTTAGGAAACTTGAGGCAAGGCCCTGCTTTAAATGGGGCTTCTTTGAAGTGGCCACCACCTGAAGCAGCCACCTGAGTGGCGGATAACAACGAGGGCCTGTGAGCCCTGCGCCCGCTTGGGCTGCAGCCACGGGGCCTCTAGCACAGCAAGACTTGGCCTCGGTGGGGCCCAGGATGCCTGTCGGGTTGCTGTTAGCTCACTCCCAGCCACCCTCTCTGCAGGCCCATTCAGATGGGCGATCTGGCTGGCCAGGCCACAATGAGGTCATGCGTCATGATGGCGGTGGCCAGAAGGAGACTGTGGCCTTCCCTAGGCCTCACCCTCTCATGTCTGGACTCCAAGCTCCCCTCGGCCTGGTCTGGCTCCTGATCAGGGATGCCTCATGGTTCTCCCTGATCCCAGGCTCTACCTCCACCCTGTCTATCCCCAGCTGCTCTCATCAGTCCTCTTGCTCCTAGATTGACACCCTTCCCTTCCAGCCACCCAACCCTGATCTCTTCATGATCCCCTTAAGGGTGGGTGCCTGATCTTCCACATGAGCAGCTATGAGACCCCACCCAAACATCACCCCCAACCCCAGTCACCCTAGATGCCTACTGCTCTGGTCAGCCTGGGGCCTCTGGGCCCCCTCTCCCTCTGCCTGGGGGAGAGTCAGCATCCCAGCAGGGCCAGCCCACACAGCTCCCAAGCTGCCCCAGAAAACGACTGGGGGTAACTGACCTTCTGAGGAATATGCACCTGGCCAATTGTCCCACCACGGGGTTGCAAAACCCAGACAGGCAGAAGGAACCGATTCACCTTTCCAGAACTGCATGAGGAGGCCCTCCCAGCAGGCTGTGGCTGCCGCCCTGCCTATTAATAGTCAAGCAGCTGTTTGCCTCTCTGAATGAGAGTCTTTATTGCAAGCTGCGTTGACAAAACAGATCCTGCTCCTTCCTGCCCAGAATATGTGGGGGTGGAGGGGCCATAGTGAGATGTGCCTTCCTTCCAGGGACATTGAGAAGATCAGCACTGGGACAGACCTTAGCAGAGACCCCTTGAAAATCAGGGCCAAGCTCATTCTCACCACCTCCTCAGCCCCTCACTCACTCCTCTGCTCATGTTCCCAGTTTCAGCCAGCAGCTGCACTGTTCCTGGGTACTTTCACAACATTCTCGTCTCTCCTTTGTACCACCCCAATCTAGAAGCCTCAAAGTTGAGGGCTTGGGCCAGCGTAGTGGCTCACGCACGTAATCTCAGCACTTTGGAAGGCCAAGGGGGGTGGATCACTTGAACCCAGGAATTTGAGACCAGCCTGGGCCACATAACAAGACCCATCTCTACAAAAATACAAAAGTTAGCTGGGTGTGGTGGGTGCGCCTGTAGTTCCAGCTACTTGGGAGGCTGAGGTAGGAGAATCACCTGAGCCTGGCAGTTTGAGGCTGCAGCGAGCCATGATCCTGCCACTGCATTCCTGCCTGGGCGACAGAGTAAGACCGTGTCTCAAAATAAAAAAAAAAAGTTAAGGCCTTTTCTGACATCTGGCCTCACCTCCCATGCCCCACCCCCTCAATCAGCTGAGTATGTGACTTGACATTCTCTCCCTTAGCTCCTGGCCTTTGCACATGCCATTTTCTCTGCCCGATGCTCCATTTCCCCAGATCTTCATGTGATTGATGATCCCTTAAGTCATGGCTTGGAAGAGACCACACTAGGAAGGCTTGTCTCCCAAAACCAACCTCAGTGTGCCTCCATGCTCTGCTGAACTTACTTCCTTACCTGAAGTTCTTTCTGGGAGGGTAGAGGTGCGGCCTTTTTCTTCCCTTACTTTCCTCTACCAGCTCCCAAGACACTGACACTGAGATGAATCAAAGAAAGATACATGAATGCTTCCATCTCCTTCCCGAAGCCCCCACACTCTGACCAGTCAGCAAGTCCTGTTCATTCAACCTGGTGAAGAACGAGAGATCTGGAAATAGGTTGCCTGGGTTTGAATCATGGCTCTGCCACTTATCAGTTGAGGGACGCTTGAGTAAGTCATTAACCTTGCAAAGCCTGTTTCCTTACCTGTAAAATGGAGCCAATCATAGTTCCTGCTTCCTAAGGTTATTGTAAGAAGTCAAGGGATGGCTGGGCGCAGTGCTTCATGCCTGTAATCCCAGCACTTTGGGAGGCCGAGGAGGATGGATCACTTGACGTCAGGAGCTCAAGACCAGTCTGGCCAATATGGTGAAACCTCATCTTTACTAAAAATAAAAAAATTGGCTGGGTGTGGTGGCATGCTCCTGTAATCCCAGCTACTCAGGAGGCTGAAGCAGGAGAATTGCTTGAACCCAGGAGGCAGAGGTTGCAATGAGCTGAGATTGCGTCACTGAACTCCAGCCTGGGCAACAGAGCAAGACTCCATCTCAAAAAAAAAAAAAAAAACCGTCAAGAGGCAATGCTTATAAAATGCCTAGCCCAGCATCTGTCACAATCAGTAAATGTTAGCTGCATAAATAATTTTACTCAATGTTTCAACCTGACCACAGAAACTTCCCCTATCCATGCCTCCTCCACCCCCATTTAACCATCATCCACAGTGGTGAATGTCACAAAGCACATGCTGTCAGAAATGCCTGTGTAGCTAACAGTCGTGCCATTGAACAAGTGAGGCACGTGGGGCCAGAAGGAACACAGGACAGAGCCATGAGCCTACATATTAGACCTGATGGCTTGGCCACATTGCTGCATCTCGGCCTAAGGAGCTAAGCTTGTGGCTGCCTGTGGGTCCAACAGCCTGCAGTGTCAGGTCTCCCAGGAAAGGACCAGGTACCAGGGAGCCACTGGCTTCACATTAGAGCAGGCTGGCACAAGTTTTGGTTCCCATGGACCCTCAGGGTAGCCTAAGGCACGCTTAGGTCAGGAGTTAATGGAGTTTGGCTCCTCCTCTGCTTGATGGGTGCCTGGAGGTGAGGGCTGTGTAAAGGAAGAAGATGTGCATTTAAGCCTTGGTGCTGATGCTCTTTGCCTGCTGGAGGTTGGCTGGCTGCTCCTGCTCCCTTGCGCTCCAGAGCCTCTTAAATTGTCTTCAGAGAGGGAACACTAATCCCTGACTGGTGCAGGACTTTTCAGTCCCCAAAACACATCGATTTTCATAATCTCACTTGATCCCTTAACTGCCCTCCCTGTGAGCAGACTAAGCCTCTCCTCAACTTGGCCAATTCTAAATGTGAAGGTCAGAAAACACAATGCGCCTTGCCTAAGGCCACAGAGTTATGGTGTGGTCATCCTGAGGCTGGAACCCAGGTATCCTTGCTCCCTGTCCTGTGCTCTTAC
Organism: Homo sapiens; assembly: GCF_000001405.40. Classification (NCBI taxonomy): domain Eukaryota; kingdom Metazoa; phylum Chordata; class Mammalia; order Primates; family Hominidae; genus Homo; species Homo sapiens. The sequence continues at coordinate 150,341,777 of NC_000005.10, forward strand.
CGCTCTACCTGGCTGCTGTCCAAGGCATTTAGTGGAATGTTCACTGTGGTGTGAGGGAACCAGGCTCCCCTTTTTTTTAATTCAATATTATTGAGCACCTATTAACTGTTAGCCATTGTATTAGGGATAAAATTACAGGCCTTTGTGGTGTGTGTGTGTGTGTGTGTGTGTGTGTCTGTGTGTGTGTGTGTGTTAATGGCTTTATTAAGGTGTAGTTGATAAACAAAAACTGCACATATTTAATATATATAGGACCCAGGACTTTCAAGCAAACAGCTCTAGGCCCATAAACATATGAAAAGATATTCAACCTTATTAGAATTCAGAGAGATGCAAATTGAGACCATTATGACATCCTTTTACACCCACTGGATTGGCAAGTAATTAAAGAGCCTGACAATACCAAGTGTTGGCAAGGATGTGGATCAACCAGATGCTTATACACTGCTGGGAGGAATGTCTATGGGAATAAGTGACTTGGAAAATCATTCCAGTATGATCTTGTAAAGCTGATCGATCACTTTCCCTGCAGTCTCACAGTTCCCCTCCTAGGCAACATATACTCCCAAGCACATACACACCCATGCTTACCATTGTGAACACACTGGTTGATAGAATCTTGAAATTCTTCCATGCCAGTTGGTAAATAGCTACTATTCCAAGTCTCCCCCACCCATTTACCTGTGACCACCTGTGATCCAGCTGCCCCCAGCCTTTCCTTTAGGTATCCACCCAAACTCCCCATGATCCAACAACTAAAATGTTAATACCCCATAGACTACCCCCAGGACCACATTCCAGCTCCACAGCGTCCATTCTGATTGCTCAGTGCCCTCACCTCTCCAGTTGTTTATTTTTATTGTGTCCACCCTAGAGAAACCCTTGCTCACATGCACCAAGAGAAATGCACAAGGTTATTCGTAGAATCAATCTTCTTAATAGAAACAACAATAACCACAACAACCACAATAACCAAACAACTATAAATAACCTCAGGTCCATGCAAGGGAGATGCCCAACCAAGCCACTTCCTTCTGTCAGCTCAAAGAAGCTCCTGCAGGGTTCAGGGCAGACAGAAGAGATGGGCTCTTTTTTTTTTTTTTTTTGAGACAGAGTCTTGCTGTGCTGCCCAGGCCAGAGTGCAATGGTGAGGTCTCGGCTCACTGCAGCCTCCACCTCCCGGGTTCAAGCGATTCTCCTGCCTCAGCCTCCCGAGTAGCTGGGACTACAGGTCTGGCTACAGGACTACAGGACTACACATCTGGCTAATTTTTGTATTTTTAGTAGAGACAGGGTTTCACTATGTTGGCCAGGCTGATCTTGAACTCCTGACCTCATGACCTGAGATAGGCTCATTTTCTAGTGGGATCCAAGCCCAGGCAGATGGTCATGCTCACTCTGTGCCTTAGGGTTGTATCTTATTTACCATTCAAGGTAGCAGTTAGCATTCTTAATCCCATTTTACAGGTAAGGAAACTGAAACGTAGAGAAGTACTATAACTTGCCCAACGTCATACATCGTAGAGCTGGGGTTTGAGCCCATGTCTTTGTGATTTCAAAGTCCAAACTCTTCTTCACTAGTAGGGGCACATTACCATAGGTGGGAGTTCTTGGCATGTGGGCCTTTTTCACTTGGGATCCCCAGCAACTGGCACAGAGCCTGACACAGAGGAAGACGCTCAGTGAACAGACTGATACAGCAAAGCAGTCAGTCGATCCACTGTGACTGACTTCAGCCTCTGCACTGAGCCTCACTTCCTACTTACCTCCCTGATTCCTGAAATCCAGGCCAGAAGACCATTTTGCCCTGAGATCCCTTGTTTCCTGATCTCCTGATTTTGAACCTGGACTTGCAAGATACATCTTCTCTGAGACCACTCCAAATATTTTAACACAAAGACTGTGACTCTAGTCATTCATTCCTTCCTTCCATTATTCCTATGTTTTGTTTTTTGTTTTGTTTTGTTTTGTTTTTGAGATGGAGTCTCGCTCTGTCCCCCCAGGTTGGAGTGCAACAGCACGATCTTGGCTCATTGCAACCTTCACCTCCCGGGTTCAAGCAATTCTCCTACCTCAGCCTCCCGAGTAGCTGGGATTACAGGCATGTGCCACCACACCCGGCTAATTTTTTGTATTTTTAGTAGAGATTGGGTTTCACCATGTTGCCCAGGCTTGTCTCGAACTCCTGAGCTCAGGCAATCCACTCCCCTCGGCTTCCCAAAGTGTTAAGATTACAGGCATGAGCCACGGCATCCGGCCTTATTCTTTAAATATTGATTGCACACCCATATGTGCAAGGCACCGAGCTGAGCTTGGGAGAAACAGCAGTAGCCACACAAAGTCCCTGCTTTCTGGAACTCTCAGCCTGCCCTGGGTGCCCCCAACCTTGAAACACATTCCTCAGAGCAGCTGGGTGCTGACATGAAGCCCACACGCCTGGCTCAGTGGCCCTTCAACCCAGCAAAACAGCAAATCCAGGAGGCTGACACTGAAGTACCTGGGTGTTTTGTCCCCACATGCCTCCTGTCTGACCTTCTGCCTGAGGAAAGAGTTTGTTTTTGCTCCAGGAAGAGAGGTATAGCTGTGGGAAATTCAATGTGCTTATTTATTTGTTTGGCTTCCCTAATTTAATCTTCTCAACAAATAAAAATAAAGATAGCATGTTTGCCCAAATAGCAAAAGGCCCCACCTGAGATGTTATTACGCTTTCCAGAATTAGTCACACCATTACTGCTAGTGGCCAACGTGCCCAGGGCAACTGAGGGTTAGAAGCCCAAGCTCCCAGCCCAGCTCTGCCGATGATGGTTTGATAACAGAGATGTCATTTCACCTCTTCAAGTCTTGTTTCCCTCCTTTATAAGATGAAATGCTTGATGCTTACAAAGTCAGAACTTTCACATTCACTACCTCATTTTGTGTTCTTAATATGCTGTGAAGAAGGCATTTTGATCCTATTTTACTGGTGGAAAAATTAAAGCAGAAGAGACAGAAGAGTCCAAGTGACCCAATTGATAAGAAGAGGCAGAGACAGGAGCCGAATCCAAGCTTCCAACTCTTGCCTGGGGTCCTTTTGTCCTCACCAGGGTTTCTCATACTTGAGTAACATACAGATGCCTCCAAAATAATTCTCACTGGCCCAAGAATATGCCCAGAAATCTTAGGAGTCTGCAGACACAAATTTAAGAACCTTCTAAGTTTGATTTACAGCAAAATCTTGGTTTATTCAGGTGGCTGTAAAGTCATTGATTACCCCAGCGCCAGTGTGATCACAAAGGCAAACATCAACACAGCATTGAAATCACTTGTCCATACAATGTTATAAGGCAGATGTTCAAATTATCGAAAAATATAATTTTTTTTTTGAGACAGAGTTTCGTTCTCATTGCTCAGGCTGGAGTGCAATGGTGCAATCTCAGCTCACTGCAACCTCCACCTCCCGGGTTAGAGCGATTCTCCTGCCTCAGCCTCCCAAGTAGCTGGGATTACAGGCGCTGCCACCACACCCAGCTAATTTTGTATTTTTAGTAGAGGCAGGTTTCACCACGTTGGTCAGGCTAGTCTCGGACTCCTGACCTCAGGTGATCCACCCGCCTCAGCCTTCCAAAGTGCTGGGATTGTAGGCGTGAGCCACTGTGCCTGGCCTAAAATTTTTCTTTTTTTTTTTTTTTTAGAGATCGAGTCTCACTCTGTCTCCCAGGCTGGAGTGCAGTGGTGCAATCTCAGCTTACTGCAACCTCCACCTCCTGGGTTCGAGCAATTCTCCTGCCTCAGCCTCCCGAGTAGCTGGGATTGCAGATGCGCACTGCCACACCAGCTAATTTTTTGTATTTTAGTAGAGACAGGGTTTCACCGGGTTGCCCAGGCTGGTCTCAAACTCCTGAGCTCAGGCAATCCACCCGCCTTGGCCTCCCAAGGTGCTAGGATTACAGGCATGAGCCACTGCATCCGGTTAAAATCTTTAATTATTTTAGATTATCATTGAAATGAAAATTAAAAATCAAACTCTTGAAGAACTTGTCGGAACCGTCCCCTTTCCCATTCTGAGATTCTGTCAGGCTGCCTCCACATTGCCTGAAAACCCGTCCCTGTTCTAACATTCTTTGAGTTTCCCTGGTAACCATCTGCTGGTGGAAATGACAATTAAGCTGTTCAGCTGCCTGGTTCACTTAGTTCCCCCATTATGGCTCTGTGCCAGGGTCAAGAAGGCCTGAATTTACCCACCTGCAGCAATGGGCCAAAGGAGAGAGATCCTCTCAGGGACAGGATGAGTCTCAAAACACAGAGTAGAAAAAGCCTGCACCTGGACGGACATTGTTCATCCTTCCACCACCTCATCCACTAATGCATCCGTTCTGCATTCACTCTCGCCTGTTACATTCCAGGTCCACATTTGTGGGAGAGAAGATGGGGTGAAAAAATAAGCAAGGTTTACCTTGGTGTATATAATGTACTACTATCAATATTGTGTGCCTCTGTGTGTGTGTGTGTGTGTGTGTGTGTGTGTGTGTGTGTGTGTGTATGCAGTCATATCTAAGCCCTGGTAATATTGCATCCTCCTGGGAAGAGAACCGAGAAGCTGGGGAACAGAGGATGGGAGCCCAGGAGATTTACTTTTCTCGGTACCCTTTGCATACCTTTACACGTTTGCATCATGTGTATACATCATCTTCTCCAAAAACAGGTTTCAGTTTTTGAACTACATTCTCCACTGGAATCCAGTGCTCTGGCCGTGTGAGCAGGCTGACCTTTCAGAGGTGGTGATGGTGGGGTGACTCGCGGTCAGTAAGTGGGACGAAGAAGGAGGCATCATCCAGACCTATTTGCCATGGGTTCTATGGCCTTGTCCAAGAGGCTGCTGGACCCAGAGGCCTCTGCCCACCTCCCCTCCAAACCTGTTCCTGTGTATGCTGTGCCCAGGATTGAACTGCTCAGAGGTGATGGGGTAGCCCCCTGCCATGGCCTCAAGAGACCTGTTTGTGTGGGCTGGCACGTGGTCACATATGAGTGAGAGTCACCAGGCACGTGTGTCCTTTTCTTTCCCCAGACAAATATTCTCTTGGAGCCCTCAGATGCCCTCCCCACCCTGCTGCGAGGGTGACTGGGCAGCTTTGAGTGGCCATGGTGTATGGAGGCCATGGGATACATCCTCCGTCCTCTTCCGGTTTTCTTGAGACATCACGTATGCCACTTCCATAAGTTCCTGCTTCCAGAGTCACCAAGCATGGCCCCAGGAACAGCTCAGAACCCAGGGCCATGGGTGGGAGGGAAAAGGAGGGAGACTGGTGTCTCATGTCTCGCATGTCCCAGCTCCTCCAGAGACTCAGCTCCACTTGCAGATGCAAAGTTAGATTTGAAGAGACTGTAATCTTGGGGCCAGGCAAGATTAGGACATTCACACTGGATGGCTCTCAGGGAGCAGCGTCTTCTGAGGCTTTTCTCAGTGAGTCCTCCCTCTCCCTGGGGGATTTCAAGACTTCCCACTGTGCCTTGACCTGCTTCCTCCAGCCTCATAACACCCCTGAGAGCTCAAGACAGTTCTCTTCCCTATTTTACAAGTAAAGAAGCTGAAACCCAAAGGTAAAATGACTTATCCCCAAGTTCACCAGCCTATAAATCACTCAGCCTGAATTTCAACCCAAGTGGGCCCTGCTCTAAAGCCCGTGCTAACATTCCACCTGAGGTCAAGGCCTCCTGAGGAGGGTGCCACACCAAGAAATGGCCTCAGCTTGCTGCGGATTGTAGAACCCCAAACAATAGAGGAAGACATTGACGCAGTTCATTATATTCAAACCTAAAGCCTTTGTGCATCGCAAGACTGCATACATAAAGTGAAAAAATAATTCACAGACTAACAAAAGACAGTCGCAGCAGACCACAAGATTAGAGCTCCTGCAAATCAATAAGAAAGACACGAACAGCACCATGGAAACACGGACAGGGGGTACAAGAGGCGATCCACAGAAGAGGAAATCCAAACCACTAGCACAATTATGAAAACGGTTTAACTCCACTCTTCAGAGAAATAGAACTTAAAAACAAGAACGAGAGACATTTGGCCCCCATCAGAGTGATAAACATCCCAAAGTCTGACTATTGCCAGGTCAAGTCTGGATGTGGAGCCACAGAAACTGACCCTTTCAGATACAGTCAGGCAATGGCAGGGAGCCCCAAGATACTCACACACCCGGCCATTCTTCCCCAGGCACATGCAAGACACGCATGAGGATGGTCACGGCAGTGCGGTTTTTATTATGGAAAATTGGACATCATTCAAATGCCCATCAACAGGAGAATGGATTGATAAACTGTAGTACATGCCCCTACAATGAAATTGATTGAATAGTGGATATGTGTATACTGGTGCTCTGCACATCAAATGTGGATAAATTTCAAACACAATGTTGAATGAAAACAAGCAAGTTGCAGAAGGCTATGCACAATATTATGTCATTTACAAAGAGTTTAAAGCTACAAAGCAACACTTTCTATGTTTTATGAATGAATACATGTATAGCATGTATACATAAACATGTGCAGGAACAACTCATGCCAACTTCCGGGAATGGGCTGGTGACTATCTCTGGGCAAAGGGAAGGGAAATGAACTGAGATGCTCTTATGTATTTGAAATGTCTTTTTTCACAATCTAGGCCGGCTGCTGTGGCTCACACCTCTTATCCCAGCACTTTAGGAAGCCAAGGCAGAAGGAGGATCACTGGAAGCCAGAAGATCGAGACCAGCCTGGGCAACAATGCAAGATCCTGTCTCTACAAAAAGTTTCTAAAAATTATCTGGGCATGGTGGTGTGTGCCTGTAGTCCCAGTTATTCTGGAGGAAGAAACAGGAGGATCGCTTGAGCCCAGGAATTTCAAGCTGCGGTGAGCTATGATCACCATCTCAGTTCAACCTGGGTGACAGAGCAAGACACTTGTCTCTAAAAAAAAAAAAAAAAAGTAAAAGAAATCTACGCAGGGCATGGTGGCTCACACCTTTCGCAGCACTTTAGGAGCCTGAGGCATTTGGATTACCTGAGGTCAGGAGTTCGAGACTGGCCTGGATGACATGGTGAAACCCCATCTCTACTAAAAATACAAAATTAGCTGGACTTGGTGGCGCATGCTTGTAATCCCAGCTACTTGGGAGGCTGAGGCAGGAGAATTGCTTGAACCTGGGAGGCAGAGGTTGCAATAAGCCAAGATCGTGCCACTATACTCCAGCCTGGGCAACAGAGCAAGACTCTGTCTCAAAAAGAAAGAAAGAAATCTAGATCATGGGAACATGGAACTGTATGTGTGTGTCCCTGCATTTTTCACATGCCAAATATCTTAGTTATTAAAAATCAGGGAGCTGGACAGTTGCCCTAAGGTCAATTGTCTTCCAGGTCACTGATTACTGTTTGAGAGTTTCATCTGGAATTAACTTCCCATTCATTGGCCCTAATTCTCTTCCTTAAGGATCCCATGTGAAAATCCAATGGCTAATGGCATGCATGCGGACTAGCTCCTGCCCTCAGCAGGCTGACTGTTCAGGCTGGCAACTGTGAGAGGAGGCCGCGTCTCCCAGCCACCCCCTCCATTGGCATCTCCCTCCACCTTCTCCCACCACCATCCCTCGCCACCCGTCTGGCCTTCTCAGCAGATGGTAGCTCATACAGCCTGTTTTCTTCTGTAGAAAGTCCTTGACAAGCCCAGAGGGAGGCTCAAAGAAACCCCACCACTTTTTCAGCGGAGTTGTCTTTGCTAACCATGGACTAGGCTCAACAAGGGACACTCAGTGGGAAGAACTGAGCTGGGAGTCAGGACAACTGCTCTTGACTTGCTGGGTGACTTTGAGTAAGTGACACAACCTCTCTGAATCTCGACAGGTACACTGAGGGAGGTGTGCACTTCGAAACCTTGAAGCCTCAGAATCCACTAGAGAGATTTTAAAAGCCCAGATGTGGGGGTCCCAAAATGGGAGTTGCTTGATGTGAGGCCTTGGAATTGTATTTCCATTGACTAGCCGGGTGATTCCACTGCACAGCTAAGCTTAGGAATCATTAGACAATCGTGGCAGGTTGGACATTCAGATATGTGAGCAAACTCTGTCCACATCGCCTATTTTCTCTCCCCACCCCCAGTGCCTTCCTGCATCCTTGTTAATCATCATCACCCTGAATAGTTTATGCCAAGCAGGGTGCTGGGTGAGAATGAGGGAGCAGATGAGCTTCCAGAATGAGGCCCCTTTCAGCCTCCCACTCCTTAGTAACCGCAGAGAAGCTGAGAAAGAAGGTGGGAGGGGGAGCCAGCCCTCGTACCCTCCACAGGTGGAGGAGGGTCTGGGGGGCAGGGGCACAGGGCCCATCTGCTGAGTTCCTGACCCTCTGCCCAAGGCCCAGCCTTCCAGCCCTGGAGCAGCTCCTTCTCCCTGTCTCCACCCCTACCAAAGGCAGGAGTCTGCAAATCACAGCATTCTAGAACATCAAAGCAGACTAATGTTTTCCCGATTGCAGCCATTCACTGCTGTCTTACCACCTGTATATTATTTAATTGGTACTTTCTTTTACATTGACTCACTGTTTTTTACTTGAATGCCTACTTTAGCCCCATTCTAAGCAATAATATCTGCGAAATAACAGGTTTGATGTGCTAGTTATTTTTTGTCTAATACACATTAAAATAAATACATAATGATTTCCATTTTAAAATGTCCATCTTTTTATCTCTTGAAGTCACTTTGTGCATCACCACACTTTCAGAAACACTGAGCTAGTCCAACCCTGCCTTTGCACAGAGATGCAAACTGAGGCCCACGGAGGGGTGGAGCTAGCCAAAGGTCCTGCCACTGGGGTGGAACCTGATATCCACAGGTGGCCACACTGGGCAGGCCCCAGGCACTCTGGTGACCTTGACCTTTTGAGAGAACTTTCTTTGGTTGTGCACTGCCCTCTCCTGGCTGGTTCTTCTGCAACACATGACCTCCGGGAGGAAGCAGCCAGGGGTGGAGGCAGGGCCACCTTGTTGCAGAACACAGATGACTGACTGCCCAGGGTTGGAAGGCTGGGCAGTCAGGGAAGGCACCATTGCAGAGGCGGCCTTTGCACTTGGCTTTGAAACATAAATAGGAAACAGTCAAACTTCAAAGAGCAAAAAGGCAGTTCTGTCCAAATGGTGTGAAGGGAGTGAGATGTTCTGAGGACAGAGAGTACTCAAGATTTAGCTGCTGGTTTGGATGATAGGAGACACACCAGAGAACAGACTGGGATGGGCTTTGAATGCCTAAGAAGAAGCTGTGACTTGAGCCTGTGGTCAGCGGTTAAGCTAGGGGAGGTTTAATGAGCAGGGAAGTGATGTGATGCCAAGTGCAGCGTGGAGAGTGGACAGGAAAGGACAAGGCAGGGGCAGCGCAGAGGGAAGAGGATGTGGCAATGGCCCAGGGAAAGGTAGACAGGTAGTTCCCTCTGCCTCTAACCTGCTGGGGTCCTTGTCGAGTCACTTCCTGTCACTGGGCCTGTTTCCTTATCAGCAAGAGGAGTGAGCTGGGCTAGATGCTCTCCAAGGACCCTTCTAGCTCTGAGAAATAAAACCACAAAAATAAGAAATTATGCTGATGAGGCTATGAATTGCTACAACCCTTTTGGCAGTTAATTGGGCTTTAGCTATTAAAATAAAACTCATGCATCCCCTCTGGTCCACTTGCAATTACATCATACAGAATTAAAGCTCCAGTCTGCAAGGATGTATTTACTAGGATATTTAGAGCAACACTACTCTATTAGCCAAAAAACTAGAGGCGAATAACCTGTATCATATCATCTCCCATCTCTGTCTGTTGATGGCCCTACTGAGGGACTGGTTATGAGCCCTCTGGCAGCTGGAGCCTGTCTTGAGCCTCAGTTTCCTCATCTACAACCATTTGACATGCTTTATAGGATGTTGTGAGGTTTTGATTGGTTAGTGTTAGAGCCTGGAAGCACAGCTCCAGCTCACTGCACACACTCAACAAATGATAGCTGTTACTATTACTCAAAAGAGTGTGGCAGATCCCAGCATCTAGAGAAATAGCTCTGCTGTATTGTTATTAGGTGAAAAAAGAGAGTTGCAGAGTTGAGTGTTTAGTATGATTCCCTTTTGTAAGAAAAGAAGCAAAGAAGCCAGGTGCAGTGGCTCATGCCTGTAATCCCAGCACTTTGAGGGGCTGAGGTGGGTGGATCATCTGAGGCCAGGAGTTCAAGACCAGCCTGGCCAACATGGTGAAACCCATCTCTACTAAAAATACAAAAATTAGCTGGGCATGGTGGCACATGCCTGTAGTCCCAGCTACTCGGGAGGCTGAGGCAGGAGAATCATTTGAACCCAGAAGGCAGAGGTTGCAGTGAACAGAGATCATGCCACTGCACTCCAGCCTGGGCAACAGAGCGAGACTCCGTTTCAAAAAAAAGAAAAGAAAAGAAAAAGAAAAAAGAAAAGAAGTAAAGAGAAGTGAAAAAGGAAAAGGAGAAGGAGGACTAAACCTTATGAAGGATGTCTGTGTTTGTCTGGGCAGAGAAAGGATGTGAAGGGATTGAATACCAGGCTTCTTTCTGATTGGGAAATGAAGAGGCTCTAGTGTGGAGAAGTGGGCAGGGAATGGCTAAGAGGGAGGGAAAAATGATGGACTTTGTCTTAATATATCTCTGAATTGTTTAACTTGTTACTTCAGTAACAACTTGTAAACCTTTAAAAGCTCCTGTGAGATTAAAGATTTCGTGTCATTTCACGAAAGGGAAGGAAGTCTTGGGAAATCTACTGGCCAAAATGACTTGGCCCAGGGAAAACCTGTTGTTACAATGGATGAAGGGAGCTACTGGGAAGGGCACCCTTCCCAGATGGGCCCTTCTCTTAAGAGTTCCACTACTGGAAGGGTCTTTGTTCAACAGCTTCATTTAACAGAAGGTAATGCTGAGGACCAGAGAGGGCAAGAGACTGGCCCAAGGTCACACAGCTGAGCCAGGTGAAAAGGGCCTGACTCCTGACAGTAACACAGGGGAGAGGCCCAGTAACCTTTCCCCTGTATCGCTGCTACCTCCCACCTCTGTGTCAGAGCCATTCCTGCTGGGAGAGACAGGTAGAGTGCCCCATCTGTTGAGCTTCCTTCTCTTCTGTTGTTCATTCTTCCTTCATTCATTTCCTAAGTGACCTCGCCGTGCCCTGCATGGGAATCCAAGGTGACTAAAGCATGCTGCTTCCCCAAGAGGCACTCGCAGTTCAGTGGTCTGGGAGCATCTGGCTTCTACCACTAACAAAGGCATTTTCTCTTACTGGTAGAGAAATGCTCTGAGGCTAATTTTTTTTTTAATGCACTGTTTTGTTTGTTGCTGTCTTAATAGTTGCCATGTTATATTTTATCAGTTTAATGTTCTAATTTTGTGCTTGGGCCCTGAGGCAATTCAGTGAAGGGTATGATTTGGAAAATGAGGGAAATAAAGAAATTGTCCACAGAAGAGACAGCCTCCCAGGAGCCGAGGACAAAGCATAAGTGCCGACAATGAATTTTATTAGGAGCAAAACAAAAACAACCTGTTGCCAGACAGAAGGTATTAGACAATCCTGGTGTGGTTTTGTTTTCGTTCTTTAATTTAATTCCAGTTCTGCATTTCTTCCAGGGTCAGCCAAGGATGCACAATCCAGTTCCTTCCCCACTGCCTTCCAAAGCCTTCCACATTCCTGCCTCCAGGCCTAAACTCAGTGAGCACCTTGCCTGCCCTGCCCTCCCTTCTTCTTCAGGAGAGGTCTGTAACCATTCCTGCACTTGCCAATACTTATTAAGTGCCTGCTGTATGCAGGCACTGTGCAAAATGTTGGAAATAATGCAACCAACAAGGCAAAGGTAAGTCTGCCTTCAGGGAGTTTACATTCTACTAAGGCATGCATTCTCAAATGGGGCCTTGATGCCCTCGAGGAAATGAAAACTGGTTCCTGGAGGTGTTGGTGGAAAAAAATCTTAGATCTTACAATGGTTTGTATGCTCATCATGTACATTCATCACCCATCCAGCCACCCAAGCAGAAACCTGGGTGTCACCACCAGTTCCAGCTCCCAGCCCTCTCTGATCTCAGGGGTCCCTCATAAGGCCTGGCCCGTGAAGGATTCCACTCTCTCCCTGCAAACATCCATCTGCCTTGCTTCCCTCGCTACCCAGTGTAGATCCCAGGACCCAGAATTTTAGCATCTCTTTGCCAATACTTTAGACTCCTGTGCCCTTTTTTCCCCACCCATCTGGCAAAGCCCTAGGCCTGGATAAATCCCACTATGTACATACATCTCCCCAGCCTGCAGCTGGGTAGGTGAGCCCTGATGGAGGAATTCACTCAGCAGGACAGGACGAGACACACATACACTAAGGACCACCAACCTCAACTGGGGAGCCAAGGCTGTCAGGCAATTGGGGATTTTGTGGGCAAGTTGCTTCTCAACACTCTGAATGATCATTCTTTCAAACTCCTCACCACCTCTTCTTCACTCTCAGCAGAAGACCTTGCCTCCCACTTTGCAGAAAAAATAGAAGCTCAAAATGAAATCTCCCTTAACATCCCACTATAAACCTACATCTACATCTGCACCCATCCTCTCTTTGTTCCTGCTTTTGGGTTCTAGAGAACTCATCCCTCCTCCTCCCCAAGACGAACCCCCCCAACCCACATGCCTGATCCCAGCCCCTCGCACATGCTTGAGAGAACTTTACTCGCTGATTATCTCCCCTATTTCTTACACTCTTGGTTAACCTCTCTCTCCTGGATCTGCCATTCACTTTTAAACAAATCTCAGGTTTCTTCTACCTTGAAACACACCTCCCCTAACATACATATTGGCCCTAGC